>NC_000003.12:52737272-53040303 GCF_000001405.40 Homo sapiens | reverse complement strand
ACTCAGATTTGAATTCCAAATTATTATTTTTTATACCCTGAAGAGTTTTTAAAAAAGCATTTGAGGTGGCTACTATGGAATATTTGCTCAGTAGTAAGGCTGCCCATGGGCTGCCACTGGTTCTTCATTTCTGTTCACATTAATTTGCTCCCCAGACTAGAGTGCTTTCCTGTCTCTCAGTTTTTTCTAGTGTTCTTTCTTAAGGATCGGTTCTTCTAAAATATGCTTTTTCTGTGTTAAAAATAGTATATGGTAATTTTGAATTGTAACTTTAAGATACCTTTTGGTCTCATTTTGACTTGCGTCATAAAATAACCCTCTTGGAGTGGTTAGATGGTGATCACACCAATGCACTTAGCATATTGCCTGTCTAGAACATAGTGATATATAATGAGGATATAAATTTTTATTATTAAAAATGTTTATATGTAACAAACCTGCGCATCCTGCACATGTATCCTGGAACTTAAATGAAATCAAATAAAAAAAAAGTATACCAAAATTAGCCAGGTGTGGTGGCGGACACCTGTAGTCCCAGCTGCTTGGGAAGCTGAGGCAGGAGAATTGCTTGAACCCAGGAGGTGGGGGTTGCAGTGAGCTGAGATGACATCACTGCACTCCAGCTTGGGCAACAGAGAGAGACTCTGTAAACGTATGGTTGTGGTAAGTTATATACATATAGCATGAATTGTACCATTTTAACCACTTTTACACGTACAGGTCAGTGGCATTAAGTACATTGACATTGTTGTGTAACCATTACCACCATCCATCTCTAGAACTTTTTTAATCTTCCCAGACTGGAACTCTGTACCCATGAAACAGGGATTCCCCAACTCCCCTCCTCCCACCCTAGACAACCACTGTTCTACTTTCTGTCTTTATGATTTTGACTATTCTAGGTACTTCATCTAAGTGGAATCATACAGTATTTATCCTTTTGTGATTGCCTTAATTCACTTAACATAATGTCTTTAAGGTTCATCCATGTTGTAGCATGTGTCAGAATTTTTTTTGAGGAAGTAAATTATTTGAAAGACTTCCACAGCAGGTAAAGTGGAGGTCAGGTCACAGAATACTGTTTGCTAGGATTTGTTTACCTCCCTTGGAAGAACTCCGTATGTGCCCAGCAGAGCCTAGAGAACCAGGTACCTTGTCCTTAGATACAGTTTGGGCACACTTGCTTATTCGAACAAAAGAAACAGAGCAGATTGTGACAGCAGGGTGGAAGACAAGGAGAACATAAAAGCAAAGGTTGCAGGAGTCCAGGGTAACATTGAGTAAGGAGTAAGGCCTTTTGGGTCTCAGGATGCCATCTTACTGTGTGATCACTGACATTCGTGGTGTGGGCCTGTGTCAAAGCATGTCGTCCAGAACAGTTAACCAAAAAAATATGTGTGTTCAGAATTGTAAATAAGCCTTCACCTATCTGAAAGGCATATTCAGTGACTCAATCCCCAGCTGTTCTGGTTAGTTGAGGTTTTGCCATATTTCACTCTTGTTTCTGTATTGATAGAAAACTAGTACGTGTTTAAAAAGGCTTAATGACTTACATAATAATGATACCACCTAATTAATGCTTTGTATTTTAGATTTGCTGTATCACTTTAATTCTGTATTTGTGAAATATAGATGTCCAATCCTGGTTGGAGAGAAAGCAGGTTTGACAGTTAAGGGTAATAGAGAGTTGAGCAGGTATGTACTTTCAGAATGGTTAAAGAGTTATATTTTCCTCCATTATTATTTTTAATGGCTGTATTAATGTAGTAAATGTGGGATGAGTTTCCTAATACTGTTTGTTACCGGGGGGAGGCCATCTCTTAATTACTGTCCTTTCTTCATGGCAAGGATGTTTTTGACTTTCTGGAAACCATTGAAGAATAGACAGTAAATGTCATGAAGCCTGATTTTTATTGTGCGTTGTGTTACTATTCAATTCTTAAGAATGGTTAGTTGTTTCCTAGAGTTAGTAAGGCTTTTCTGAGAAAGTATCAGTTTCTTTGGCATGATGTTGTCTAATAGAGCATAGAGCCACGGTAGTAAAAGTCAATGGTTAGGGGAGGAGATACAGGGTAGGAGACAGTTGTCTAAACTGGAGTGCCTGGGCTCAAGCACTTCTCCTGCCTCAGCCTCCTGAGTAGCTAGGACTACAGGTGCATGCCCCAGCACCTGGCTAATTTTTTAAAACATTTTTTTTTTGAGACAAAGTTTTGCTCTTGTTGCCCAGGCTGGAGTGCAGCGGTGCAATCTTGGCCACCTCCGCCTCCTGGTTTCAAGTGATTCTACTACCTCAGCCTCCCGAGTAGCTGGGATTACAGGTGCCTGCCACCATGCCTGGCTAATTTTTTGTATTTTTTGGTAGAGACAGGGTTTCATCATGTTGGCCAGGCTGGTCTTGAACCCCTGACCTCAGGCGATCCATCCGCCTTGGCCTCCTAAAGTGCTGAGATTACAGGTGTGAGCCACTGCGCCGGGCCTTTAAAACATTTTTTGTAGAGATGGGGTCTCTCAGTGTTGTCCAACCTGGTCTCAAAACTTCTGGCCTCAAGTGATTCTCTAGCCTCAGCTTCCCAAAGTGCTGGGATTACAGGCATGAGCCACTATGCCCAGCCTGGTTTTCATTTTTATCATTGAGCAAAATGAGCAGGGTTGGGTGGTCTAGCTAAAGATAGAAATTTGAGAAACTTCGGGTGTATTATTGTTGTTATAGGTGTTTATGATGGTATTAAAACATCTGAATCCCTTGATCTCTTAATGTAATTAATATTAATTTAATTTTATTTCTCTTTTAATGTTGGCTTTCCAGTCCTCAATCAAGTTATAGTTGCACTTAAAAATACGTAGTTTTCTTTATCGTTAATATGAATAACACCATATGCAAATTGGGAAACAGGCTTAGATCTTCTCCTAGGCATTATCTGTACCCAGTTTTCCTGTAAGTATTCAATTGGGCTCCTCAATCAACAGAGAAGAGCTTCAAATGACTTTCTTTGTTGTCAGGCTCCATTCTCAGGAATGGCTATGACAAGGGAAGCAGAGGGCTGGGTGGTCTCTTCTGGCCTCCCCTTCTAGGGAGAGTCTTCCTTTTCTGCAGCAAGTGCTTGAGGAGGGCTGCATGATCCCGCAGCCAGTCAGGGCGGTAAGACACAACTGCCCTCACCCTAGCTCCTCTCCTAGCCATTGACTTTTACTCCTGTTTTTGGCTTTCTATTGACTTTGTCTGACAGGAGTGCTTTCCGGAATAGTGTGCTGGTGAAATGTTGGGTTCTCTACAGCCTCCTTCAGAGGATTCCCTGTTCTCCCTATGCCTCGTCTTTTATCTCATTGTGACCTTCATTTTCTCCCAGAGTCCCAGCCCCATCAGGCCTGGACCCACTGTCTAATCTTTGAGCTGCTCCCTAGCCAATCCACTTTGTTCTTTCCCTCTTTCCCTTCTGTGGCCCCGTAAGCCACCTGCAGCCTTCCAGCCAGTGCCTCTCTCTGCTCCTGGATATAGACTACCTTGGAGGAGAATTCAGGTTCTCCAGAAAGACCTGTCTTGAGGCAGACCTTTCTGTCTTTGCCTTCTGTAACCTTTTAAGACCTTCCCTTCTTTCTATTTACATCTCTCTCAATGAAGTTGTCCACATTTAGAGTTTGTCTAGCTCCTGTGCTCCTCTAAGACCCCTACATCCCTGCCCGTTGGGCTTCCAAGTTGGGTGCCACACTGGCATCTCAGAATCCACAGGTCCAAAATAGAATTTCTCCTTCTACCCCAAAGACGCCAGTCCTCTAGTGGGCCTGTTTGCCCAGGTCTCTTTCTTTACATTGCTCCTCAGCGATGGTGTTTGTTTTGTCCACTGGGAGCTTTCCTGTGGGACTTGAGGTCTTATTCTTCAATTGCCAGCCTTGGAGTTAGAACGTACAGTTCTGACTCCTTGGTTTTCAAGTGTTTTTAAAGTTGTGGAACCCTTTGTTCAAATGAAATCTTTCTAGGAAGCCCGATAAGTAAAATAAAATGAGAGTCCTCCTAGTGGAGTAGGGGTGAAGGGCCAGCATCCTGTCCCACGGCAGGATAGCTGGACATTCTCTGCTTCCCTCTCCTCCCAGGCAGGACTGGCGGCTGGCTCTTGGGGCAGCCTTCCCAGTGGATTCTGCATAAATGGAGCTCCTCAGAGTTGCTGTCAGCACTGCTTTGAGGGCATGCTCTATGTTTTAAACCATTTTATCTATTCTGTACCCCACTTCCTTCCTTTGGAAATTTAAATTTTGATTGTGACTGATAAATGTAAAACTAGTGCCAGTGATGAACCTTGCCAAGGAAAAGGAAAGACACCTTGGAAAGTGAAACTAGATATTAAAAAGAGCTTCATCAAATGCTGAGACTGTCAAAAATGCTGAAGGGCTCCTTTCAAAATTTACTTACGTCTCTGGCCGGGTGCGGTTGCTCACGCCTGTAATCCCAGTATTTTGGGAGGCTGAGGTGGGCGGATCACTTGAGGCCAGGAGTTTGAGACCAGCCTGGCCAAAATAGTGAAACCCCATCAATTTTAATAAAAAATTAGCTGGGCGTGGTGACATGTGCCTGTAATCCCAGCTACTGGGGAGGCTGAGGCAGGAGAATCACTTGAACCTGGCAAGTGGGGGTTTCAGTGAGATGAGATGGCACCACTGCACTCCAGCCTGGGCAACAGAGTGAGACTCCATTTAAAAAAAATTTACTTAAGTCTCTGCTGACTCTTTTGAAAGTTGCTATTCTACCAACATGAACATTTTCAAGATAAACTTTGTTTAGTTTTACTGTTTTTGTTTTGTTCATTTATCAATGTAGTAGGCTTATTCAACCCATAAAACTAAAATGTTACATATTAGCAGTGAAAAATACAAACCTTGTTCTGTTGCTTCCAAATGGTCTCCCTACCTTCCCCACCTCTCCCATCCATCCAGCTACACTGAGGCCAAGTAGAGCTTTCTAAACAAACTTGATTTTAGTCACATAAAATCCCACATTTGGCCGGGTAAAGTCCAAACTCCTCAGGAAGGCATGCGGAATCCTTGAAGCACTGAGGCCAAGTAGAGCTTTCTAAACAAACTTGATTTTAGTCACATAAAATCCCACATTTGGCCGGGTAAAGTCCAAACTCCTCAGGAAGGCATGCGGAATCCTTGAAGCACTCAGGCCCAGTCCATTTGTCCAGCTTATTCCCTTCTCTCATGGCCTCTGCAGCCTCACCAACCCACTCTCCTGTAAATCCTTTCCTGCCATGTTCCATCCGCTTAGGGTGTTGTTCTGCTAAGGCAGTGCTCCCAAAATGTCAGTCTCACATGGACCGCTGTCACACTTTTTGGTATATTTGATTACCAAAATTATTATTATCATTATTTTGAGACAGAGTCTCGCTCTGTCGCCCAGACTGGAGTGCAGTGGCTCGATCTTGGCTCATTGCAGCCTCTGCCTCCAGGGTTCAAGCAGTTTTCCTGCCTCAGCCTCCCAAGTAGCTGGGATTACAGGCACGTGCCACCACGCCTGGCTAATTTTTTATATTTTTAGTAGCGATGGGGGTTTCTCCGTGTTGGCCAAGCTGGTCTCGAACTCGTGATCTCAAGTGATCTGCCCGCCTCAGCCTCCCAAAATGCTGGGTTTATAGGCATGAGCCACTATGCCTGGCCCACAATTATTCTTTTAATATGTTTTTAATTTTTATTTATTTTTTAAATTTATTTTTAATTAATTAATTTATTTATTTTTTGAAACAGACTGTTGTCACCCAGGCTGGAGTACAGTGGTGCGATCTTGGCTCACTGCAACCTCCGCCTCCTGGTTCAAGTGATTCTCCTGCCTCAGCCTCCTGAGCAACTGGGATTATAGACAGGCACGCACCACCACACCCAGCTAATTTTTGTATTTTTAGTAGAGATGGGATTTCACCATGTTGGTCAGGCTGGTCTCAAACTCCTGACCTCAAGTGATCTGCCCGCCTGGGCCTCCCACAGTGTTGGGATTATACGCATGAGCTACCATGCCCGTGCCAGTGATGAATCTTGCCAAGGAAAGATTCCTTAACTTAAATTTTATAAAGTATTATTACATTTTAAAAATGTCAAAATGCAATGCAAGTAATAAATCTAACCAGTTTATTAAAACACATTCCTTCAATAAAATTTCAACAAAGTCCTTTGTATTTAAAAAGAAGTACCTGATAATAGATGATATTAAGGAATTGTTGATTTTTTTTTTTTTTTTTTTTTTTTTGGAGACAGAGTTTTGCTCTTGTTGCCCAGGCTGGAGTGCAATGGCGCCATCTCGGCTCACCGCAACCTCCGCCTCCTGGGTTCAAGCAGTTCTCCTGCCTCAGCCTCCCAAGTAGCTGGGATTACAGGCATGCGCCACCACACCCCGCTAATTTTTTTATTTTTAGTAGAGACAGGGTTTCTCCATGTTGATCAGGCTGGTCTCGAGCTCCTGACCTCAGGTGACCCGCCTGCCTTGGCCTCTCAAACTGCTGGGATTACAGGCGTGAGCCACTGCGCCAGGGTGATTTTTTTTTTTTTTTTGTCTTTTTTGGTGTGATAATGGCATTGTAGTTATACATAAAGGAGAATGTGCTTATTCTTGGGAGATGCAAGCTGAAGAGTTTAGAGGGTGAGGTATGATATCCTCAGCATTTTCAGATGGCTCATAAAATACGTGTGTGTGTATAAATCTTTGTGTATATAGAAAGATAATTAGGAAATTTAAAATTTTTGAATCTAAGTAGAGAGTATTTGGAATTTTTTCAAAATCTCTTTCAAAATTTTGATAAAAGCTTGTAGTTGAGGGGGGTAAAAATGGCTGCAAAAAAAGTTAGTATTAAAAAAATGTTGGGCCGGGCGCGGCGGCTCACACCTGCAGTCCCAGCACTTTGGGAGGCCGAGGCGGGTGGATCACTTGAGGTCAGGCATTTGAGACCAGCCTGGCCAACATGGTGAAACCCCGTCTCTACTAAAAATACAAAAGTTAGCTGGGCGTGGTGATGTGTGCCTGTAATCCCAGCTACTTGGGAGGCTGAGGCAGGAGAATTGCCGGAACCTGGGAGGCGGAGACTGCAGTGAGCCGAGATTGCGCCACTGCACTCCAGCCTGGGCGACAGAGCAAGACTCCATCTCAAAAAAAAAAAAGCAAATTTTATTAAAAAATTTTGTAGAAGCAGGGTCTTGCTCTGTTGCCCAGGCTGGTCTCAAACTCCTGGCCTCAAACGATCCTCCTACCTCAGCTTCCCAGAGCACTGGGATTATAGGCATGAGCTCTTGCACCTGGCCCATAAATACTTCAAAAGGCAGAGTCTTTGGTAGGCCCCAAATTTTCTTGTATTCTATCAGAGGCTTAGGTGTGGGGGGAATGTTCTGCTAAAGAAATCCCTGTTTGTCCTTTAAGGCCCAGGGCTTCTGTGAAGCCTTCCCTCCTGGACTCCCTCAGGTTGCATTAACCACCCTTTGCTCTGGGCACTCACAGCATTCCACATATTCCACTGTTGTAAATATTACAATTGTGATTGTTTGTTCAGTGTTTCTCATCTCTACTAAACTGTGAACTCAAGGTCAGAGATGCTGTTTTATTCCTAGTTAGTACCTTGCACACAACCTAGCACAGAGTAGACACTAAATAAATTATAGCTGAATGAATGCATGGAAGCAATACTGCAACATATCCACTTATAATGTTATTCCTATTTGAAAATGTATTATGTTCTAAACAAGAAATGATTATGTTTAATGAGATCTCATCTTGTCATTTCCAGGCTTAGAGGCTGCCAGTGGCTTTCCATCGTAATTAGAATAAAATCCAAACTTCTTGTGTGGCCTACAATACTTTGTTTCTTGTTCCCTGCCCACCTCTACCACTTTTCCACTTGCTTTCCCATATGGGTCTTCTGTCCATCCCAAGGATATCAATTTTTATTTATTTTTATTTTTCTGAGACAGGGTCTCGCTCTGTCACCCAGGCTGGAGTGCAGGGGTGTGATCCCGGCTCACTGCAGCCTCCGCCTCCTGGGCTCAAGAGATCCTCCCACATCAGCCTCCCAAGTAGCTGGAACCATAGGCATGTACCACCATGCTCAGCTACCTTTTATATTTTTAGTAGAGATAGGGTTTTGCCATGTTGTCCAGGCTGGTCTTGAACCCCTGACCTCAAACATTCCACTCGCCTTGGGCTCTGAAAGTGCTGGGATTACAGGCATGAGCCATTGTATCCAGCTGGCTGGACATCAAGTTTGTTACATTTAGTTCCTTTTGATCATGGAGGGTTCAGCTCAGCAAAGCCTTCCCTAGACATCCTTACCTCCATTCCAGAGGCACTTTTTTCTCACCATTGATTTTCTTAGTGACACTTTTCACTATAAGAAATATTCTATTTTTAGCTCATTTTAATATTTTAATTTTAATTTATCATAAAATGCTTTAAAGCCACTCTATAGAGAATATTAAAACCTGTGAACCTACTCCCAGGATGTTTTTCCTAATTGTCCCTTGTGGGAGAGATAAACTATACACCAATGCATTATTCCTTGTGTTCATTTACTATTGTAAGCTCTGAAGGTAGGGACTGTGTCTGTCTTTTAATCACCATGGCATCCTGGTACTGAGCACCTGGCAAATATGTGTATGTAAATGGAGGTATGAATAAATAACCAATTTATACATGATTAAGAAATATTTTTTTCCTATCCCTGGACACTTTTTTTTTTTTACAGTGTTATAGTTTTAGTTCTGAATGTTCAGGTTTTTAAAAAATGAGAAACTAGTATTTTGTCATATTTTGCTGCTTTAAATATCTATTTTGATGAATGTTTTAAGTTGGCAAAATGCCTTTCCTCATCTTCATTTTTGAAGATCATGTTATAACTTTTTTTCCGAGATAACTGAGCATCTTTGGATTCTCGACAAATGCATTTCCATTAGTAAAAATCCAATTGCAGGGCATTTGCTTTACTTTTTGTGGCAGTAGTTACAAAGAGGCAATCAGCAGTCTGGTTCTGTGTGGGTGTGGGGTGGGGCAGCTCCACTTCCTTTGCCCTGTGTGACTGATGAGAGAGCCTGTTGTTATTCGCAGGTGCATGGGCCACAGGTTGAGCTTCAGAATCCAAGCCAGTGGAGCCACTTGCCTCCCACTGTTGTTAATGGAATCAATGCACTTAATGTGGGATTGCTGATGATGGCTGTATCTATATGAGGAGTTGGGATCCCTGAAACCAGGAGGAGCCATCTACAGAGTCTGAAGAGGGTTGGACAGGCTTAGGCTTTGCCTGCCATCTCCCTTGCCCCTGCCCCGCATCATGCTTGGAAATGGAGAAGATTGGGAATTTTGAAGCTATGGGGGAAAACCCTTTAGTTTTTTACTGAACTGATGCTTGACTGGAGTGAGTTTAGGTAATTTGGATGCTTCAGTAATTCTAAAGTTGTTAGTTTAGAAACAAAATAATCTTATGTAAAACTGTTGACTCATAAAAAATATGATTAGCATTTCATATTAGCATATAAAATGTAATTGAACTTTAGTCACAGACTTGCTAATGTATTTGTATCTTTTAAATGTTGGTTACAATGGAGCCAAATATTTTTGTTGGAGAAGCAAGTAGATTTTTTTTTTTTTTTTTTTTTTTGCATTATGGCCAGTTGAAAGTTACTGTAATTTTAAAGGAGGAGGGTGAAAGGGACCTCTCCAAACTCCCAATCCCTCCAGTCTCCCCTGTTTTACTGAATTCAAATTGTGCCACAAAGACTTTAGAAATAGTTAAGAAAAATGAGATTGCTTTTAATAGGCATTACTTTTTCTTCTGTTGCTTTATTTTTTAAAATCATCATCACAGACTTAAGTACGCCTTTAAAACATTTTAAACAGGGATACACATACATAGTAAAATTTTTTTTTGAATATCAAAAAAGAGTGTATTCCTTTTTACTGAAACCCCTAGTTCCTCAGTCCCTTCTGTAGGCCACTATTATTCCCAGTTTCTTTTGTATTTTTATAGAAACATTCTATGTGTGTAAATCATATATTTCCGCATCCATATTAAAAAAACTCAAATGGTGATATATTTTAGACATTGTTTTGCACTTCGCTCTTTTCACTGAAAATATCTTGGATATATCCAAGTACACATAGATCTGCTGCATTCTTTTAATGGTTGCCTAGTAGTTTATTGCATGGATGCACCATATTTATTTGTTTCCATATTTATTTATATTTTGGGTTTTTTTTTGCTGCTGCAAACAGTACCATAGACTAATGATAATTGAATTTGCTTGGATTAAGAAAAGTTTTCTAATATTTAAACTGGTTTTTTTTTCTAAGTTAGTATTTCTAATACTAAACACTTAAAAGTGTTTTTTTTTCTAAGTTAGTGTATTTGTGGGGGTAGACTGTTCTCCAGCCTCCCTGCCCCCAAGATGCCAAGGGTAGAGGAACTGGGTGCAGTGGAGTAAGAGGAGTTGGAGGTAGAGAGTCGTGGAGAGGCCTTCTACCACCCCCATTCTCCCCACCCTCCACCCACCACATGTTGCAGAGGGGATGGCATAGGCAGAATCCCCAGCTGAGTCTTGGGAGACTAAAGCATCTGAAGATGTCTTCAGACTACTGAGGTGTTGACCATGCTTTTGAAGCCTAAGGCCTGAATGTATGCTGCTTGTTATGAATTCAGATACTTTGCTTTTGTATTTTCGTTTTGAGAAAATTGCAGCAGCAAGGATTAACAAATTGTATCAATTTCTGTATTTGGGTGGTATTCTTTTGTACATTGGCAGAAATATAGCTAAGTTTTTAAAAGTTGGTTTTTACCTGGGCTACTTGGTAAGGAATTTTAAAAATGCTGCTCCTGTTCTGGCGCAGAATTTCTAAAGAAACTGAGTTTGGAATCTTGAAGCATTCTGTAGTTGAATCTTACAGTGTTGTATATGCCTTTGTAGCCCAAGCTCTTAGTTATTATCCTTCATTAAAAGAACTTCAGAATACCCCTCAGAGAATATATTTATAACCCTTCAATAACGCTCTGCATACTGCCATTTTCTGTAAAATATTTTCCTAAAAAGTGTGACAATTTGTGGTAGTCTATTCTTTTTCTCCCCCATGGTAGTACATTTCTAGCCCATGACTTTTTTTTTTTTTTTTTTTTTTTGAGACGGAGTCTCGCTCTGTCGCCCAGGCTGGAGTGCAGTGGTGCATCTCGGCTCACTGCAAGCTCCGCCTCCCGGGTTCATGCCATTCTCCTGCCTCAGCCTCCCGAGTAGCTGGGACTACAGGCGCCCGCCACCATGCCTGGCTAATTTTTTTGTATTTTTAGAAGAGACGGGGTTTCACCGTGTTAGTCAGGATCTTCTCAAGCTCCTGACCTTGTGATCTGCCTGTCTTGGCCTCCCAAAGTGCTGGGATTATAGGCATGAGCTACCGCGCCCGGCCTAGCCCATAACTCTTGTGACTTGCTCAGAGAGTGTTCACACCAAGCCAGTGACAGGCAGGCAGGTCCCCTCTGAGAGTACTTGTGCACTTCCCTGCAAGGGTTCCCAGCCACGAGTGCTAGACTGGGCGTTTCTGAGTTGTGTTTGCTCTGCTATGGCCTTCTTTCTGCCATTTATTCTGTGTTCTAGCAGGTAATTTTTTTTTAAGATGGGGTCTTGCTATGTCACCCAGACTGGAATGCAGTGACCATACACAGGTATGATCATGATAGCACATTACAGCCTCCAACTCCTGGACTCAAGCTGTTTTCCCATCTCAGCCTCCCGAGTAGCTGGGACTAGTGGTACAAGCATGTGCCACCATGCCCAGCTAGTAAGTAGTTTTGACCCATGAAGGCAGACAAAGAGATGTGACTTGTAGAGTTGAATTTGTGGCAAAGAAACAGTATCACACTGTATGTCAACACACAAGTTTTATGGAACTAAGGTGACTTCAAGAAGTGGTCTGAAAGCGAGGCATGGTGGCTCATGCCTGTAATCCCAGCATTTTGGGAGGCCAAGGCAGGTGGATTGCTTGAGCCCAGGAGTTCGAGACCAGCATGGGCAACATGACAAAACCCTGTCTCTACAAAAAATACAAAAATTAGTTGAGTGTGGTGGTGTGCACCTGTAGTCTCAGCTACTCAGGTGGTTGAGGCAGGAAGATCACTTGAATCTGCCTCCAAGTGAGCTGTGTTCGAGCCACTGCACTCCACCCTGGATGACAGAGCAAGACCCTGTCTCAAAAAGAGTGGTCTGAGAAAAAGAAACAACCGTAGACGTCAGCAGGCAATTAGGGTTAATCAAGTTTTTTGTACTGTGAAAGGCTTTGTAAACAATGGGGTAACCTGGCAAGTTGGACTATCCAAAGTTTAACCCATTTATGCCTACTGTTCCATTACTGGAACGCTAAGCTTGTGGGAGTTATTTATATCATAGTGCTCAAGGTCATCACCAAGGTCTGAGTTTTCACACAAAAAAATTTGCAACCTCCAGCATAAATGGGTTAAAGAACAGGGGGAAGAAACAATGGCTTAAAGGCATGTTTTAATTTCACAGGATTTTAAGAGGAAGCAAATTTCCTGTGGATGATGCCTAACGAATTTACATACGGACTCTGCTTTAGTGACCTTTCTCATTCTTCCATCCATGCCTGTGAAAAAAGGCAGCTGCAGCCTGATTGGCCCATGTGCACACTAGGACTTGTCAGAAATAGCTGACCTCTGGGGCAGATGGTAGGCACTGAATCACTGAATTTCCTTCTCCTGTGAAAATGACAGTATTCCTGGAGGCAGAAATGTTATTGCTGTGTTAAAAAGTTGAATTTTCTCATTAGTGAACTGGAGGTGCCATGATCTGATACCATAGTAATTCATTTAGCAGACACTAAGTAGCTGTGACATGAAGCAGTGGTGCCAGGGGTTTAGGGAATGCAAAATTGAGTAAGTTCCCTGGCCTAGAGAAGCTTATAATCAGGATAGGAAATGATACAGAACTTGTGTTTAAGTGTTGTCAAAAAAGTGTAAAGCGTCTACTATGGAAGGTGTTTTAACGGGGGTGGGGGAATGGGCTAACATTTGTAGAGTTTTGTTTTGAGAAAGGATTTTTTGTAGGAGTAAATGGCAGTGAGTTAGTGATTTGTGAATACTTCTATATTGTATTATTAGTGTAAGAATTTTTAATAAGCTAAAAATTTCAGGTCTTAATAGAGGAAACATCTAGTGTAAAATAAGAAAGTAACCCTGAAATTTTCTTTTGAATTCCCTTCCCTGTTGGGCATGGTGGGTCATGCCTATAATCCTAGCACTTTGGGAGGCCAAGGAGGGAGGATTAGTTGAGACGAGGAGTTTGAGACCAGCCTGGGCAACCTAGCGAGACCCCATCTCTACAAAAAATTGAAAAATTAGCCAGGTGCGGTGGCACGATTGTGTAGTCTTAGCTACTTGGGAGGCTGAACCCAGGAGGTCGAGGCTGCAGTAAGCCGTGATTGCACCATCTTACTCCAGCCTCTCCAGGGACAGGGCAAAACCCTGTCTCTAAAGGAAGAAAAAAAATCCCTTCTCAAACCTTTATCTTTAGCGCTGCCTCCTTCTTAAGCTATTATTTAATTTTGTTGAGGTTCTTGCCAGCTCTTCCTTTTTGAGAGTGCGGCTAAGAACCAACCACACAGATCTCTGGGCTGTTATATCTAGGACTGTAGGCAGCCCCACAGGGACCTACCTGTAACTGCAGTGAGCAGCTGTGGGGGCACAGGGAGGGAGGGTAAACTCTGTTAACTTGTGGCCATGAACATGCAGCTTGGTAGGAATTCCAGCTATCCTTAAAGGGCCTCAGCCTTTTTACTTTGTATTCTCTGTTGAGTTCCTCTATTTGCTCTTTAATTGCTAAGGAAGACTTACTGTCCTCACTGAGTGGCTACGTGTGAGTCGTTTGCTGTCTTGACTTATGGTTTTGTGTGTTTTTAGAATCTTTCCTTTCTAGTACAATAAAATATTTTTATTATTTTAAAAATTAAACTGATTTTGGTAGAATGCTAGGAAAGGGACCAAAAATTTAGTTCATGTTAACTTACTGGAGAATTTTGGTGGGATAGCAGGTTTTGAAGAGATGAAGTGCCTTTTTATTACAGCTTATTACTTTACTGTTGATACTTGTAAGCTGTTACTTGAGACATAAGCATTACTGTGGCAGTTTGTGTTTTCATGTAGTGATGTTTATGGTGTTAATATTTTTTCAGATAATTAATTTTGCTTTTAATAATTTAAAACTACACTTTCTGTAAAGTGATCAGTTGCATTTGGGGGTAGAACTTTTTCTGAAGCAATGTGCTTACATCACTTAACCCATCCATTTGCACGCAATATTAGCTCTTCAAAACACAGCCCAACACTGAGAGAAAGCAAAATCAGTTTTCAAGTGCTGACAATAATTGTTATAAAGCTCCCGCACCAAAGCTGATGTATGGTTCTTAACTGTTTTCCAGCCTTCCGTGTAGATCAGACACCATCAGCTGGGAGCAAGATGAGTAGAGATTGTTAGGGCTGCATAGTGGAGGCAGCAGTCAGCAAAGTCCAGCATCACACCTGGGCTGGGTATAGTTGCTCTTTAGAGAGGCTAGAGTTACCAAGGCAAAGATGAAGTATGTTTAGGAGTCTCTGTTTTAAGAAGATAGGGAAGTAAAAATATATTCTAGAAATATTTCCATCACAGTGTTGAATTTCTTTTTTTTTCTTTTTTTAAGACGGGGTTCACTCTGTCACCCAGGCTGGAGTGCAGTGGCACAATCATGGCTCACTGAATCATCTACCTCCTGGGCGCAAGTGACCTCTCACCTCAGCTTCCCAAGTAGCTGGGACCATAAGCGTGTGCCACCATGCCTGGCTAATTTTTAAATTTTTAAAATTTTTTGTAGAGACAAAGTCTCCCAACATTGCCCAGGCTGGTCTCAAATTCCTGAATTAAAGTGATCCCTCCACCTCAGCCTCCCAAAGTGTTAGGATACAGGCGTGAGCCACTGCACCCAGCCTGAAATATGTTTTGATGCTTGAAGAATGACCAGGCTTCATTTATATATCTGGGCTTTGTTACCTTAGTCCAAAAATGAAGGGAATGGGACTCCCAGATTTTTTCTAGTTCTAAATTTCTTTCTTCATTGGCTGTCTAGAAAATTTACATTTTGATAATTATCCTCTTGAAAATACAGTTAAGAAGGTCATGTTTTTTCTGTAACTTGACCAGTTTAATAAAAACTGGATTAATAGGTACTTACATATTTCTGTACTGTTTCTATAATACTTATATAAAAATATTAAAAGTTTTATAACCTGGCATGTTATAAATTAGTTTTCCCCTATAATAACTATTGGAGAATGTTAATTTGCAATTATTTATTTTTGGCTAAAGTCATTGTATACTTTATATTCTTATATATAATGGCCAAAGCCTTTATATTCTTATATTTGGTTAAATATCAAAACATAAACAATATAATGGCTTTAGACAAAGATAATTAAATAATTCTATAATATTCGTTATATTCTTACACCTGGTAGGAGTCCCTTCGAAGTTTCTGTTGTATGATTTCCAGCGAGATTGTTGGACCGGCCCCTGACTTTTTAAGGCCCAGATGGGAGTTCAAAATATATTCAGAATTTGCTTAGCACCCTCTAAGTAGTGCTAGCACATTGGTCCCAGCGATCATTCAGTTTGACTTGGATTATTTCGGGAGCCTCTTAGCTGTCTTCCCTGTTACTTCTCCCTTTGCCCCTTGCAGTCTGTTGTTGACACACAACGACCCTGTTAGCAAGTGAGTCAGATGATGTTACTCTGCTCAGAATTTACTGCAGTGGCTAAAGCCTTTATCATAGCCAACAAGGCTCTCATGGCCGGCCCTCCCCATCTCTCAGATATCCTCGCCATTGCCTGTTCTGTTCCACATAGGAACATGCCAAGGAGACTTCCTCCTTAGGACTCTTGGACATATCTTCCCTCGCCTGGAATGCTCTTCCTACAGTTATGTGAGTAACTAGCTCCCTTACCTCTTTGGGGTTTTTTCCCCCAAAATCATCTCAGTGACCTGCGTATCTAAAATTTCATAGAACAGGCTCTAACCACCCACCTCCAGACTTGGAAGCAAGCACACCACCCGACTGTGACACGCAGACAGTTGACGTATCTAAAATTTCAACCCTTCTCCAACATTTCATATCCCTGCCCCTGATTAATTTTTTTTCTCCTTAGCACTTGTGTTACACACTATGTGTTTTATTTATTTATCCTGAGTATTGCCTCTCCTTCACTAGAATGTAAGCTCCTTGAGGACAAGGATTTTTGTCTGTGTTGTTTCCTACTATATCTGCAGTACCTAGAACAGCATCTGGTCCATAGTAGTTGCTCACTAAGAATTTGTTGAATGAATGGATGAATGAGTATTTCATAGCATAGCTCCCTACCCTGGCCCATGAGTTATATAAATTTTGAATTTGGAGGGCTATTAGCGAGTGTCTAGTCAGGAAACCACTCCAGGTGTTTCATTCAAGAGGGATGTAATTCTAGGAATTGTTTACAAAAAGAAAGGGCTGTAGGAACAAAAGGGAGAAGGTGCCTACAAACCAGAGCCCACAAACCCGCATTTCTCACTGATGCTACTGGAGTTCGCTGCAACCAAGCAGGAACCTGTACTCCTGCCAGTGCTGCTGCCAGAGCCTAATGGGAGCACAGCTGACGGGGGGTTTGGAAATGTAGATTTCAGGCCTGATGATGCAGGGAGAGTCTGGAAGGGTAGATGTGGGACTAAGTACCAGCATACACTATCCAGCACAGATGGTATTTATTTAATTCATGTATGGAGATAAATTTAGATGTAGAACAAATTAAACTGAGTAGTTTGGGTTGTGCCACCAAATAATAACACAGAGTGAGATCTTAGACCATGACTGAAATATAAGAAAGCTAAGAATTAAATCCCAGTTTAGCCTAGTCATATCCATGTGTTGAACCACAAAACTGAACTCAGCCTCTAGAAATGGAACAAGACAGGAAACATATCTTCACTGTGGCCCTGATCTCTTAGTGTGATTAAGTGTTCATTTCCTTGAGTTCAGTAAATCTGTGTTTAGGCCCAACCATGTCCCAGATTAGATCTCTGTCACATAAAGGATCACATTGACCTCTCCTGATCTGATTAGAGTCATCTGTTACTCAGGACCCTGCTGTCATTTAAAGGTCGGGTTGCTCCTCTTTTTTTCCTCTTCTCACTTTATGAACAAGGACACCAAAATCTAAACATACTTGGTAACTACATGATTTATGATATGAAGTTATTAATAAGCTATTTATTAGGGATGACTTTTTTAAATTTTTTATTGTGGCAAAA
Source organism: Homo sapiens (assembly GCF_000001405.40). Lineage (NCBI taxonomy): Eukaryota > Metazoa > Chordata > Mammalia > Primates > Hominidae > Homo > Homo sapiens. Next base: position 53,022,977 of record NC_000003.12, on the reverse strand, counting down.
TAAAATTTAGCATCTTAACCATTTTTAAGTGTATAGTTTAGTGGTATTAAATGCATTCATAAAGCTTACCATCTTAACTGCTTTTAAGTATACAGTTCAGTGGTATGACTATGTTCATAGTGTTGTGCAACCATTACCACAGTCCGTCTCCATCACTCTTTTCATCTTGTAAAACTTAAACTCCATACACATTAAATAATAACTTCCCATTTCCCGCTCCACCCCGCTCCAGGTAACCAGCATTCTGTTTTTCAGTTCTATGAAATTTACTACTTTAGGTACCTCATAGAAGTGGAGTCATGTATTTGTCTTTTTGTGACTGACTGGCTTATTTCACTTAGCATAGTATCATCCAGGTTCATCCACATTGTAACACGTGTCAGAATCGCCTTCATTTTAAAGACTGAATAATATTCCACTGTATGTCTATAGTGTATTTTGCTTCTTCATTCTGGTTTATTTATTTGTTTGTTTGTTTTTTATAGAAACAGGGTCTTATGTTTGCTTTTTTTTTTTTTTTTTTTTTTTGAGACAGCACCTCACCCTGTCGCCCAGGCTGGAGTGCAGTGGTGTGATCATGGCTGACTGCAGCGTCTACCTCCTGGGCCCAAGCAGTTCTCCTGTCTCAGCCTCCCGAGTAGCTGGGACTGCAGGCGCATGCCACCATGTTCAGCTAATTTTTGTGTTTTTACTAGAGATGGGGTTTCACCATGTTGCCCAGTTTGGTCTCCAACTCCTGGGCTCAAGTGATCTGCCCACCTTGGCCTCCCAAATCACTGGGATTACAGGTGTGAACCACCGCACCCAGTCCAGCTAGGCTGTTTCTACAGTAGAAAACAAACACCTGCTAGAGTAGCTTAGATTCTTCTGTTCTTTGTTTCACCTAGTAAGTGAGGCCTTAATTTTCACCTCTTAACCACTTTTTATTTAATGCCATAGACGAATTCTAGAGAGCGGTGAGGAATCTTTGAGAGAAGAAACTTTATTGGGTGGGGTTGCTGGCCTCTGCTCTTTTTGCATTTAGTCTTCTATGAATCCCTTCCTGAATTTGAAGTGCTGCTTTAGAAGAAATATTACCTCATCAGAATTCTAGGGGAAAATGGTTGGTTTGAATTTAAGCAAAAATAATGTATTAATATTTTCCCCTTCTGCGTGCTTTTTCTCTTTTCCCCTTGTAAATGATTTTATTTCTCCCTGCGGTTGCTGTTTTTGAGCTGTGGTTATTGGAAACTCCCATAGAAAGGGGCTGGGTTGGTGGTGCTGGGGCTGGAAGGCTGTGACACAGAGCAGGTGAAAGGGGACTCCTGCTTCCTTGTGTCTTCCGATTCTCCCAAAAAGGCCCTGATGAAGGCCTTAGGTCATAAGACTTATGGAGACACTGTTAGCAACCATCAACTGATTTAAATTAAATCTCCAAATGGCAACAGAGTGCACTTGAGCCAGGAGTATGTCTGTGACCCATGGATACTTGTTGTCTTTTGACTTCATAGAGGCATTTACTTTTATTTATTTAACTCTTTATTATGGAAAAATTTAAACATAACACAGAAGTAGAGATAATATAATACATCCCCAGTTTACACATCACCCAGCTTTAACATTTTGCTTTCCTAGAGACATTTTCTAATGAGGGTAGGCATAAAGCATTTGAGTTTCATATTACCTTTTCCACTCCTTGACATCAGGTTTTAAGCAAAATTGTCTCCAGATTTACTTCAGCAAATTTAGGTACATACTAGTTACTCCCAAGACTAGTTGTAGAGAAGTGATAATTGAATTTGGTCTTTCGTTAGAAATGTACTGAGTGTAAAAAAGATTGTTGTTAGAGATGTCCTTTACGAATAGATTAAGTTTATTATATATCACTGTTAGGCTCAACGTAGCCAATAGGGGACCTCTACTTTCTTTTTTCTTTTTTTGAGACGGAGTCTCACTCTTGTTGCCCAGGCTGGAGTGCAGTGGCGCGATCTCAGCTCACTGCAACCTCTGCTTCCTGGGTTCAAGCAATTCTCCTGCCTCGGCCTCTCATGTAGCTAGGATTACAGGGACGCACCACCATGCCTGGCTAATTTTTTGTATTTTTAGTAGAGACAAGGTTTCTCCATGTTGGCCAGGCTGGTCTCAACCTCCTGACCTCAGGTGATCCGCCCGCCTAAGCCTCCCAAAGTGCTGGGATGACAGGCGTGAACCACCGTACCCGGCCTCTACTTTTACTTAGTATGGAAAAACCTGTATTACAAAACTCTGGGTGGAAGCCTGGGTATAGATTGGAAATGTGTTCTCTGTTCTTGGTTTCCCCTTCTCCCTCCTTCTTCCATCCTCGACTTGTTTTTCTGCCATTCATTCTACAAACATGTATCGGCTTTAATATACTACCCAAAAAAGACAACAGCTTGTATTGCAGGAAGGTAGGGAGATAATAAACCAGTAAGGAAATAAGTAAAATCTAGTAATTGTGATAAATGCTAGCAGGAAATCTGACTGATGTATTAGAAAATAAGATGGGGATGTGTTCAATAGAGTGAAAAGTCTCTTTTTTCCTTTTTTTCTTTTTCTTTATTTTTGTTTTTTCTTTGTTTGTTTGTTTTGAGATGGAGTCTCATTCTGTCACCCAGGCGGGAGTGCAGTGGTGTGATCTTGGCTCGCTGCAACCTCCGCCTCCCAGGTTCAAGCGATTTCCCCTGTCTCAGCCTCCTGAGTAGCTGGGATTACAGGCATGCACCACCATGCCTGGCCAATTTTTGTGTTTTTAGTAGAGACGGGGTTTCACCATGTTGGCCAGACTGGTCTTGAACTCCTGACCTTAGGTGATCCGCCTGCCTCGGCCTCCCAAAGTGCTGGGATTACATCACGCCCGGCCTACTTTTTTTTTTCTTGGTACTCACTGGCCACGGCAAGAAAAAAAAAAATCTTTATGTACTGGTTTTAGACTAAGCTGTGGAAGGCAAGAAGCAGTCACGTGTAGAGAAGGCTGGGTGAGGGGTAGAGCACCTGCAGAGGCCCTGAGATTGGAGTCTGTGGTGAACTAGGAACCAACAGTGGGAGTGTGAATGGAAAGAAGCCGAAGTGGTAAGTGGGGACACCAGATCTTGCAGGGCCTCGTATATCCCAGTAAGGAGTTTTGATTTTACTATTTAGTCAGTTACTGAAAGGTTTTAAGTAGGTTTGTGTCATGATTTGCTTTGTGTTTTAAAAAATGCCTGTATGCTCTATGGAGAATGGACTTCCAAATGCGGAAAGGGAGACAGTTTGGAGGTCGCTGCAATAGTCTAGGTGGCATGGACTAGGATGATGACAGTGAAAAATGGAGAGAAGTGTTTGATTTCAAAATTCATGGTGGCTAGACTCAATAGGACTTGCTCATGGACAGGGTGAGGATGAGGAAGCCATCAACAGTGGTTTCTAAGTTTTTGACTAGGTTGGTCCTGTAATATTGAGATGGGGAAACCTGGGGAGAGTTGGGTTGAGAAGGAAAAAGTTTTGGTTGCCCATGTAACATTAAAATGGAAATTCCAAATGAGTAGTTGGATATGTGAGTCTGGAGCTCAGTGAGTGAGTCCTAATCATTGATTTCACACATATACCCCCCCCACACACACACACACCAGTGACTGAGTCCTCTTAATCATTGATTTCACACACACACATGCACATGCGTGTGCTTTTTTTTGTTTGTTTTTTGAGACAAGGTCTTTCTCTGTTGCCCAGGCTGGAGTGCAGTGATACAATCATAGCTCACTGCAGCCCTCTGGACCTTCTGGACTCACGTGATCCTCCCACCTCAGCCTCCCCAGTAGCTGGGGCTACAGATACAGGCCACCACATCCAGTTAATTAAAAAAATTTTTTTCTGTAGAAACGAAGTCTCACTGTGTTGTCCAGGCTGGTCTCAAGCTCCTGGGCTCAAGCAATACTTCCACCTCAGCCTCCCAAAATGCTGGGATTACAGGTATGAGTATCGATAATATTTATAGCCATGAGTTTGCATGACATCACCTAGGAAGAGAATTCCAGTGTGGATGGGAAAAAAAGAAGAGAACACAGCACCAAACCCCAAGGAATTCCAAGCTTTAGAGCTTGTGATTCTGGAGGAGGCAGCAAAGGAGACAGGATTGGCTAAAGAGGAAGAAGGAAAACCAGGAGAGTAGTGTCACAGTACCTGAGAGAAGAAAATCCTCTGAGAAGTGGCAGTTTACTGTGTAGAATGGAGGGGATCTGGTAAGATAAGAGAGCAAACCATTGGATTTAGCAATTGGAAGGTCATTGGTGACCTGGACAAGAGCAGTACCAGTGAGTTAGGTGAGGCTGTAGCCAGACTGGGGAGGAAATGAGGAAATGCCATATGAAGGCAAGCCTCTGAGATGAGACGGCTTGCTGTGAGGAGGAAGCAGAGAAATGGAGAAGTGCTTGGAGGGCACAAAGGGGTTTTCTTTTACTATTGAGATAGCAACATGAGAGCCTGTTTGTGTGCTGATCTTATGGGACTGTTATGGTAGATAGGGGTGTAGAACATGGGGTCTAACTGAAGGTTCTAGGTTACAGAGTAAATATGGGAACAGGGTGGTGTCTAGAGCTTCAGGGAAGGGATTTTCCTTTCTCTGAAGGATGAAAACAGATCCAGGCAGGTGGTGGGAAAATAAAGGAAGTTCTTGGCCTTCATATTGTACTGCAGAACTAACTTTTTTTCTTGCCTGCTTCTTGCATTCTTCAATTTTCTTTTTCTTTTTTTTCTTTTTGTTTTGTTTTCGAGATGGAGTCTTGCTCTGTCGCCCAGGCTGGAGTGCAGTGATGCGATCTCGGCTCACTGCAACCTCCACCTCCCCTGGTTCAAGTGATTCTCCTGCCTCAGCCTCCCAAGTAGCTGGGACTACAAGCCCGTGCCACCATGCCCAGGTAATTTTTGTATTTTTAGTAGAGTCAGGGGTTCACCGTGTTAGCCAGGATAGTCTCGATCTCCTGACCTCATGATCCACCCGCCTCGGCTTCTCAAAGTGCTGGGATTACAGGCGTGAGCCACCGTGCCCAGCCTATTCTTCAATTTTCTAAGTATGCAATTTTCTAAGTATGCATAGACTTCCAGTTCGTATTAAAGAAATGAAAAAGCAGTTTATTGTTACTTGCCACACACTGAAAAGCATCTTTTTTAAATAGAGAAGGAAAAGAGTTTAGAAACAGCACAAGGTGTATATAGATGTTTACAAGAAGTCATGCTCATTTTGTTAAGGTAATTATATTGCTTTTTTTGAAGAGTGAAGGTATAAGCTGCAGGAGAAGGGAAGAGGCATGGGATGCTTTATTTCGTGGGGTTGTTTCATATGAGTACTGGTATTTCTCCAAGTTGCTCTTTAAGTTCCTTCTTGTTCCATGAGAGTGCTTCATGTTGCAGTCCTGTCACTCTTCTGTTGGAGGAAGGTTTCCTTTACTAACTGTGTAAGACTTAATGTAGAATAGACATGGGAGACTACACTTCTGATCTGATTAGCCTATAAACCCCCAAGAGGGTAGGGATTTTGTTTTGCTCACTATTTCATCCCTGGATCCTGGAACAGTACCTAGCAGGTAGTAGGAATTCAAGAAATACCTGTTGAGTGAATTAATAAAAGAACTGCCAAATAAAAAATAAGTGTCACTATACTAGTGGACCTGGAGAGTAAAGTGACTGCAACATCCTCAAAATGAAAATATTTCCTGTTTTATCCAGAGATCACATTCTTACCTAAAGTAGTATGGTGTGCAGAAATATTATGGGCACTAGATTAGACAGGCATGGATCCCATCTTTATCTTCTAACAGCTTGGGTGTGTTTCTTAGCCTTAGTTTCATTTTCTTTAAGATGGGACTAGTAATAATGTACTTTGCAGAATTACTGTATATTTGTATACTGTATATAAAGTACTCAGCATAGTAGCATAGTAGATCCTCAACAAAAGGAGGATCTCATTCGTTCCTATTTTTCTTAGTGGTTATATAAGTCTAGACACTGGAGACGAATCTAGTTAACAATAATCAGTTTTACAGATGGGAAAAATAAAAAGGAAATTGGATCTTTCCAATGTGAATCAAAATAGAAATTTCCAATGTGAAAGGCAAAACAATAAGCGAAGATCTTTGTGGTTTCAGAATGGGGAAGAATTTCTTAAAATAAGAGGCAAAAAGCACTAACTGTAAAGGAAAGGGTTGATAAATATGACTACATTAAAATTAAAACCATTATCAACAGACGACATAAAGAGAGTGAAAAAATGAGCCACAGAATGGGAGAATAAATAATCACATAGAACTGTCAGAATATGTGAGGAATTCCTTCAAATCAATAAATAAGGAAGACAGCCCAGTAGGAAAATGACTTGAGAAGGCACTTCTCAAAAGAGGGAATCCAGTGGTCAGTAAACATAAGAAAAGGCATTGTCTCACTTTAATTGGGGGATGCAAATTAAAACACGGGGATATGTCATTACACACTCACTAGATTTGCAGGAATTTTAAAACCCACTGTCACTGAGTACGTAGAGCCACTGGAGCTGTTATTCACGCTTGTGGTATGTGTGTTGATACAACCACATTGGGAAGGTTGGACATTGATTGTATGCTTTGAAAGTTGGATATATGTTCACCCTGACCTCAGCTAGATTGACATGTCTTTGGCTTGAGGCAATCTCTGGAGGTTCGCACCGCAATCCATGATCAAGACTATGATGGTAAGTGTTATTAGAGCTCAGAGAGTGTAGTAGTGTCTGGTGTGCTGAGCTGGACCAAGCAAATTCCTCCTGCTTTGGAGTTAGAGGTGTAAGCTTAAAGTTCTGGGTTTTGTTTTTTTTTTTCACTTTGTCCTTTAATTTATTAATGATTATTTTCTAAATGTTAGAAATTCCTAACTTTATTTTCTTTTACTGCTAAAAGTAGGGTGCTAGAAAGACAGTATTCTAAATCAAAGAAAAACCATAGTATACTGTTCTTGATGAAATAAGTCTTCCCTACTGCAGGCCTTGCTGTGTGAAGAAGAAAAATGAGAAGCAAACAATTGTAAGCTTTTTCTTATTTAAAAAATAAGAGGAAAATCACCTACTTAAAGTATACAATTCATTGGTTTTCAGTATATTTACAGGGTAGTGTAACCATCATGATAATCTAATTTTAGAACATTTTCATTATTCCAGAAAAAAAACCTTGTACCCATTAGCAGTTATGCCCTTTCCCTGCTTTTTCAGCCTAAGGCAACCACTAATTTACTTTCTGTCTCTCTAGATTTGCCTATGGTGGACATTTTGTGTAAATGATATCATATAATATGTGGTCTTTTGGACCTGGTGTTAATTTAGCATAAAGTTTTTGAAGTTCATCCATATTGTGTGTGTATCAGTATTTCATTTGTTTTTATTACCAGATAATAGTCTACTATATGGCTATGTCACATCTTATTTATCTACTCATCAGTTGATGAACATTTGGGTTGTTTGTACATTTTGGCTGTTGTCAGTAATGCTGCTGTGAACATTGCTATACAAGTTTTTGTGTGAACATTTGTTTTCATTTCTCTTGGGTATATACCTAGGAGTGGAATTGCTGGGTCTATGGTAACTCTTATGTTTAACTTTTTGAAGAACTGCCAAACTGTTTTTTCAAATTGCCTATACCATTTTACCTTCTGGTTTCTCCACATCCTTGACAGCACTTGTTATTCTCTATTTTTTTTTTATGATAACCATTCTTGTAGCTTTAATTGGGGTATTGCCAATTAAAATACAATGATTTTTTTTTTTTTTCCTTGGGACAGGGTCTCTCTCACCTGTCACCCAGGCTGGAGTGCAGTGGCATGATCTTGGCTCACTGCAACCTCTGCCTCCTGAGTTCAAATGATCCTTCCACTCAGCCTCCTCAGTAGCTGTGACTACAGGCGTACACCACCATGCCCAGCTAAGTTTTGTAGAGACGAGGTTTCACCATGTTACCCAGGCTGGCCTCCCACTCCTGGGCTCAAGCGATCTGCTGTGCCAGCCTCCCAAAGTGCTGGGATTACAGGCATGAGCCACTGCTCCCGGTCCTATTACTTTTTATATAACTCAAACATGATTCTGGCTTTTTAAATGACATTTGTTGAGGGAGGTTGCTTTATGCTTTCATTTTGGGGGTCCTCCAGATTCATAGTTTCTCTCTGCTGTATTAACATTTATGCTGGCTGTGTCTTTATTCATTCACTCACTCCATCACACACTGAGGGCCTGTCCTTTAGAGTCTAGTCCCAAGAGAGCCTAGGACTCACCCCTGTCAGAGACTGTGACACCTGATTTTGTGTTGCGAAAATAAAGAATATTGTAAAAATAGTTGTACAGTTTATAAGGTAGACTAGATGTACTACTGTTGGTCTCCAGAGCTTTTTATGAAGATCTGTTATCAGTAAAAGCTCTCAGATAGGTTTCTTCTTGTTAGTTGATTCATTGGGTGGTGGTTCTAGAAACTGTTTTGTTTTGTTTTGTTTTGTTTTGTTTTGTTTTGTTTTGTTTTTTTTAAATACAGGGTCTCTCACTCTGTCACCCAGGCGGGAGTGCAGTGGTGTGATCACGGCTCACTGTAAACTTGACCTCCTGGGCTCAAGCGATTCTCCTGCCTCAGCCTCCCAAAGTGCTGGCATTACAGGCATGAGCCGCTGCGCCTCACCTAAAAACTTTCTAAGAAGTGATCTCAATTCTTTCCTGAATTGAGGCTTTAGGACATTCAGTGAAATGCCTAAGAAGAAATGATAGAAGATGAGGAAATCCATTTTGGAAAAAGCCTTACATGTAAATATTTTATTTTTGAATGGCAGGCAGCTCGGTGTGTTGGCAGAATAACTTAGGTTATGGATTTGGCTGTCATTTACTAGTTGTGTGATATTTGATAAGTTAAATAACTTCTTTGAGTCTCTTATTTCCTGACCTTTAAAATGGGAATATTTCAAATGGTGGTGGGATGGAAGAGGTATCATATCACATGGTGCCTAGTGCGGTAAGCACTAAGTGTCAGCTCTCTTCCTCCCTGACTGCAAGGCAGTTTATTTAAATAAAATGATTCTTGGCCGGGAGCAGTGGCTCACACCTGTAATCCCAGCACTTTGGGAGGCTGAGATGGGCGGATTACCTGGGATCAGGAGATCGAGACCAGCCTGACCAACATGGTGAAACCCCATCTCTACTAAAAATACAAAAATTAGCTGGGTGTGGTGGTGGGCGCCTGTAATCCTAGCTACTTGGGAGGCTGAGACAGGAGAATCGCTTGAACCCAGGAGGCGGAGGTTGCAGTGAGCTGAGATTGCGCCATTGCACTCCGGCCTGGGTGACAGAGCAAGACTCCATCTCAAAAAAAAAAAAAAAAAAAAAAAAAAAAAAAGATTCTTTATAAATAAACTGTGTTCCTTCTTGAAGTAATTAAATTTACTATTAATGGATTATTATCTAATAGTAACAAAATGGTGAGAGCATTTTGGCAAGAGCAAATATAGTAATCATTTCCTAGAATGTGAAAAAAGTTGATTCCAGCTAGCAGTGGATAGAAAAGTGAATTTAGCAGAAACTCACCTCTGGTCTGTTTTGAACAACTTAGCCATACAATACCACTAAGAGTTATACTCAAGACGTAATATTCTTTGGCAATTCTAAGTTTACCTGTTCCCTGTTGTCCACCTAGAAGAGTTTTACTCTTTAGGTGAAAGATTGAAGAATGATTACCCTTACCATTTTGAGTAGAAACTAGTGCATAAATTGTAACTTAGCAAGTTTCATGAATGAATTGTACTATCTCAACTTAGAGCCCATCACTGGAAATATTGATGAAAATATTTTCCATTGAAGCAGCAAGTGTTTTTGCCAACATTATAATCAAATCCAGTAGCTCCACAATTCCTAAAGCAGATTTTCAGATGATTGTGATTGGTCTTTTAGATGCTTTTTCAAAATATGGTTTACGGTTTGGGAAAGGTAGTATAAAATATTTATAATTTTTTATGGGTTTTTTTGTATTTTTGTTATTAGTCTCTTTAGCATTGAGTTTTGAGAGATGTTAGCTTTTCAACTATAAAGCAGGTGAAATATGCTCCAATCAGTGTATGTTAATTTGTTATATTTATAGCTGAACTAGATTTGCTGGTGATGGAAATTTAGCCTGCAAAAACTAAATTGTGTCTTCCATTTTCCCATAATTGCATTACCTTGAATCATATGATATGTAGGCCCTAACCTTTGACTTTTGGGTTTGTTGGCCAGTGTTTTCCTATTACTAAAATAAGCAAAGGATTAAGAGCACTCGGCCGGGCGCGGTGGCTCACGCCTGTAATCCCAGCACTTTGGGAGGCAGAGGCGGGCGGATCATGAGGTCAGGAGATCGAGACCATCCTGGCTAACACAGTGAAACCCCGCCTCTACTAAAAATACAAAAAATTAGCCGGGCGTGGTGGCGGGCGCCTGTAGTCCCAGCTACTCGGGAGGCTGAGGCAGGAGAATGGCGTGAATCCGGGAGGCGGAGCTTGCAGTGAGCTGAGATCGCGCCACTGCACTCCAGCCTGGGCGACAGAGCGAGACTCCGTCTCGGGAAAAAAAAAAAAAAGAGCACTCACTGCAAGGCACTTCTGTCCTTTTTAGCAGCCATTGAATCTTGTCCATTTGCTGCGCAGCGACTTAAATGCCTACTTCTTATTCACGGCCTTCAGTTTGTATCTGTCCTTCTCTTCTCAGCCACCCACATCGTAGCCTCGGCTTCCACCACACAACTGGAAATCTCTCCCAGAGGGTGCCAGTAACCTTTGTAGTGGCAAGGCCAGTGTCCTTTCTTTTCTCAGCCTTTATTCTCTTGAATTTCCTTTCATGTTTGGCTTTGTCATTGGTGCACTCCTCTTTGTGAGAGGAAACTTTCTAGGTTTCCTACCTCTCAATTTTTTCTGTATTTAATTTATACAAAGTGGCTCATGTAGTGGCTGGCACATAGATACTTAAAAAGTGTTAGTTCCTACCTCTCTTTTTTTGTGGTCTCTCCTTCATTCTCTGTTCATTTCTCCGTGAGATTTTCTGATTAGTAGTTACCTTCAGCATGCCAGTTGACTTGCAAACCTACAATCCAACCTTTCTTCTACTTTGTCATCTGACAACAGCCTGGTTTGTAGCTGATTCCAGGACTTCTTCACTTGGGTGGCCACTCTCATTACCACAGAGTTCACTAGTCATGGTGAACACACCAGTCTTTTACACCTCCCTCACTCCCAAACCTCAGTTCTTCTTAACTACTATCCCAGTATTTTCAGTGGCACCAGTATTTATTTTCCTTTTCACATGCTAGAATTTGGAGTCATCTTTGATTTTTCTGTCATTTCCTACTTTGAAATGTCTCTTAGGCTCAATCCTTTGACACCATTCTGATGGCCGCTTCTCTGCTTTAAGCCCACAGCCTTTGATCTCTGGGCTAGTCCAACACCTTCCTGCTGGTCTGCTGCTGGTCCTAACTGCCCTTTAACTGAGTATATGTCACTTGGCAGCTATAAAATGTAGCACTCCTCAAGTCTTTCCTGTTTGGTGCTGTTTGTGTACTATAGAACTTTTATGTATTATATGTACTCTTCTGTGGGGCCTCGTTATCTATGCCAGCAGATTGATCCCTCCTGCCACCTTACACACGAGCATACTTTCCACCCTGCCCCTTGCCGACCTGATGCCAGCCTGATGCCAGCCTTGGTACCCTTTGCATGCTGCTTGGCCTGCTGGGAATGCCTTCCACCCTTTCCTCTACCTTTCCAAGATTCTGTCTGTCCTTGAAGATGAAATTTATGCCTTTCTTTTGGTAAAGCTGTTTGCAGCTATTTTGACCCACAGTTAACTCTCCCTTTTTTGGCAGCTAATTTTGAAAAGCCTTGCATTTCAGAAATTTCTCTAGTGATTCTATCTGTAACTGTAAAATCCTTTAGGGCAAGACTGAGCTTCCTATTGGGCCACCCCATCATCCCCTGGGAAGTACCAAGAACAAAGGAGGTGCTCAGTAGTAGATAGAGACAAGTTGCTAGCAGGCTGGTAAAGAAGCATTGTAAATATGCTGGTTTTTAACTGTGTTGGTAAATACTGAGTGGAAGACAGTTCCGAAGATACAGATACCAAATAGATGTTTCTGAGCTTAGTGGTCTTTTTTATCTGGTGTCATTTTGTTGATATGGTATAACAAATATTGTGGAATTAAAATTCAATGGAGAAGCTTTGGGCAAATTACCTTATTTAAACATGTTTTATAAGTTAAGTTCTATATATACAGAGATGTTTGTCACTTTCTCAGTCAGGTACTGTCAAACAAGTACTAGGCTATAAATAACATCATTACAGAAAAACACACTGTATTCTGGTTGTACAAATTAAGTGAATGTCATCTTACTTTGAAACATGGCTCCACAATTACCCCCTTGTGCATTTTCCCCATGTATATTGTGTAAAGAACATTAAGAAAATTTCTTGTATAATTTTCTTTCTGCCACTCACCTCCTCCTCCCAAAAGCATCTCTGGACTAGAAAGGGCTTACCAGCCCCACAGAGGGTTCAGTCAGGACCCATGTGCTACTTTCCCCTGGCCTGGCAGCCATGTTCGGTCACTGCCCAGCTGCTCTCTCTTGATGCCTTTGTCTCCCTTTGTCCTCCCCTGGGATAGGTAGCTCAGGCTTCCTGCACCACACCCCCTTGCACTCCTTGCAGTAGGAGCACTGAAGAGCCAGAATAGCTTTCTGGTTGTTCTCTCTTTACCCAAAGAAGTTTCACTTGCTTGTTTGTTGAGAATGAGAGAATCCATTTGAGTTTCTTTTTTCTTTCTCCTTTACTACTTAAAACATCCTTCCTTTTCATTATGATTGCTTGCTTTTAGCTTGTTTCCTATTGGCTTGAGGCAAAGGGATCATGTTTTAAATCTCTGTAGCTGCTACATAGTAGAGCATAGTATAGAAACCAAATATAGTTGACCTTGAACAGCACAGGGCAAATCACATGGGTCCACTTTATGTGGATTTTCTTCTGCCTCTGCAACCCCTGAGACAGCAAGACCAACCCATCCTCTTCCTTTTCAGCCTACTCAGTGTGAAGACCGTGAGGATGAAAACCTTTATGATAATCCATTCCACTTAGTGAATAGTAAATATATTTTCTCTTCCTTATAATTTTTCTAATATTTTGTTTTCTCTAGTTTATTTTATTGTAAGAATACAGTGTATAATACATATACAAAACATGTTAATCCACGGTTTATGTTATCAGTAAGGCTTCTGGTCAGCTGTAGGCTATTAGTAAAGTTTTGGGGAGTCAGAAGTTACATGCAGATTTTTTCCTGTGAGGGCAGTTGGTAATCCTGACGCCTGTGTTGTTCAAGGGTCAACTGTAAATATTTGTTGAATGAATAAGTGATTCATGTGTTTAAAAACCAAACTTACTGAAAGAGTGAAGGATTGTATTATCTAGCACCAGATTTCCTCCCACCCTTGTATTCTCCTGTATTCTCAGCAGATTAACAACTTTTGTTGTTCAAAGTGAGGGATTCTTTTATTTATTTATTTATTTTTTGAGATGGAGTCTCTGGAGTGCAGTGGCGTGATCTCGGCTCACTGCAATCTCTGCCTCCCGGGTTCAAGCAATTCTCCTGCCTCAGCCTCCCGAGTAGCTGAGATTACAGGCATATGTCACCATGCACTGGGCTAATTTTTTATTTTTAGTACAGACGGGGTTTTACCATGTTGGCCTGGCTGGTCTTGAACTCCCGACCTTAAGTGATCTGCCCACCTCAGCCTCCCAAAGTGCCGGGATTACAGGCATAAGCCACCGTGCCCAGCCAAAAGTGGTATTCTCACTTCCTGTTTTTTCTTTTTTCATTTTCTTCCTTGTTATAGACACAGGGTCTTGCTATGTTGCCCAGATTGATCTCCAACTCCTGGGCTCAAGTGATCCTCCCACCTCAAGCCTCCCGAGTAGTTGGGATTACAGGCATGAGCCACCATGCCTGGCTGGTATTCTCACTTTACAGAGTAGGATATCAAGACCCAGAAGGGTAAACAAAATCTTCCGGCCGGGCACGGTGGCTCACGCCTGTAATCCCAGCACTTTGGGAGGCCGAGGTGGGCACATCATGAGGTCAGGAGATGGAGACCATCCTGGCTAACACGGTGAAACCCCGTCTCTACTAAAAATACAAAAAATTAGCCGGGCGTGGTGGCGGGTGCCTTGTAGTCCCAGCTACTCGGGAGGCTGAGGCAGGAGAATGGTGTAAGTAAACCTGGGAGGCGGAGCTTGCAGTGAGCTTAGATCGCGCCACTGCACTCCAGCCTGGGTGACAGAGCGAGACTCTATCTCAAAAAAAAAAAAAAAAGTCTACCTAGGGTCATGAAATTTGTATGTGATGAACTGGAGCTTGAAGTCAGTGTTACTACATGGAAAGCCTGGTTTTTCTTTTTTGTTATGCAACACTATTTTATACTACTTCCCTAGTGACCAAATGGAAGACTTATTTAGTACTTTTACAAAGAGAACATTCTTGTTGGAAAGAATTTGTGTGTATGTATTAAGATTGTATCCATTACTTTCATTTTGGAGAGATACTAATCATTTAAAATGTTTTTGAAAACTTTTGAAACAGCCCAAAACAGAATAGTTACAAGTACAGTAGAGAAAACTTGTTTTCTTCTCCAGAACCGTTGGAGTTGTCCGCCTGATGCTCCATCACTCTGGAATTACCCTAGTGTGTGTATGTTTCCAATGGTAAGGACATTCTTCTACATAAGTACAACATAACCATCAAAAGCAGGAAATTAACATTGACACATTATATTACCATCAAATACTCCTCACACCCCCCCATTCCCCATTCAAGTTTGACCAATAGTCCCAATAAAGACCTTCCAGCTCCTTTCCCCACCGCCTTTTTTTTTTTTTGCGGGGGTGGGGCAAGCAAAAGGATTCAGTTCAGATTCACATGCTTTGCTTTTAGTTGCCAAGTCTTTCTCAGCCTTCTTTTGACTTTCATGGTCTTGATGGGTTGGAAATTATAAGCCAGTTATTTTGTAGCCTGTCCTTCAATTTGGGTTTGTCTCATGTTTTCTCATGATTAAACTCAGGTTGCGTATCTTTGGCAGAAATATGGCAGAAATGATGTTATGTCTCATTGCCTCCTAGTAGGTGACATACAATTTCAATTTTTTGCATTTTTCTACTGCTAAATTATTCTTCCATTTGTAATTGGTATTTTATGGATAAGTACTTCCAAATTATGTTAACTATCTCATTCTTCATCACATTTTCAATTTATTGATTTATTAATTTATATCAATATGAACTCATGTTTTTTATTTTAATCAATGAGCTATAATCTTTTATTATTTGTATTGATGCTTAAATTGTCTCAGACTTGGCCAGTGGGAGGCCCTTCAAGCTGCTGCTTTGTCCTTTTGACATGTCTCCATTATTCTTGGAGCATTTTCTTGTTTTCTGGCACAAGTGTTCTAGGCCAGAATTTCTCAACTCTGGCACTGTAGGTACTCATATGTGTGGTTATTTGTTTCAGCATACATTCCATTCTGCAAAGAAATAGAAGATATTTGAAAAAATAATTAGCAAATATTGACCTTTTTTTGGTCCTTAGTCTAATATATCACTTAGAGTGACTTTTTGATACAACGGTGAAGGTGGCAGGCAGCCTGATATTCCTTTTTTGTATATTTTTCCTTTTTCCTACCTAGCGGGGGAAAAGAGGTCTTGTTTAGAAAGTGCTAAGTAGAGGTATTAAAATTGTCAAAGCCTTTTAATTGTCAGAACAATAATTTAAAACAAACACAAAAAGCCCCCAAACACTTTTGATTGATAAAGCATTTTAGTATCATTGAAACAAGAGTGGGAGAGGGGATGTGCTCCTCACCCATCTGTCACATATTTAGTGAGCATGTGTCTGCTGGGATCAGGGACCAGGGCTCTTCATGAGGCAGCCAGGGCTACAAAGGCAAACAAAATTCAGTGTGGTCCCTGCATACCCTCATGGAGCTTACAGTCTACTGGTTGAGAGACAGAGCCATAAAATGAAACATGGAATGGTGGTCATAAAAGGAACTGCCCGGAGCAGCAATTCCTCACTTGTGAAATATAGCAAATGTTCTACTTTACAAATTGTTCTGAAGGTAAAATGAGATTATGTAAGCAAAAGTCCTTTGTAAACTGTGGAAGCTTACATAAATGAAGTACAGTCTTCCCTTGGTGTTTGCAGGGGATTGGTTCCAGGACCCCTCCATATCCAAAATTCATAGATGCTCAAGACCCTTATATAAAATGACGTAATATTTGGATATAATCTACACACATCCTCCTGTATACTTTTTTTTTTTTTGAGACGGAGTTTTGCTCTGTCGCCCAGGCTGGAGTACAGTGGCAGGATCTCGGCTCACTACAACCTCTGTCTCCCGGGTTCAAGTGATTTTCCTGCTTTAGCCTCCTGAGTAGCTGGGGTTACAGGCACGTGCCAACACGCCCGGCTGATTTTTCTATTTTTAGTAGAGACGGGGTTTCACCATGATGGTCAGGCTGGTCTTGAGCTCCTGACCTCGTGATCTGCCCACCTTGGCCTCCGAAAGTGCTGGGATTACAGGCGTGAGCCACCGCGCCAGGCCTGGACTCTTTATGATTGCTAAAGTAAACATCCCCTGAGAACTAACCTCCAGGCTCTTCCTCCCCATTCCGTCCTGAACATCAGTCTCTGATCTCTGTATATGTGCACTGCTGCTTACTTTCCTGTCATTTTAATCCCATTCAGAAGCCTTCAGTCTGAAATTCAAACTCTTGGTATATAAGGCCTCCAGGCTAACTCCAACCTAGCTTTCTAGTCTTTTCTTGTTGCTTGCCTTGAAGTGACCTCTCACTATGCTTCCGCCAATGGGCTAATCAACTTCTTCAGGCAGCAGCTTGAAGGCAGAGTCCAATAAACTTGTTGGAGCTCAGCCACAGCATCTGCTGTGACTGCTCCTCCTCATCCTTCCTCCCAAGAACCTGCATTGCATGGTCCTGCCTGCCCCACCCAGAGTGCCCTTCTGGTTGCCGGCTTGGACCACAGGCTCTTTCAGAAGGCTGGTCTGGAATTGCTACTGCCCCTTCATGCATGTCCACCCTCTCTCTGTCTTACAATTGGCTGAGGTGTTTCTGTGCAGCTGATTTTTCTGACCCATATTCACATCGTTTACATCCCAGGTAGAAAAATAAAGATGACAACAAAGGAGAAAAAGTACCCCAGCCAAATTGGTCTAGTCACTGTGCCTGAAACACATGTTGTGTGTTGTCATCTCTATGTTTTTGCTTTTATCCTCCTGCCTGGAATTCTCTTCCTCTCCTCTGTTTTTCAAAATTAAATCCCAGCTGGGCTCTGTGGCTCCTGCCTGTAATCCCAACACTTCGGAAGGCCAAGGTGGGAGGATCATTTGAGGCCAGGAGTTTGAGACCAGCCTGGGCAACACAGTGAGACCCAATCCTGTTTCTACAATAACAATTAGCAGGATGTGCTGGCATGCACCTGTAGTCCTAGCTACCGTATGGCAGGATAAGGTAGGAGGATCATTTGGGCCCAGGAGTTTAAGGCTGTAGTGAGCTATGATTGTACCACTGCACTTCGGCCTGGGTGACAGAGTGAGATCCTGTCTCTTAAACAAACAAAAAAACCCACATGGCTTAAACCCCCTCTTCACTTTACTCCCATCATGCGTACAGCCTATTCAGAGCATTTGGTAGTCATCATTTACCATTGTAAGTTGCTGTTAGGTTTTTCCAACTGGCATGACATGCTCTCAAAGTGTACGGACTGTATGTAACATGTGTTTATATTTCCCATTTTTATGTAATCTCGAATAAGTTTTTGCTGTTTGATAAGAAAAGTGACCTGACTACATTCAGACCAGCTCCCAAGAATTTAAAAAGAACTCCTGACTTTTCAAAACTACAAAGCAGTAAACAAACTGAATTTACACTGGAAGAAAAAAAATTATTAAACTTTATACTAATTGTGCATTTTGTGAAAAGTTACAGCTTATCTGACTTACGTCTCCTCTAAGCACAGTACTTTTGTACTGTGAATATTGTTGTCAAGAAGGAAGCCTCAAACTTGAGACAGTTGTGTTCCCTTCTCATTCTTTCCGGTTCCAGGGATGGCTGCTTCAGCTTAGCACATGTGTGTGTTGGCTGGCATCAAGGTGGAGGCCCTATGTTACACAGGTGAATGAAGGCTCCTGAAGGCTTTAGGGGCTTAAGATGGAGAACCCTGCATTTCTCTTTGTACACAAGAAGTTGTGTCTCAAAATTTCAGAGATCTATCATTTGGTTGTCTACCATAATTAAAAGTGAAAATCAGAATAAAGCCACCTAGGTCATTAAATGAAATTCTTGCTTTAAAAAAGAAAGAATGGCCAGGCGTGGTGGCTCACACCTGTAATCCCAGCACTCTGGGAGGCCGAGGCAGGGGGATCACAAGGTCAAGAGAATCAAGACCATCCTGGCCAACATGGTGAAACCCCTTCTCTACTAAAAATTCAAAAATTAACTGGGCATGGTAGCACATGCCTGTAGTTCCAGCTACTTGGGAGGCTGAGGCAGGAGAATCGCTTGAACCCAGGAGGTAGAGCTTTCAGTGAGCTGAGATCACGCCACTGCACTCCAGCCTGGCGACAGAGCGAGACTCCATCTAAAAGAAAGAGAGGAGGAGAGAGAGAGAGAGAGAGAGAAAGAAGAAAGAAGGGAAGGAGGAAGGGAGGGAGGGAGGGAGGAAGGAAGGGAAGAAGGAAGGAAGGAAGGAAATGCTCCTGAGTACCATGAAGGTAAAGTATTTTGTGCCTTGAGAACATGAAACGAGGAAATATGAATTTGTTTCAGTAGCTGAATATGATCTAATACTTGATGAAATTCCTTCTTTTTGAGTTAAAACCTCATATCTATAACTTTAAAAGATGAATTTCCAGTGACCATTGTTTCTCTCTTCAGCACTCGTTGAAGGAGTAGGTTGTTGAGGAAAAGAATGGTTAGGAATTGGAAATATCTAGCTAATGGTGATGATCTTATAGTCATTCCATACTTGTTAAGTATTGTTGATTTCTCAGAAAGATTTCTAAGATATAAAATGTATTTTGGATGTAATGTCATGTAATTTTGGATATTAGTCATGGGAATCACCTCTCACGCTGCTGAAATACAGCAGTTTCTTTTCTTTTTTTTTTTTTTTTGACCTTTCTATGGTACTGACAAATGCAGCAGTTTCTTCAGCAGGGTAGCAGCATCCATGAATATAATGCTGTCAGTCACTGTGTGCTCTTTAATACCTGTGTTTACAACAACTAATTATGATGCTACTGCTTCTGTGGTATGCCCTCTGAGAAGGCTGATTTGTTACTATAATTTTATTTTTTGGCTTACTTTTTATCATGGAGGTATTTGAGCATACGGAAAAACGGAGAGAATATCATGTTACTTGGTTCCCACAATTATCAACACGTGGCCCACTTGTTTTATCTATACTTTGCTCTCATGCACGTTCACAATTTTGCGTCCCTCATTGCACTGTTTTATAGCAAATCTCAAGTATTATTTCATAAATAATTCAGTATCTCTAAAATGATGACTTTTTAAGCCGTAATACGTTTATCACATGTAAAATGAATAATTCCTTAATATTATCAAGTATCTAGTTGTGTCATCATTATTTTAAATTCTCTATCATGTGAAGAATACGTTTTAATTGTGGTATTAGCTTGATGCAGAACATATAGAGAGTTTTTCTTTTGAAATTGGAATATAAAAAGAATAACCCTGTTCCTGGAATAAAAATTTAAACACCATCTTTTTTTTTTTTTTTTTTTTTTTTGTGATGGAGTCCCACTCTGTCACCCAGGCTGGAGTGCAGTGACACTATCTAAGCTCACTGCAGCCTCTGCCTCCTGGGTTCAAGTGTTCCTCCTGCCTCAGCCTCCCAGGTAGCTGGGATTACAAGCATGTGCTACCATACCTGGCTAATTTTTATATTTTGAGTAGTGACAGGGTTTTACCCTCAAATTCCTGACTTCAAGTGATCCGCTTGCCTCAGCCAGGACCAGAGAGCGGGGGAAAACACCCAATAACTAGACATCTTCATGTAACTATCAGTCTTGGTTAATTTTAACTTACATTATATTTTCTCATTGCTTTGAAAGTTAATGAATATCATATGACTTGCTGAAAGAAAGAGGAGGCTGTTTTGAAAATTCCTGCTTCAAGTTTAAGCAGGCTGGTGCTGAGCAGGTGTTGAGTTTGTGGGCTCTTGAGCCCAATGACTGTAGGGTTTTGGATGGTAGTCAGTGGCCTTGGACTGTGAGTTTAGCACCCTCAAGACAGACTTCCAACTTTTGCTCGTTATTCATTACAGTTCACTGTGGCAGGTGTTCAGTGAGCACTTAGTTTATTCAAATTAAACTGAGGAGAATACCTCCTAACTAGAGAATACTGAAGTTATTATAATTTGAAATAATAACTTTGGGCCTGGATAGTTTTGCTTATTTGTTAATTCAAGATACTGGGCTGGGTGATTTCTTTTTTTTTTTTTTTTTTTATTGAGACGGAGTCTCGCTCTGTCACCCAGGCTGGAGTGCAGTGGTGCGATCTTGGCTCACTGCAAGCTTCGCCTCCCGGGTTCACGCCATTCTCCTGCCTCAGCCTCCCAAGTAGCTGGGACTACAGGTGCCCGCCACCACGCCCGGCTAATTTTTTGTATTTTTAGTAGAGACAGGTTTCGCCGTGTTAGCCAGGATGGTCTCGATCTCCTAACCCCGTGATCCACCTGCCTCGGCCTCCCAAAGTGCTGGGATTACAGGCGTGAGCCACTGCGGCCAACTGGGCTGGATGATTTCTAAGCTCTCTTGCTTTTGTTATAATTCAGAAATGGCACAATATGTAGTACACATATTTGAACTTCTAATAGGAAAAGCTGAACAACTCCATAGAAAACAAAGTTCAAAACAGGCAGTAATCTTTCATTTATGTGTGTGTGTGTGTGTGTGTGTGTGTGTGTGTGTGTGTGTGTGTGTGAGAGACTGGGTCTTGCTCTGTTGCCCAGGCCGGAATGCGGTGGCAGGATCAGTGCTCACTGCAGCCTTGACCTCCTGGGCCTACATATCCTCCAGCCTCAGCCTCCCAGGTAGTTGGGACCACAGTCATGAGCCACCATGCCTGGCAAATTTTTTACAATTTTTTTTTTTTTTGGTAGAGATAGGATCTCCCATTTCCCTATGTTGTCCAGGCTGGTCTCAAACTCCTGGGCTCAAGTGGTCCTCCTGCTTTGTTTGGCCTTCTAAAGTGCTAAAATTTACAGGCGCGGCCACTGTGCCTGGCTTTTTCTACACTTGTTTCTTTCCTTAGCTAGAGCTATTAGAAATGAAGAGCTGCTTGCTGGTGGGAGCACAGTAAATGTGAGCTGCCATCTACTTACTACTGGATCCAAGATGCTTGAAAGCAAAACTCTTCTGTTCAGGGATGACCTGAGGATGTAAGAATAATTAAGAGTGATGGAACTTTTTCTTTTTTGAAGAGTTGGAGTCTCACTCTGTCATGCAAGCTAAAGTGACACACGATCATGGCTCACTGCAGCCTTGAACTCCTGAGCTCAAGCAGTCCTTCTGTCTCAGTCTCTCTAGTAGCTAGGACTGCAGATGTGAATCACCACACCTAGCTAACTAAAAGAAAATCTTTTTTTAAGAGACAGGGTCTCACTATGTTGCCCAGGCTGAAAGAACTTTAATATTTATGTGTACTTGTTTATGTAGTGTAGAACCTTCCCTCCCATGTTGATATTATTAATTTGGGAAAGAAAGGGGGTCGATGACCACTTGTAAAGAATTGTGCCCTTGGAATTTTGTGTGGTTCTTTTTTGTTTTTGACTTGTTAGGGAGAATGTCAAACATATATAAAAGTAGACTAAACAGTGAGATGAACATCCAAATATCCATTATTCAAAGATTGCTTCTGTAATAAACTCACAGCCAATGCGGTTTCATCTGTACCCACACCCCTTTCTTCTTTTCATATATTTTTTTTCATTTTAAGCATTTGCAATAACTTATTTACCTAACCACCTATTGGTAGATATTTGAGTATTAAACCATTAAAAAATTTTTGTAATTAATACCCTTTCTTGCTTTGTGGTCTTGTGTGAGTTTTTTAAAGATAAATTCCTAGAAGGGGTGTTGGGTCAAAGGACATGCATTAGGCATGTTTTAGTTTTTGTAAATTTCTTCCAATTTTGAGATGTCATCACATTGCTTTCCAACAAACCTGTACTAATTTACGTTTTTGCTGAGTTCTCACTTTGTCTTTCACCTAGAATCACTGTTTGCTTTCTCTCTTTGTCTTTTATATATGTGTATATATGTAATATATGTATATATAGGCATATATATGTATTTATATAGTCCCCTGTGAAACATTTGAGGCTCTATTGCAGACATTATAACTCAGTACTCTTAATACTTTAATGTACATCTCTAAGAATAAGACATTTTCCTAATGTAATTGTGTGATCACAATACAGTGACCACACTTTTAAAACTTAAAAAAATTCCAAATATCAGTTTGTTTTATTGGTAAATATTTTAGTGTGCCAGACATTAAGTCCTCTTTGTTGTTGTTGAAACATAAACAAAATACTGTTTTTTTAATGCTTTCAAAGAGGAAGGCATTGCAAAAAAAAAAAAAAGTGGCTTAAGAGAAAAAACATTACAAAGGGAGGAATAAAACCGAAGTGTCGTGTATGCTTAAAGCAGTGAGTAAATAAAAACCTAAAAAAATGTAAGAGTAGGCTGGGTGCGGTGGCTCACGCCTGTAATCCCAGCACTTTGGGAGGCCGGGGTGGGCGGATCACGAGGTCAGGAAATCAAGACCATCCTGGCTAACACGGTGAAACCCTGTCTCTACTAAAAATACAAAAAATTAGCCGGGCTGATGTGGTGGCACATGCCTGTAGTCCCAACTACTCATGAGGCTGAGGCAGGAGAATTGCTTGAACCCGGGAGGCAGAGGTTGCAGTGAGCCGAGATTGTGCCACTGCATTCCAGCCTGGGCGACAGAGCGATACTCTGTCTCCAAAAAAAAAGCAAAAACTTCAAGATGATTTCATGCCATGGGTCATGGGGTCTCCTTGCTTGGTCTGTAGAGCTTGGGGGGCCCATCAGGGAGAGGAATGGGCACTCATTGTGCCTCCTACCCTGCTGCTTGGGTGGAAACATAACATGGCACAGGATGAGTGGGGGCTCACCCTGCTCAGGGAGTCATGGCAAGTGGCCACTCATGTGGCCCACTCCCCTCATGACCTTTGGCCAGTGACATCCACAGCAGTGGTTAGGGGCAAGGACACGAACTCCTGTCTTCTGGAGCGTTTGAACATAGCATCAGGGTGTGGCTTCCCCTCTGGAAGCTGAAGGGATACACCAAAAGAGCACTGGCCAAGGCTTTTTGCCTCCCCTGCGATGTCCCGAGCTCCTTGACTACCCCAACGCAATCCGGAAGCAGCTCTCTCAGAATCCAGCCTCCCTGCCCCACCCTGGAATGCAGGGCCAGGTCCAGGACTTGCTGTGGCGCGTGGGTGGCTCCTCCCCGCAGGCCTGGTCAGAGGAGGTGGGGCGTCGGCTCCTTTCCCAGCCTTCAGGCCGGTGTCCACGGCTGTGCTTGGCCTCCTTCACGTAGGGTTCCAGGAGCCCTTGGTGGTCTGCTTATCCACCTTCACCCCGGGAACGCCTTGACCCAGCAGCCAGTCGTGAGGTCCTTGGGCTGCCCGGCTGGCCCTTGCACCAGAACAGGCCGCTGTTGGCGAAGGCCTGGATCTCCATGACGGCCTTTGTACTGGGCCCTTGATCAGCAGACGCCGGCGCAGGCCTTGGGTGAAGAGCATGTCCTCGGGCGTCCCCGGCTTACGCATGGATGACAAGGGGTAAGAGGAGATGGAGGGGCCGAGGGCGGCTCACAGTAGAGCCAGTTTAGTACCCAGCTCGCGCACCAGCTGAATGCTCCCTCCATGGTGGTCGGTGGCCGGCAGGGCAGCTCTGCGGGTGCCAGCCCATCAACAGCCAGGCGATCAACAGCTAGGCGAGCAGCGCTGCACAGCCGTCACCCCGCAGGCCCTTGCAGTGGTAGCTGAAGACGTTGTGGGCCAGTCAGGTCGATCGGCAGCACCAGCTCCCCAGGGTTGAGGGACAGGGCTGGCCCCCTGTTGATACGCCCACAGGACCCGGGAGATCACAAGCTCGTTGGGGTTCTTTCTGAACTGCCGAGATGGCGAGGAGCAGAACCAGCGTGGCACGAGCAGAACCAGTCCATTGGCCCAGGTGGGTGGGCGCTGGCGCTTTCTTAGCCATGGCTGCAGTCACCCCTAGGTAGGAAACAGCAGAGACCCTGGAGGGACCCTGCGAGGGCGAGAGCTATGGCTGGGCCCTTCAGCACCTAGGGGAACCACCATGATGGGGGCATGGTGGGTGGTCCTCAGCTTGAAGCTGCACCCAGCCTTTACTTTCTCCAATGCGTCAGCAAAATAATATTATTGATCTACATTTTTTCTTTTCTTTTCTTTTTTTTGAGACGGAGTCTCTCTCTGTCACCCAGGCTAGAGTGCAGTGGCGCGATCTCGGCTCACCGCAAGCTTCACCTCCTGGGTTCATGCCATTCTCCTGCCTCAGCCTCCGGAGTAGCTGGGACTACAGGCGCCCGCCACCACGCCCGGCAAATTTTTTGTATTTTTAGTAGAGACGGGGTTTCTCCGTGTTGGCCTCGTGATCTGCCCGTCTTGGCCTCCCAAAGTGCTGGGATTACAGGCGTGAGCCACCGTGCCCGACCTGATCTACATTTTTTCTTATGAACACTAGAATTTATGCAGAGCTCAGTTCCCATTGTTATACATGCTGTAATTTAAAAAATTTTCTTGTACAACATTGTGAATGTCCTTAATGCCACAGAACTATACATCTAAGGTGATTAGAATGGTAAATTTTATGTGTATTTTACAATAACAAAAATAAATTTAAAAAATATTGTTTAAAGGATCCAATTGACCAACACGTTGTGTTATCTTCTCTCTTTTTTTAAACAATGTTTTATTGAAGCATGTTTTATATTGTAAGTGACCTACTTGATGAATTTTAGTAATTGTATAGAGTTATGCAACCATCATCACCATTTAGTTTTAGAACATTTTATTACCCCCAAAATGTGGTCATTTACAGACAATGCATCCTGATTCTGGGAAACCACTGATGTATTTTCTATACAATTTTGCCTTTTCTAGAAATTTCACATAAATAGAATCATCCAATATGTAGTCTTTTGTGTCTGGCATGTTTCATATAGCATGAAGTTTTTGAGATTTATCCTTGTTATTGCATGTATCAGTAGTTTGTTTTTATTGCTGAGAATAATTCCTTTTCTTTTTTTTTTTGAGATGGACTCTCGCTCTGTCACCCAGGCTGGAGTGCAGTGGCATGATCTCGGCTCACTACAAGCTCCGCCTTCTGGGTTCACGCCATTCTCCTGCCTCAGCCTCCCGAGTAGCTGGGACTACAGGTGCCTGCCACCACATCAGACTAATTTTTTGTGTTTTTAGTAGAGACGGGTTTCACAGTGTTAGCCAGGATGGTACCGATCTCCTGACCTCGTGATCCGCCCCCCTCGGCCTCCCAAAGTGCTGGGAGAATAATTCCATTGTATAAATAGGTAAAACGTTTTGTTTATCCATTCACTAGTTGATGGACATTTGGGTTATTTCTAGTTCTTGGCAGTGAACACAAGTAAAGTCTTTGTGTGGCTGTTTTCATTTCTTTTTGGTGATCCTCAAGAGTGGAATTGCTTGGTTGTATGATAAGTCTATGTTTAGCTTTTTTTTTGTTTTTGTTTTTGTTTTTTTTTGAGACTGAGTCTCGCTCAGTCGCCCAGGCTGGAGTGCAGTGGTGCGATCTCGGCTCACTGCAGGCTCCGCCTCCCAGGTTCAAGCTATTCTTCTGCCTCAGCCTCCGGAGTAGCTGGGACTGCAGGCGACCGCCACTACGCCCGGCTAATTTTTTGTATTTTTAGTAGAGATGGGGTTTCACCGTTTTAGCCAGGATGGTCTCAATCTCCTGACCTCATGATCTGCCCATCTCTGCCTCCCAAAGTGCTGGGATTACAGGCGTGAGCCACCGTGCCCGGCCTGTGTTTAGCTTTTTAAGAAATTGCCAAACCATTTTCAAAGTGGCTGTACCATTTTTACATTTGCACCAGCATTGTATGAGGACTCACTTCTCCATCCTTATTAAATTTCCTATTGTTCGTATTTTAGCCATTTTAGTTGGTGTGTAATGATACTTCATAGTGGTTTTAATTTGTATTTCCCTAGTGACTAATTATCTTTTCATGTGCTTGCCATTCATATATTTTCTTTGCTGAAGTACCTATTCAAATCTTTTGATTGAAAAATTGGATTATTGTCCGGGTGTGGTGCCTCATGCCTATAATCCTAGCATTTGGGAGGCTGAGGTGGGCAGATCGCTTGAGCTCAGGAACTCGAGACCAGCCTGGGTAATAGGTGAAACTCTGTCTCTACTAAAAAAATACAAAAATTAGCTGGGTGTGGTGGCGTGCGCCTGTAGTCCCAGCTACTTGGCAGGTCTGAGGCAGGAGGATCACTTGAACCCAGGAGGTTGAGGCTGCAGTGAGCCAAGATGGTGCTACTGCACTGCAGCCCAGTGACCAGAGGGAGACCCTGTCTCAAAAAAAAAAAAAAAAAAAAAAAGGATTGTTTATTTTTAAGAGCTTTTTGATATAAATCCATATTAGGTATATGTTTTGCAAAAAAATTTCTTTTTAAGCCTCTGGCTTGTCTTTTTTCTTCATTGTGTCTTTGAAGAGCAAAAGTTTTGTTTTTTTTTGAGATGGAGTCTCACCCTGTTGCCCAGGCTAGAGTGTAGTGGTGTGATCTTGGCTCACTGCAACCTCCGCCTCCCGGGTTCAAGTGATTCTTCTGCCTCAGCCTCCTAAGTAACTGGGACTACAGGCACATACCACTGTCCTGGCTAATTTTTGTATTTTTAGTAGAGACGGGGTTTCACCATGTTGGCCAGGCTGGTCTCGAACTCCTGACCTGAGGTGATCCACCCGCCTCAGCCTCCCAAAGTGCTAAGATTATAGGCGTGAGCTGGGGGGTGGCACCTGGCCTGAAGAGCAAACGTTTTAAACTTTGATACAGTCCCAATTTATTGTTTGTGCTTTTTCTGGTGTCATGTTTTAAAGTTATTTGCCAGGCTGGGTGCAATAGCTCACACTTGTAATCCCAGCACTTTGGGAGGCTGAGGCAGAAGGATCACTTGAGTTTAGGAGTTTGAGACCAGCCTGGCAGCATAGTGAGACCACTTCGACCACTTCTCTACAAAACATAAACAAAGTTAGCAAGGCATGGTGGCATATGCCTGTAGTCCTAGCTACTTGGTAGGCTGAGAATGGGAGGATTATTTGAGCCCAGGAGGTCAAGGCTGCAGTGAGCAGTGATCGTGCCCATTGCATTCCAAACTTGGCGACAGAGCAAGACCCTGCCTCAAAATAAAAATAAAAATTCTTTGCCAGTCCAAGCTCAGAAAGATTTTCTATTTTCTTTTTCTGGATATTAAAAAATATTGGCTCTTACATTTAGGTTTATGGTCCATTTTGAGTTTTTATGTATGGTATGAGGTAAGGTTGAGGTTCATTTTTGTCCATGTGGATATCCAGTTGTTTCTGTACCATTTGTTGAAAATACTATCCTTTTTCCATTTCCATTGAATTACCTTTGGCATCTTTGGATCTTTTAGTCTGTGAATATCGTATGCCTCTCCATTTATTTAGGTATTTTTTTAGTTAACTAAGCCATATTTTCCAGTTTCAGTGTACAGGCTTTTCTTTTCCTTTTCTTTCCTTTTCCTTTTTTTTTTCTTGCTTTCTTTTCTTTCTTTCTTTCTTTCTTGATGCTACAGTGAATAGATTTTTTTCAAATTGTTTTTAAAATTTCATTTTAAATCTCTTTTAACCTATAGTGTCCTTTTCAATTTCTTGCTCTTTTTTTCTTTCCAATTTGTTTGATAAAACCAGGTAGTTTGTCTTAATGGTGTTTTCCAGAGTTTGATTTTGCTGATTGGCTCACCATTGTGGTGGTTAACATGTTCCTCTAGGCGGGGCGTAGTGGCTCATGCCTGTAATCCCAGCACTTTGGGAAGCCAAGGTGGGCAGATCACCTGAGGTCGGGAGTTTGAGACCAGCCCGGCCAACACAGTGAAACCCCATCTCTACTAAAAATATAAAAATTAGCTGGGCGTGATGGTGCACACCTGTAATCCCAGCTACTTGGGAGGCTGAGGCCAGAGAATTGCTTGAATCCAGGAGGCGGAGATTGTGGTGAGCCAAGATGGCCCCACTGCATTCCAGCCTGGGCCACAGAGCGAGACTCCGTCTCAAAAAACAAACAAACATGTTCCTCTAACTTCTCTGTGGTGTTTAGAAGCTCAATCAGATTCAAGTTTGATTTTTTTTTTTGAAAGATAGTTCAATAGTTGGTGTTGTGTTCTTCCATTAAGAGGCACATGATGTTTCAGGTTGTCTCTTGTGATTGATGTGTCTCTGTTATTGATGGTCAACACCTAGGTCCAGTAATTTAATAAGAGAGTCTGTCATTCCTTCATCATTTATTAGCTGGAATACTTTTATAAAAAGAAACTTGTCCTTATCTTCTGTTTTGTGACCAGATGGCACAGTTGTGTGTGATCTCTTTAGTTACAAATGCAATGACTTTGTTAACAAGTAGGTATTTTTTCTAATGCATTATTTCCCAGTTGAATTGGCAAACAGTTTGAACTTATTAACAGGTTGAGGATTTGTCTGTTGTTGTTTTCCTCTGCAGTAATGGCTTATGAATAAACCCTTCTGTTGGAAACTGTATGAAAGTGTTCTACTTGTATTATAAAGATGTGCTTTACAGTCATAGACTGTATATATCCTGAATTACTACTTTATAAGAGCCAATTACAGTTTCGACCTTTTCCCAGTGTATTATTTTGTAATGAGTATATAATAATTGGTTGCTTTTTTTTAGCTTTGACTTACGATGCTTCTGTCTCTTACACTGTTTTATTGTTATAAAAGGATTTTCTGTTCTTTCCTTGATCTTGTGTATAAATAAGAAAAGTTACAAAATTGACATAAATTATATTGAGCGCTTGCTATTTTACTGTTATTTTTTTCTTTTGTATCTTAACTCTTTTCACAATTTTTGTATGGGATTTTTTTCCCCTTTTTTTTGGCTGTCAGTGCATCTGTTTTAAATACTGTCACAGTAACTTTGTAGTGTTTCTACATAGTTGTACCTCCTACTAGGAGTTATATGTAGCAGATGCTTAGCATGGTCAGGGCCAAGTGAATGAATGGGGTCGGGGATAGGGAAGGTTGGTATACTAATTGATTAGCCTAGAATTATCCCTTAAAGGTATAGAAATTTACTGCTAGCACATAAAGATTATGTGTTTTATAAAGTAACTGCTGCGAATATAGCAGGCATTTAAACAGTATAGCAGAACAGCTAGTCTGTGCCAGATGTAATATAGGTCAAATTTTGAAGTAATTTGGTTTAAAATGGACTTTTACGTGTAATATAATGTATAAGATGTAATAGCTTTGCTACAAATAAAAAGTACTGCTCAAGAAAACATGTAACTAAACATGTCCATTTAGCATATGGACTACACAGTGCAAAAACTACATGTTTTTTATAGGGATTTGGTTGAAGTTTATAAATGTTAAGGCTTTTGCATAGAAAAAAATTTTTCCTACCCTTTTTACCTGCTCTATGTGCTATTTTTTGAGCTGCTTAAAAAAAAAACAACTGATACAGCATTATATTTTCAGAAATTGGGAAATCTTTAAATAATTTGGTTTTCTTGGCCCTCTTTTAAATTAAAGGATGAGTATGATAAATAATGAGTGCTGAGACTCCAATTCTATCTAAATAGCTGCCAGAACTACTCCTGATCAGTTTCATTC
This sequence comes from Homo sapiens, assembly GCF_000001405.40. Classification (NCBI taxonomy): domain Eukaryota; kingdom Metazoa; phylum Chordata; class Mammalia; order Primates; family Hominidae; genus Homo; species Homo sapiens. The sequence continues at coordinate 52,992,937 of NC_000003.12, read as the reverse complement.
AGACAGAAGTTGCAAGCTCACCACTGTCAGGCACAGTGTAAAATCATAGAGAAAGATGAAGGTGGGGCCCAGACCCTGAGGAGCAGGTAGGCCTGAATCACTCCAGGTGAAATGCTCTTCTAGAGGGTCCCACAAAATGCTGTGGTAGTTTTGAAGAGAGAGAATTGAATTTTGCATGGGAATGTATATTTATTGTTTCCTTTACATTGTGGAGTGTGCTAACCCACCTATGATTTCCCTTAGTTTTTCCTTCTGAAAGATGATCTGCTTTTATGAAATTATTGGTTAGTTTAAGGAAACATACTGAGGAAGGAGTAGTTTTTGTTCCATTAAGACTGATTACCAAGAGCTCAATATCAAAGTCTAATTAACTGAGCAGATTTACCCATGACCTGTTTGGCCTAGTCACAGAAATACACGATATAAAGCAGAAATCAAAATCACTTTAACATTTTAATTTATTATTAAAAAAATTTTTTTTATTTTAATTTTTGTGGCTACATAGAGGTGTATGTATTTATGGGGTATGTGAGATGTTTTGATACAGACATAGAATGTGTAATAATCACGTAATGTAAAATAGAGGTGTCCATCCTCAAACACTTACCCTTTGTATTATAAACAATACTTTATTCTTTTGTATTCTGTTTTGGGCTACAGATAAACTGGAATGTATTTTAGAGGAGGGACTAGGAAGGTGAGGCAGCTCAGGACCTGCTTAGGAAGAACAGTTGATGAACGTTAGTTCTCTCAGCTATGTGAAGGGCTCTGTGTGAGTGAATGAACACAGACTCATTCTGAGTGGGCAACAGCAATGGGCAGAAGCCATAGGGACTTTGCAGCAGGTTAAGGACAGGCTTTGTGGCGGAGCTGCTTAGAAGTGGAATAGATTATCCTAGAAGGTAGTCGTGGGAGTTTTTTATCCCTGTGTCATTGATGGTGTTGGAACACAGAAATGGACAATCTCCTCCTCGGGGATGGATGATGTTTTAGTCATTTGTGCTGCTATGACAGAACACCTGAGACTCAGTAACTTATGAATAATAGAAACTTATTTTCTCACTATTCTGGAGTCTGAGAAGTCCAAAATCAAGGTGCTGGCAGATTTAGTGTCTGGGGAGGTGCCATTCCTCATTGATGGTGCATCCTCATGTGGTAGAAGGTGGAAGGGAATGTGAAAGCAAGAAGGGGCAGGCAGCTCTCAGAAGCTTCTTATAATGGCATTGATCCAATCGCTTCCTGAAAGGCCACACGTCTTAATACTCTCATATTAGGGATTAACTTTCAACGTGCAGGCTGGGCGAGGTGGCTCACGCCTGTAATCACAGCACTTTGGGAGGCCGAGGTGGGCGGATCACCTGAGGTCAGTAGTTCGAGACCATCCTGGCCAACATGGTGAAACCCGTCTCTACTAAAGATACAAAAATTAGCCAGGCATGGTGGCGCCTCCCTGTAGCCCCAGCTACTCGGGAGGCTGAGGCACGATAATTGCTTGAACCCAAGAGGTGGAGGTTGCAGTGAGCTGAGATTGTGCCACTGCACTGCAGCCTATGCAATAAGAGCAAAACTCCATCTCAAAAAAAAAAAAAAAAAAAGAAGTTTCAGCATGTGAATTTTGGGTGGGACACAACATTCAAACCACAGCAGGTAGGGAAGAATTCTCTAGAAAAGCACTGTAGGGTAATGGAGAGCTGTTATTTGAGGAAATGTTGGCACATGGGAATGGTGTGTACAACAGAACTGTTGAGGACTGTTGGACTGGGTGTTACTTATTAAAGTTTTCTCTAACTTTTAGAGTCACCAGCCTCAGTTATTCAGTGAAACAAAGAGCAATTTTAAAAAATCATCCAGGCAGCTGGCTTAATGTATGTAAAAATGCAGTGCTAGGTATAGTTGCTGAAGATACTATGCAGACGTTTGCAAATGAGACAGTAATGTGGGTGTAAAGTAGTTATTTGGGAAAAAATGAGCAAACAAAAAATGTTTATATGTTGAACTTCATTACTCATCATTTGAAGTGAAAAAATTATTCTCTTTATACTTCACCCCACTTCATTAATCTCTCTCCAAAATTGCAAGGTTGACATCACCCCATAGTAGTAATGTTTGTTCATTAGGTTTATTTCCTTGTTTTATGCGTAATATCTGAATTCCCAAGGCCAAAACTCCTTAGCTTTGATAATAGTATTTGTTAAAGTTGAGAAAACTTTTCCTTCCTTCCTTCTTTCCATCCATCCTTCTTTCCTTCTTCTCTCCCTCCCTTTCCTCTCTTTCTTGCTCAACTTTTTCTTGATGTTTTCAAAATATTAAGGTGGCTCTTTGAAGTTTAACAGTCCAACAGTCTGAATTTGTTTGACGTTTTGTTAAAGATTCCGAGAAAAGTAGTATTCTGGTGTTTGAATGGCTTATTGATTTTTTTTCTTTAAAGATTGCTTTGAGATGAAATTGAAGTAAACTTAAGACTTTGCATAGTTAGATTTGACATTAAGTCTCTTCAAGCATTTGGTTTTTGTTTCCAAGTGAGGAAGGACTGAGTGTTCTGTCATCTGACTCTGTGTCACAAAATTCCAAACTTGATGTGGCTGAGCCTGTGATACTCTTCAAAATACCATTTTGGAGGAATTTAATGTGAGTTAGACAACTGAGTCGAGTTGTCTTTTATACTTTAATAGAGAATAATACTGCATTTATCTCACATCCTATAAGAGAAAACTGAGGAAAAACCTTTTAATGACTTCGGGTGTATGCTTTGAGTTATTTTTACCTTTATGATGATGTTTTTCCTGAGTGAGTGGTTGTGTTTTGACCAACTAAGCCCATTTATTTTTTGAACATTTTAAATGCAACAATTAAAATGAACAACCCCTCCCAAGAAAAATCCTAAAAGACAACTAGCCTTTGGAATATATCCGAACAGTTTTAGTAGATGGTGCTGGAAATTTTTTCCCTTTGAAGGAGACATTAGTAACCAATTGTCTGCCTTAAGCCTACCTTTTTCGTTGTTAATTTGCAAATAATGAAGTTTTAAATTCTTGTCGGCCTGTTTGGATGACTTCAGACGTCTGTTTCAATGATAGTTTTGTCCAAGGCTGAAAGAAGTTATACATTATGTAAACACTATTTTTTTCTTTTTCTTTTTTTTTTTGAGATGGAGTCTAGCTCTGTCACTAGGCTGGAGTGCAGTGGCGTGACCTTGGCTTACTGCACCCTCTGTCTCCCAGGTTCAAGCAATTCTCCCAGCCTCCCAAGTAGCTGGGACTACAGGCGCGCGCCACCATGCCCAGCTAATTTTTGTATTTTTAGTAGAGACAGCATTTCGCCGTGTTAGCCAGGCTGTTCTCTATCTCCTGACCTCGTGATCTGCCCACTTCAGCCTCCCAAAGTGTTGGTATTACAGGTGTGAGCCACCACACCTGGCCTTATTTTTTTCTTATAAAACATGAACATTAGTAGGAATAGTTTTATGGAAGGCATGTTTCTTTCTTTCTTTCTTTCTTTCTTTTTTTTTTTTTTTTGAGATGGAGTCAGGCTGGAGTGCAGTGGCACAATCTGAGCTCACTGCAAGCTCTGGCTCCCGGGTTCACACACCATTCTCCTGCCTCAGCCTCCCAAAAGGCATGTTTCTTATAACACATGAAAACATGACCATTAGTAGCATAGTATTATTAAGGATTGAAAATTATACCAATAATTTTGTACTAAGCACTGTAAAGTGGAATTGGTAAGTCCTAATCTTAGAAAACTGGCCACCTTTGTAATATTGCATTTAAGTTCACAAAATAATAATTTAGTGGTAGGAAAGAAACCAAATTATTTTTAAGGAAAGAATAGAAAAGTGGAGAAAAGAAATCAGGAAGAGGAATCTTTCTGTTTAACAGGTGTAGAGATTTAACCAAAAATTTCTATATATTTAACATTAGATACTTTTGGTTTTCAGAGAATGTTTACATATGTTAGATTGAAAGGTGTGGGGGTACTGAAATCTATAAAAACAACTATTAAGGTGTGACTAGGGTCTAATACTAACCAAACAGAAGGCTGCCAAGTGTCCTGCTGCGCTTTGGAAATAACAGGTAAGTAAGTAGACTGCTATTCTGCCAGTTAGGGTTTTGGTTTTACATCTTGCATATAAGTCTGTTTAGATTCCTAATTAATTATCATAACCTAGGCTGGTTTTTTTCCTCATGTCCATTTAACTTTTTGTGCCAAATTATTTTACAGATTTAATGTGTTACGTAGTACATCTCTAGTAGTAACCAGAGATTTACTCCTTTTTTGGAAGCACTTACTTTAAAAGCTCCTGAAGAGTTGTTTTGTGTTCTAAATAATTTATACTTTTTCTAAATAACTAATACTTGTTCCTAGTATCATTGTTGTTAAATGTTCAGCATGCCTCTTAGGTATTGGCTCAGTGTTTTGCAGCAGACATTCACCATTGTGTTTCCCCGAGGATACCCTCGCAGCAGCATTACCCTGGAGTTGGGAGGCGTTCTTGAGGGACAGGTTCTTGAGGTGTTCTTGAGGGACTGACCTGTATGGTTGCCTGTCGTGATTTTTGAGGGGTGGTAGCCTATCCAAAAGTTCTCAATATTTATAACTGATAATCTAGTTCTTATAGGGCCTTAAACTTAAAAAAAATTCCAGTGAATTAATTGTACAGCATATGTGTCTATAGTCTAGGCATCTTTAAATTCTAACATAGAGCTTTTAAAAATGCTTGTATGTTTAATGTAACAATACAAAGCAGCAAAATCCCCAGAGCATCCTCTCTTATAATCACGAGTTAAAGTTTGGTGAGTGATTGGACCTCCCAAGGGTCTCTCTAAGTCAACCACTATAACTTCCCCTCAGCTCTCTTCTGGGTTGAGGCAGAGCCTGTTACTCCGTTGGGGAAAGACTTTGTTTTTTATGCTTTCCTGATGATTCTGACATTTTTGATGATGGCTGTTTATTACACTGATTTTTTTAGCCTTTTGGCTAAATTCAGTGTTATTCCATTCTTAATTCAGTGTTATTCCATTCCATTAAAGAATTAATAAGGAAATGTGTTTTAATTTAAAAATGTGTACTGTATCCTTTCATATGAATTAATCTGTTTTAGGGCCCTACTAGAATAAGATTTTAGAAGCTTATAGATGGCAGCATCTGTCTAGGTGCCATCCAGACTCTTGGTTACTCACCATTCTAAGCAGAACAGTATGGAACTTAGAAGTTAAATGAATGAATGAATAAAACAACTTGAGCGCAGATCATCTAGGGCCATCACTCTATGGTATAAGACATACCTCACAATTATCCTTGTATTCTCTGAGCTCCAAGAAAAGCCCCAGAGCCCAGAAACACTAAGGAGCTCAGGCTTGGGATCAGATGAGGGTTCAAATGCTGCCCCTGCTGCTTCCTATCTACAGTCATGCATGGCATGATGGTGTTTCAGTCAATGGTGGCCTGTATATATGACGGTGGTCCCATACAGTTATAATGGAGATGAAAAATTCCTATGGCCTAATGATGATGTAGTAGCCATCCTAAAGTCATAGTGAGATACCTACTCGTGTTTGTTGTGGTACTGGTGTAAATAAACCTGCACTGGCAGTTGTATAAAAGCATAACACATACAGTTATGTACAGTACATAATACTTGATCATAATATATAACTGTGGTTTATTTACTGTACTTTTAAATCATTATTTTAGAGTATATGCCTTTTATTTATTAAAAAAAAATTAACTGTAAGCCAGCCTCAGACAGGTCCTTCAGGAGGTATTCCAGAAGGAGGCACTGTTATCAAGGAGATGGCAGCTCCATGCATGTTATTGCTCCCGAAGATCTTCCAGTGGGACAGGATGTGGAGGTGGAAGACAACGATATTGATGATCCTGGTCGTGTGTAGTCCTAGGCTGTTGTGTTAGTTTTTAACAAAAAGTTTTAACAAGTAAATAAAAAGTTAATAGAAAAAAGTTATAGAATAAGGATATAAAGAAAAAATATATATATTTTGAGATGGAGTCTCACTCTTTCGCCCAGACTGGAGAGCAGTGGCACGATCTCGGCTCACTGCAACCTCCACCTCCCGGGTTCAAGCGATTCTCCTGCCTCAGCCTCCTGAGTAGCTGGTATTACAGGCACTCGCCACCACACCCTGCTAATTTTTTTTTTTTTTTTGAGACAGAGTCTTGCTCTGTCACCAGGCTAAAGTGCAGTGGCGCGATCTCGGTTCACTGCAACCTCCACCTCCCAGGTTAAAGCGATTTCCCTGCCTCAACCTCCCGAGTAGCTGGGACTACAGGCACCTGCCACCATGCCTGCCCGACTAAGTTTTTTTTTTGTATTTTTAGTAGAGATGGGATTTTGCCATGTTGGCCAGGCTGGTCTCAAACTCCTGATCTCAGGTCACCTGCCCACCTCGGCTTCCCAAAGTATTGGATTACAGACGTGAGCCATGGCGCCCGACCAAAAAAATATTTTTGTACAGCTATACAGTGTTTGTATTTTAAGCTATGTGTTATTACAAGAAAGTCAAAAAAATTTTAAAAATCAAAAAGTTTATAAAGTTACAGTAAGCTAAGGTTAATTTATTATGGAAGGAAGAAAAGTATTCTTAAAACAAATTTAATGTGGCTTACATGTGCAGTGTTTAGAAAGTCTACAGTAGTATACAGTAATATCCCAGGCCTTCACATTCACTCACCACTGACTGACTCACCCAGAACAACTTCCCAGTCCTGCAAGCTCCATTCATGATAAGTGCCCTATATAAGTGTTCCATTTTTTATCTTTTTTTTTTTTTTTTTCCTGAGACGGAGTCTCACTCTGTCTCCCAGGCTGAAGTGTAGTGGCATGATCTCAGCTCACTGCAACCTCCACCTCCCAGGTTCAAGCAATTCTCCTGCCTCAGCCTCCTGAGTAGCTGGGACTACAGGCGCCCACTACCACACCGAGCTAATTTTTGTATTTTTAGTAGAGACGGGGTTTCACCATGTTGGCCAGGCTGGTCTCAAACTCTTCACCTCAAATGATCTGCCCACCTTGGCCTCCCAAAGTGCTGGGATTACAGGCGTGAGCCACCTCGCCTGGCCTCATTTTTTATCTTTTATGATATATTTTGACTACACCTTTCCTATGTTTAAATATGTTTAGATACACAAATACTTACCATTGTGTTACAGTTGCCTACAGGTTTGTAGCCTAGGGGCAATAGGCTACACCGTATAGCCTAGGTGTATAGTAGGCCGCACCATCTAGGTTTGCGTAAGTATACCCTATGATGTTCGAATAATGACAAAATTGCCAAACAACAAATTTCTCAGAACATATCCTCATTATTAAGCGATGCATGACTGTGTATGAACTGACATGTTAACTTTTCCTCATCTGTAAAATGGAATTATCATTGTATGAGTTAAGCAGAATAGGATTAAATAAAAGATTATTAAAAAATAATAAACACTTAAATATTAAGCTTACCATGTGTTGGACAGTGTTCTGTGTGCCTAATTATTTAGTATACAATACATAAAAAGTGCCAGGCACATACATAGTAGGTACTCAAATAATCTTTTCTTTTTTCTTGATAAATGGTTAACAAGCATTTGTTCTGTTGAGATGAAGTTTCTGATCTGTGACTTGACATGAGAAAGCTGAGAAACAGCAACCATGAAATTACAGAATAATTTCAAGTCTTTTCATAACTGAACATGGTCTTTTCCTATAATCTTTTTATAATACTATTGGAATTGGTATGTTTTGACAGTGCTTGTGTTGGTGAATCAAATAGCTCCTGATTTAATCAGAACAAAGACATACTGTTTCAACATGTGCTCATGTTACTGGCTCCCATAAATAAAGCATTTAATTGATGAAAATGTAATCATATTTGAACTCTGGAAGAGCTACCGTTCCAGCCTATAAGATAATATAAGGATAAAGAATGATTTTAAATGCTTTTGACATATTCTGGTACAGTGAAAGATAATTTCAAAACTGCAATTTAGTCGTCTTGGTATCTGGCAAAGAGGAGGTGCTCAATATCCTGGTACTAATCAGTAATTGCTAAGGAAGCCGGGCTGCGAAGTGGTCATACTTAGCCAACTGTGGACCAGGGATTTATAGGGTGGTCAGCCTGATATTTCCAAACTCATTATAGTATGAATCATTATAGTATGAATAGACACACACACACACACACACACACACACACACACACACACACAGTATTTAGTATAGTATTCAGTATATATTATAATAATATATATTACCTATATTCAATATAGTATTCATTATAGTATGAATTTTTAAAGATTATTTATGCCTGAGATTATTGAAAGACATACATTAAAGAAAGCTAGAAAATTTGTCATTGAAGTGCCTGTATTGGAAAGTATGTGGGTGTTGAAATTGGAATGTTAAAAAACAAGGCAGCATAAATTACTGAATTGCTATGGGGAAATGCCTTCAAGGCTGATTGGTAAACCTAGAGAACGTGAAATGTAAGATGGGATTGAAGCCAACAAGGAGGTTCCCAAGGGGCAAAAAAAAAAAGAATTGGCCCCATTCTTGCTGTCTAAAAAAGTTTTTTATGATGTTCAAATGAAGCATCGTGGGTGAAAAAAAGCTTATAAATTGGAGACACTACACAGATAGTAATTATACTTTTGTTGATTGAAAACATTTTCCTGAAAACTCCAAGAACAAACCTTTAGTGGTGAGGGAAGTAATCATATTGCCCTATTTTGCACTGAAGCTCATCATAATTTTTCTTCCTCAAACCATTCCTACTTCAGACTTCCCTTTTTCCATAAGTGGCAGTTCTATCCTTCCAGTTGCTTAAGCCAGAAACTTCAGTCAGCCCAGATACTGCTCTTTCTCTCATACACCAAATCCATCTTACATCTTCCTCCACATTTTCACTTCTCCTGTCCTAGACCTAGCCACCAACACCTTTCACTTGGATTATTCTGTGGTCTTTTTAGTTGGTCTTCCTGCTTCTGCTCTTGCTTTCTTCTCACATAGCTGCAGAGTGATCCTTTTAAAAGATAAATCAAATTATGTTCCTCCTCTGCTCAGAATCCTTCAATGGCTTCCCCAAAGCCAAAATCTTCACAGCAGCCTGCAAGTTCATATAAAATATGACTCCCTGATAGCTTCCTGAGTTCATCTCCTAGCATCTCTGCTGTGATCATTTTGTTCCAACCACTGTGGCCTCAAATACGCCACACAAGCTCCCACTTCAGAGACTTTGCTCTTTTTGTTTTTCTGCCTTGAATATTCTTCCGCACGTACCCACATGGCTCACTTCCTCATTTCCCTCTGGTGTTGTTTTGTGTTACCTCAACACTAAGGCTTTGATCACTCTGTTAAAAGTAGGACTCCCTGTCCTCCTCCCTTGTTCAGTTTTTTTCTCCTAACATTTGTTTTCATTCAACATACATATTATAGTTGACCCTTGAACAACACAGGGGTGTTGACCCCACACGCAGTTGAAGATTTGCATATAACTTTTGACTTCTCAAAAACTTTACTAATAGCCTACTGTTGACCAGAAGCCTTACCACAATAACATAAGCAGTCAATCAACACGTATTTTATATGTTATATATTACATACTGTTTTCTTACAATAGAGTAAGCTGGAGAAAAAATGTTACAAAGAAAATCATAAGGAAGAGAAAATATATTAATATTGACTCTTCACTGAGTGGAAGTGGATCATCATAAAGGTCTTCATCCTTGTCATCTTCACGTTGGGTAGGCTGAGGAGGAGTAAGAGGAGAGGTTGGTGTTGCTGTCTTAGGGTGCCACAGGTGGAAGAGGGGAGGAGGCAGAAAGGAAGGCAAGAGGGGCAGGTACACGTGGTGTAACTTTTCAGAAATAACATTATAGTTTCTGTCTGAATGTTTGCTTTTTCCTTCCTCTAAAACTGTTTCTATATGGTATCAACTCCTCTTCCACTGTTTGCTTTAGTTTCAGTGCCATATCATAGAGGGATCTTGTCATAAAAGCAGTCCTGAGTAATCCAAACCCTTCTGCCAGATTGTCAATGTTGATTTATTTTCTGGCACTGCTTCTTCTACATCTTCTTCTTTATTGGCACTGGTTTTGGAATTATTCATCTCCATCAAGTCGTCTTCTGTTAATTCCTCTGGTGTGCTATCTATTAGCTCTTGAATTTCTCCACGATCTATATCTTTTTTTTTTTTTTTTTTTTTTTTGAGATGGGAGTCTTGCTCTGTCGCCCAGGCTGGAGTGCAGTGCCGCGATCTCAGCTTACTTCAACCTCCGCCTCCTGGGTTCAAGCGATTCTCCTGCCTTAGCCTCCTGAGTAGCTGGGATTACAGGCATATGCCACCATGTCCGGCTAATTTTTGTATTTTTAATAGAGACGACGTTTCACCTTGTTGGCCAGGCCTGTCTGGAACTCCTGACCTCAAGTGATCCGCCCGCCTCAGCCTCCCAAAGTGCTGGCATTACAGGCGTGAGCCACCGCGTCCGGCCCATGATCTATATCTTAACCCTTCACCTCCGACCTTTTTGGCCGTATCTACAACCTCTTTCATGATTTTTGTGATTGGCTCTGTTGTCAATCCTGTGAAGTTATGCAGGACATCTGGACAATTTTCTCTAGCAGGAGTCTATTGTTTCAGGCTTGATGGCTTTCAGGACTTTTTCTATAACAATGGAATCTTCAATAGTGTAATCCTTCCAGACTTTCATGATGTTCTATCAGGGTTCTCTTGCATAGTGTTGACAGTCCTTTCCATAAAGGAATGTGTGTAATGAGCCTTAAAGGCCCTTATGAGCTCCTGATCTAGGGACTGAATTAGAGACATTGTGTTTGGGAGCAAGTAGACGCCCTTCACCAGTTTTGGTGTTGAACTCATGGGGTGAGTTGAACTCATGGGTGGCTTGGGGGCATTGTCAAATATCAAAAGAACTTGAAAAAGCAGACCCTTACTGGCAAGGTACTTCCTGACTTCAGGGACAAATCATTGATGGAACCAGTTCAGAAAAAGGGTTCTTTTTGTCCAGGCCTTAATGTACAACCAAAAAACTAGCAGCTGGCTTTTATCTTTTCCCTTCGAGGCGTGGGGGTTAGCGGGCTGTCCTGATTATAAACCTAACTGCACTTGCTCAAAATAGTCAAGTTAGCCTATCCTTTCCTCCCTTAAATCCGGGTACTTTCTTCTCCTTACTAATTAATGTCCTTTGTAGCACATTTTCCCCCAAAATAGAGCACTTTCATCAGCATTAAAAACCTGTTCAGGTTGGGTGCAGTGGCTCATTCTTGAAATCCCAGCATTTTGGGAGGCCAAGGTGGGAGGATTGCTTGAGCCCAGGAGTTTCAGACTAGTCTGCTCAATGTAGTGAGACCTCGTCTCTGCAGAAAAGTAAAAAAAAAAAAAAAAAAAAAATTAGCTGAGCATGGTGGCATATGCCTGTAGTCTTAGCTACTAGGGAGGTTGAGGTGAGAGGATTGCTTGAGCCTAGGAAGTGGAGGTTGCAGTGATCCGAGCTCATGCCATTGCACTCCAGCCTGGGTGACAGAACAAGACCCTGTCTCAAAAAAATTCCACAGAAACCTATTCAGGTGGAAATCCTTTCTCCTTAATGATTTTCTTAACTGGCATTGGGGAACTCATTTGCTGCCTATTGGTCAGCAGAAGCTGCTTCTCCTCCTAAAGTTTTAAAGCCAAACCACTTTCTAAAATTATCAAACCATCCTTTGCTGGCATTAAATCCTCCAGCTTTAGATCCTTCACCTTTTTTTTTTTTTTTTCTGAGATGGAATTTCGCTCTTGTTGCCCATGCTAGAGTGCAGTGGCATGATCTTGGCTCACTGCAATCTCTGCCTCCCAGGTTCAAGTGATTCTCTTGCCTCAGCCTCACGAGTAGCTGGGATTACAGGCATGTGCCACCACGCCCGGCTAATTTTGTATTTTTAGTAGAGATGGGGTTTCTCCATGTTGGTCAAGCTGGTCTCGAACTCCCCACCTCAGGTGATCCACCCGCCTCGGCCTCCCAAAGTGCTGGGATTACAGGCGTGAGCTACCGCGACCGGACTCCTTCACCTTTCTTTTGCTTTGTCATATAATGACTTTGCTTTTTCTCAAATCATATGAAAGTTTATAGGTATGCCTTTCTACAGCAGTCGTGCACCCACATAAAAGCTGCATTTTCAACATGAGATAAAAACATAATTCACACAAAATGCGAGGTTTTTGCACCTGTTGGCGTAGCTGCAGTGATGGCTTCACAAATTTCCTTTGCTTTTTTTTTTTTTTTTTTAAACAATGGTCCTTGTGCTGGATTTACTTATCTTGAAATGGAGGCAGCTGCAGCTGTAGACCTCAATCTATTGTACATATCAAGCAATCCAGCTTTTTCTTATAATGTCACCACTTCTTTCTGCTTCTTGAAAGCACGTCCAGCATCTCTAGCGGTACTTTCTATGGGTCTTACGGTGTTATTAAATACAGTACTGCACTAAGCATCATGAAAAATGTGTAAGAACCATGGGAGATCACTTTTTATTGTGATATTATTTATGCATTTTACTGGAGAGACGAATTGCCCACGTGGAGATGATTAGTGTCATACAGCATTTTACGGAGATAGTCGCAACACTTGAGCTCAAGGCAATAGCAACAGGAGATAGCTGCAAAATGATTTCATATTGCAAATGATGCAATATGTACTACACTTAATTTTGTGTAGTTATGATGTAAAACTGCATCTTTAGGTTTGTTTACATTTCTCAGGACTGGGAATGACACCATGTACAGTCTGTGTTTGTATAAGTTTTGATATTTTTTAACTTTTAATAATAGATTTGTATATAAAAGTGGTAAATGATAGACTAATAGGTACATGTATTTTATGCATTCACAACACACCTTTTTCTTAATTTTTTGATATTTTTAAGCTACATGGTTTGTCTGCAAGTTTTTTCAAATTGTCATAAATCTCCAAAAATTTTTCCAAGATAGTTATTTTTAAAAATCTGTAAGTGGACCCATGTAGTTAATGCCCATGTTGTTCAAGGCTCAGTTGTATTTATTTTATTGCTGGCTATCTACACACTTTAGATTATGAGATTCGTGAGGGCAGGTTTCAAAATATTTCTTCACCTAGAACAAATGTGGTGTGGCGATAATAAGTGCTCAGTAAATATTTATTGACAGAATTCCATGACTGTTCATAGTATCACTACTATTGATTCATGAAGCCTCCTTTAAGTAGAATAACTGCTATTCACTGTTAATATAAGTTCTGGTGAATGGCAATACTAATTTAAGCACTCTGTTACTAATGGTGGGAAGTGCCATACTGTAGTTTGCAGCTTCCTTTGTAGTTGGATGGGGTCTTGTGACCGGATTTTAATTAGTGGAATGTGGGTGGAAGGGACGTACCACTTTTAGGTCTGTCCCATGAAAACCTCCCATGTGTGATCCCCTACAGTGAATGATTTGTGAAGACTTTGTTGAAGGTGGTAGAGCTATGTGGCGGAAGGCTTTTGGCTTCATGAATAATCACATGGTGGAGAGTTGCCTACTGATTAGGAACACCTGTTTGGACTTCATCTGAGTGGGAAATACATATCTGTTGGATTAAGCAATTGAAAATAGAAATTTATCTGTTAAAGCATAACATTACCTTAACTGATACAAACCAGTAACAGCCAAATTATTTTCTTTCTCCTTCTGTTGCATATCCTAAGGGTAACCCAGATATCTTGTCTCTTTTTTTTTTGTCATTGGCTTCTGTATTTGAAATGTTATTTAAAAGCACAGTTATGTCCTTGAATATAAGTACCATTTTTATAGTTTTACTGAGATATATTTCACAGACCATAAAACTCACTTATTTAAAGTTTACAGTTTTTTTATTCACAGAATAGTACAACTCTCACCACAGTCTAATATTAGAATGTTTTAATACCCCCAAAAGCAACCCTGTACATATTAGTAGTCGTTATCCATTACCTTTTCTCTACCAGCCCTTGGCAACCACAATCTACCCACTTGTCTCTGTGAATTTGCCTCTGTGGTCATTTTATATAAATGGAAGCGTATAATATGTGGCCTTTAGTGTCTATCTTCTCATGTACAATATTTTCAAGGTTATCCTTGTTGTAGTATGTATTCGTACTTCATTTCTTTTTATGGCTGAATAATATTCCATTATATTAGATATATTACATTTTACTTAACCATTAATTGGTTGATACATTTGATTTGTTTCTATTTTTTGACTATTATAAATAATACTACGAACATTCATGAACAAGTTTATGTTTGGACATATGTTTTCAAATGTCTTGGGTATATATTGAGGAGTGAAATACTGGCCCATATGGTAACTCTATGTTTAACACTGAGGAACTGCCAGACTGTTTTCCCAGGTGGTTGCATCATTTTACATTCCCACCAACATTGCCTTTACGTTTTGTTACCCCCAGAGGAGTAGGGTCACCTGGTAAGTATAGTTCCTTAAGGGCTGTAGGTGGGGGGTACTCACAGAGGTACATGGGAGTGGCAGGCAGTGTGAAGTTGACCTCTCTCCTGCCTCTTCTCCTTCTACTTGTTCTTGCTTGCTTACTTGGCACCAACTACCCTGGCCTCCCTGCTATTCCTAGAACATAGCTCACTCTCACATGCTCTCCCTTTAGGCCCTTTCTGCTGGCTTTTCCCTCTGCCTGGCATGCTCTTTCCTTCTGTAGCTCCCTCAAGTCTTTGTCCATATGTTACCTTCTCAGTGAAACCTCCTTTCTCTCTACCCGATTTAACCACCCCACACTGTCATTCCTCCCCAGCTCTATCACTTATGACATTTAGAAAAAGTATTATACTTTCTTCCTTACACTAAAATATAAGCTTCATGAGGGCAGAGATTTTGGTCTGTTTTCTTCACTGATATATCTCTAATTTTTTTTTATTGTGCCTGACACATAATAAGTTTCCAGTAAATATTTATTGAAAGAATGAATAAATAGCTTTCCATGTCAATAAATGCATTTTTTGTCTTAAAATTTTAAATCACTGAAGTAAACATATGAGTACATTTTTATCTTAAAAAGTTTACCCAATACTGTTAAAAGAAACACTCCCTTTTGCCCTGCCCCTGAATCTCACTTTCCTGTTAATGATTTGGATGTATTCTTCCTGACCACGTTAAAGGTATCTGCACATATATATGTGTGCCTATAGAAATACGTAGTTTTGTTTTTGTTCAGTTTTATGTAGATATAGGTTATATGTATACATCTATATAAAACCACTATCCAAATCCAAAGCTTATTTCATCACCCCAGCATGAACTTTATGCTTACTAAGCTGTCTTACTCTTTTTAACTTTCATCTTGTGGATGTGCCATTATGTATTGATTGACCCTGAGGTTTCCAGTTTTTTCTTTTCTTTTTCTTTTTCCTTTTTTTTTGATACGAAGTCTCACACTGTCGCCTGGGCTGAAGTGCAGTGGTGCGCTTCACTGCAACCTCCGCCTCCTGGGTTCAAGCGATTCTTCTGCCTCAGCCTCCCGAGTAGCTGGGATTACAGGCGCCCGCCACTAGGCCTGGCTAATCTTTTTGTATTTTTAGTAGAAACTGGGTTTCACCATGTTTTTCAGGCTGGTCTCGAACTCCTGACCTCGTGATCCACCTGCCTCAGCCTCCCAAAGTGCTGGGATTACATGCGTTAGCCACCGCTCCCAGCCTCCAGTTTTTTCTTAATACAGGCATTGCTCAAGCAAACATTTTGGTTCTTGCTACTTTGTACACATGGGGATGTTTCTCTGTGTATGCCCTGAAATGAGGACAGTTTAAACTCTTTCTTTGAAATTGTTGTGCTATTTATTTGCTTGTTGTCTCAGGATATTTTTCTGAAATGTATTGGAAGTGGAACTGGTGGGTTGTAGAGAATGCAAGTTAAAATTTTGATAGAATAAAATTTCTGTCTAAAAGGGCTATATCCATTTGTGCTCCTGAACTGATAATGACGGCTTCCATTTCTGCATGTCTTCAACTATATTCAGTGTTACTAATCTTTTGTTTTTGCCAATCTGGGTGAAAAATAAAATTTTAGCTGTTGAGGTTGAATATGTTTTCATATGATTACCAGTCATTCCCTACAATTATCGTTCATATCTGACCTTTTAAAAAAATGTCCATGTTATTAGGTTTGGTCTTATTTATCTAATAGGTGCTGTTATTATGGCTATTAATATTTTGTCTGCTATATACGCTGGAGATAGTTTTTTTTCTGTAGCTTGTTTTTTAAATTTGTTTATGGTTCTTTTTGCCAGTTGAAAGTTTTAAATGTTTATTTAGTCAAATGTATCCATTTTATGGCTTCCTTGCTTAAGGAAATCTATGCTATTCCAAGGCTATAACCATATTCACGTATGTTTTCTTTTAATTTCTTTGGAATCTTCTTTTTCATGTTTTTCTCTTTTAATTC
This sequence comes from Homo sapiens, assembly GCF_000001405.40. NCBI lineage: Eukaryota > Metazoa > Chordata > Mammalia > Primates > Hominidae > Homo > Homo sapiens. The sequence goes on along the minus strand of NC_000003.12, from coordinate 52,976,485 downwards.
ACTTGGAATTTATTTATGTGGCAGCATAAAGTAAGGTTCTAATTTTTTTTCCTCCCAAAATGGATAGCCAATTCTTTAACACTATTTGTTTGTATCCTTTCACGATTTTATATGGAATGCTCTCTTTATCACAAACTGCACTCTCATAAAAATTGATCTATTTTGTTCAACTTTATTTTACTTTATTGATGTTTGTCTTTTCTTATGCTAATATTACACTATTTTGATTTGAGAAAAAACTTTTTTTGTAGAGATGGAGTCTCACTATGCTGCCCAGGTTGGTCTTGAACTCCCAGCCTCAAGTGATCCTCCTGTCTTGGCCTCCCAAAGTGCTGGGATTACAGGCATGAGCCACTGTGTCTGGCTTAATATTTTGATAGAAGGAACTTGCCTTGTGTCATGTTTTACAAAAATGTAGCTGGATTGTCCATTTTTTTCTCTTTTAGATGCATTTCATTTTATTTTTTGTTTTTTTGGAACACAGTCTTGCTCTATCACCCAGGTTGGAGTGCGGCGGCATGATCTTGGGTCATTACAGCCTCTGCCTCTCAGACTCAAGCAATTCCCAACTTCCTGGCTGGTTGCGTTGTGGCTCATGCCTGTAATCCCAGCACTTTGGGAGTCTGAGGCAAGAGCAGATCAACTCACCTGAGGTCAGGAGTTCGAGACCAGCCTGGCCAACATGGTGAAACCCTGTCTCTACCAAAAATACAAAAAGTAGCCGGGCGTGGTAGCACACACCTGTAATCCCAGTTACTTAGGAGGCTAAGGCACGAGAATTGCTTGAGCCTGGGAGGTGGAGGTTGCAGTAAAACGGGATTGCGCCACTACATTCCAGCCTGGGTAACAGAAGTAGACTGTCTCAAAACAAACAAACAAAAAAATTCTCAGCTTCCTGAGTAGCTGAGATTACAGGCATGTGTCACCACGTTTAGCTAATTTTGGTTCTTTAAATTTTTCGTAGAGATGAGGTCTTACTATATTGCCCAGGCTGGTCTGCAACTCCTGGGCTCAAGCTATCCTCCCGCCTTGCCTTCCCACAGTGCTGGGATTACAGGTGTGAGCCACTATGCCCAGCTTAGGTGCATTCTAAAATTATCTTATCAAGTCAAATACAGTGGCCTATTGGGTCAACCATAGAATCAGAAGAAAAAAAATGCCCTATTGGGATTTGGAGAAGAAAACCATTTCTCTAACACAATTTCCAATGGCCATGTATGGTGCATTGTATGCTTATGCTATATTTTACTTAACAATTTCTCATTGTTGTCCAAAATCTTTAAAAATATTGGCTCCACAGTTTCACTTTCTTTGTTTTCTTTTTTTCCAGTTTAGGTTATTCTTGAGTTTGGGTTTTGTTTAGAACTTTTTCAGTGGTTTTATAAATTTATTAGTACCAGTTTATTCAACTGAGATGGATTTGCCCTGTGTTGGGTTTATAAAATCATGAAAAGGTTTGGCTCAGATTTTTTTTTTTTTCTGATACAGGGTCTTGCCCTGTCACCCAGGCTGGAGTGCAGTGGCGCAAACTTGGCTCACTGCAACCTTTGCCCTGGGTTCAAGCAATTCTCCCACTTCAGCCTCCTGAGTAGGTGGGATTACAAGCATGTGCCACCACACTCAGCTAATTTTTTTTTTTTTTTTTTTTTTTTACTTTTTATAGAGACAGGGTCTTGCCATATTGCTCAGGCTTATCTCGAACTCGTGAGCTCAAGTGATTCGCCACCTCAGCCCCCCAAAGTGCTGGGATTACAGGCGTGAGCCACCGTGCCTGGCCTCAGATTTAATTTAGATGATATGAGTGGCTAAGATTTTTCTCGCAAAATTGAACTAAAACCTTGACTTTATCAGACTTTATTTTTTAATCTCTCTAGTCAGACATGTAGCAGTGGGTTAAAAGAATAAAAATGACATAACAAACAACTTAATGAAACAATAGAAGATTTCTGCCCCTGAGTTATGTTGGCATTTGACAAATGGAAGGACAACGTTTAATTTAGATAGACAAATAAAACATGTAGTTACAGTTGACTATAGTAAGAGTGAAAGGCTGACAGAAAACTACACCTGTTGGGGAATGGGAACAGGAAATATAAGGTGACTCTACCACTGACTGCACTGTCAGGGTCAGAGTTAACTTTGCACATCTGCTGAAAATGGAGCATCTGATTTGCTGAATTGTTGCAATTAGTATATTTAACAACATACTCGAAATTATTGTTGGACTTGTTTCTGTTGAGGGATAAGTGTACAAATTCAAACATTTCAATAGGAATTTTCTTGCTAACTGCCTGGTATTTATTGAATTAAAGTGTTTTGTTTTGTTTTGTTTTTCCAGCCACCGAACATATCAGTGATCTTTAGAACCACCCTGAGGTCCTGTCCTTTCTAAGCCCTTTAAAAGTTACTTATGTCAGACATGTTAAATCATTTGGCTGAGGATACTTCCCACAGAAATTTTTCTTGCATTATTGCAACTTCCCCATGTAATCACTCATCTTAATCAATGTTTATCTTAGCCTTGAAAAGAAAGGGCATTAACATGAAGCCAGGTTACTACTACTAGGCTTAGAGTGTGGACTTGTATGTGTAATATAAAACAAGATGGGAGGGCTGAGGCAGGCGGATCACTTGAGGTCAGGGGTTCGAGACCAGCCTGGCCAACGTGGTCTCTACCACAATACAAAATTAGCCAGGCATGGTAGCTCATGCCTGTAATCCCAGCTACTTGGGAGGCTAAGGCAGGAGAATCACTTCAACCTGGGAGGCAGAGGTTGCAGTGAGCCGAGATTGTGCCACTGCACTCCAGCCTGGGCAACACAGTGATACTGTGTGTAAAAAAACCCCACCAAGATGGGAGGGGAAAATTTTGTCTAACATATTTGTTGTTCAGATGACTTTTAGGTCTTTCAAAAAAACCTGTTAAAATTCCATGGTAGTTTTATTTTATATTGATGTACCACTTAAAAATGAAATAGCTATTCAGTTTGATTTTTCTGCCTGGGTTTAGTTGTTGTTCTTTTTTAGTATTTGTCTTGAAAGCTTATTTTATCCAATTAGCTTTGCCTTTTCAATTTTTATTTATATTTCTTAGAAGTATTTAAAATTTCTCCAAGCTTCAGTATATTTTCTTAGAACCCCCTCCAAATATCTAGGCACCTATTTAGTTCACTAAAGTATTAAATAAGATGAGTAAGATCCAGATCAGTTAATTCATGAGAATTTATTTATTTTTACTTTTATTTATTTATTTTTACTTATTAATTTTTGAGACAGGGTCTGTCTCTGTTGCCCAGGCTAGAATGCAGTGGTGTGATCATTGCTCATGGTAACCTCAGACTCCTGGGCTCAAGAGATCCTTCCGCCTCAGGCTTCCAAAGCACTGGGACTACAGGGGTGAGCCATTGGGCCCAGCCTTATAAGTACTTATTTAAATGAATAACTCTTTCTTTTTTTCCTTTTTTGAGGCAGAGTCTCGCTCTGTCACCCATGCTGGAGTGCAGTGGTACGATCTTGGCTCTCTGCAGCCTCAGCCTCCCAGGCTCAAGCGATTCTCTTCTGAGCCTCCCAAATAGCTGGGATTACAGGTGCCCGCGACCACACTCAGCTAGTGTGTGTGTGTGTGTGTGTGTGTGTGTGTGTGTTTAGTAGAGATGGGGTTTTACCACATTGGCCCGCCACCACACTCAGCTAGTGTGTGTGTGTGTGTGTGTGTGTGTGTGTGTGTGTGTGTGTGTGTGTTTAGTAGAGATGGGGTTTTACCACGTTGGCCAGGCTGTCAAACTCCTGATCTCAAGCAATCCACCTGCCTCGGCCTCTCAAAGTGCTGGGATTACAGGCGTGAGCCACCTCACCAGGCCTTAAATGAGTAACTCTTAGTGTGTTCTGTTCACTACAAGAGGGTGATAATACCAAAATAAATGATAAAATAAATGATGACAGTAAGACAATTTAATATGAACAGGAAATAAAGGAAAAGTGAATTAAATTTTCATATACTAAGCGCCTGGATAGTTTACCGTTTTTTCTTTACTGCATGAAAAGACAGCAGGCTAACAATAAAGAGAGAGCGTGAACAGATGTTCCACAGCAGAAGACTTCATCAGTCTATTTCTTGTGATCCTATTAAGATGATGAACTGATTGCTCATTGGCTAAAATCTAAATGATTGATGTAAGGTTGAAAAAATGTCACAGCCTTAGCTTTCTGCTACGTAAGACTTGCATCTCTCCACTTAATGCCTTTTGGCTTTGAAGCTTCATTATTATTTTTGTACTTTGTGGCTCTCTGCACAAAATACTCTAGCATGTTCCAAGAGCTCATGAACATAAACAGTAGATGACATCTTCAAAGCCTAGTGACCCAACAGATATTTATTTAGCACTGACTTCGTTCTATCAAAACCATGCTGAAGTGTCAAGACTTTATATGTGGAGATTATCCACTAAATTAGAGCCATAGAAATTTGAACCTGTCAACAACCTGCTTAAAACAGTGCCCCAGCACGTAGGCAGTCCTCAGTAAATATTAATTGCTGTTATCCCTTCTCTTCCTGTTCAGTCTTTTATTTGCCACTTATTCTGTTGGTTTGCATGCTCTAGCCACAGCAGCCTTCAGGTCCTTCCCACTGTAGAGCCTTGGTTTATGCTGTTCTTGGTGCCTGGAATAGTCCTCCTTTTCTCCCCCTTTTGCCTAGCTGCTGTATCATTTTCTCAGGGACACTGTCAGTGACCTTAGGTTAGACCTGCCTTTATATTCTTTCTTATCATCTAGTACTTCTACTTGCTAGCAATTTAAATAATTTTTTTATTGTTGGCTTAATTTGTCTCCCTGCAGTTGAAAATAAGCTCCATGAAAGCAGGAACCATATCTCTCTTGATTACTTTACCCCACCCCTACAGTAGTGGTTGGTAAGGAGCTGGTGTTTGATAAGTATATGGGGATGAATAAATTGGTAGGTGGAGTGATACAGTTTGGATGTTTTGGGCTTGGGGTAGAAAAGTAAACTGAGGGAAGAGAGCACATTTAGAAGCCTTAAACATCACTCTCAAGTTTCTTTTCAATTGTTCCCATCTTTGAAAGTGTGGGTTTCGGTGCTTATATTCTGTGATACGATTTGGGATAATTGGCATTTATCTCAAGTGGGATGTCCACAATTTTAATAGTTATCAAAACGTTTTCTACGCTCATTATGAAATGAAAATTTAAAATCTGAAAAAGATCTTTATTTGTTTTATAGATAAAAAATGGACATAATACGGTAGCGTATCAGATTGCATAGCTAGTTATCAGTAGAGCTGGCACTAGAACCTAGGTTTCCTTACCTCCCCACTTTTTTTTTTTTGAGACAGGATTTCACTCTCATTGCCCAGGCTGGAGTGCAGTGGCATGATCTTGGCTCATTGCAGCCTTACCCTCAGCCTCCTGGGCTCAAGCGATTCTCCTGCCTCAGCCACCCAAGTAGCTGGGACTGCAGGCATGCACTACCACACCCAGCTAATTTTCATATATATTTTTTGAGACAGGGTTTTGCTGTGTTGCCCAGGCTGGTCTTTCACTCCTAGGCTCAAGTGATCTGCCCGCCTTGGCCTCCCAAAGTGCTAGGATTACAGGCATGAGCCACGCACCTGGCCATCCCTACCCATTTTAAGCTATTGTCCTTTAGGTAGCTGGTACCTTTTCAGGCAAAAGTGGTATAAGGATGTATTAAAAGCTAAGCTTTTTCTTCATGATTAAAGTTGCTTATGAGAATCATTTACTGGGGGCTCTAATACACACTCAAAACTTTTGAGAAGTATAGAATTGCTTGATCCTGCAGAATATCACTCCCAAAGCTGTGCTGTTAAGTACCCATCCCAATGCTATAGTTTTCTGTATTGTCGCTCTTGCAGTTAGTTCATGCCATGCCTTCCTGTAGCAGCTCTCTTCTCCCTTTCATTTACTCTTTCTAATCTGTTAGGCACATATTAAGATAATATCTTAGATTAATATCTTAGATTATTTTACATGTATATATAAAGCAAGAATAAATAGATTCATCCATACTGCAACGTGGATGAACCTCAAAAACATGATAAGTGAAAGAAAACCAAGGTTATATGAAAGACCACATTTCATATGGTTCCATTTATGTGAAATGTTTGGGAAAGGCAAAATCTGTAGAGACAAAGGAGATGAGTGGTTGCTTGAGCTTAGGGATGGAATAGGAAGGAACTGCAAGTGAGCATTTGGCTTCTTTTCAGGATAATAGAAATATTCTCAAATTCAATTATGATGGTTACACTTTGTACATTTACTAAAAATTATTAATTTGTACCTCAAAATGGGAAATTTTGGTATGTGGCTTATATCCCAATAAAGCTTTTCTTCTTCTTTTTTTTTTTTTGAGACAGTGTCTGGCTGTGTCACCCAGGCTGGAGTGCAGTGGTGCGATCTTGGCTCTGCAACCTCCGTCCCCCAGACTCAAGCCATCCTCCCACCTCAGCCTCCCAAGTAGCTGAAACTACAGGCGTGCGCCACCATACCCAGCTAGTTTTTGTATTTTTAGTACAGGTGAGGTTTTGCCATGTTGCCCAGGCTGGTCCCAAACTCCTGGGCTCAAAGGAATCCTCTCACTTCAGCCTCCCAGAGTGTTGGGATTACAGTCATGAGCCACCGCTTCCAGCCCTAAAGCTGTTTTTTAAAAAAAGAATAAGCAGGTTCAAAGCTTATTTTGGAGGAATTCTCTTTATAATTGTAGGCTAATACAGTTGATATTTATGGATCTGCATAATATTCTAGATAGATGAGATGGAAAATTAGATAAAGTAATACTCTATCCTGAATCATATTCGTTGTGTAAGACAGCATTGAAAGCTAACTCCCCTGTCTCCCTAGGAGACCATTAGGAACTGGAGTTTTGTGTATAGGAATCATGGTGCTAAGTATGGTAATGTAAATTTAAAGGGTAATGATTCATATGCATCTTACTTTGTTGTGAGTTTTAGATTTATTATCAAGATCTCGATAGTGTGCGTTCTCTACACATACAGACGCACATGAGCGCACACATACACATACAGACTCTTCAAAATTAGAAAAGGTATCAATTTTTTCCTCCAGTCCTATCTATTCTGCCAGTATGTTTTTGTCTTATGTCATCTCTCAACCAGTCGAGTGCCCTGTTTGATGAGTGAGTGAGCACACTTGGGCTTCAGGCTGTTTAATGTGTTCTTTTTCATTTTTCAGCACTTTCATTTGGACCCGTGGATACCCATTGAACAGATGCTTGAAACCTGCAAGTAATCTTCAGATCCTAGCAGAACCATAGGCCTTTCCTTTGTTTTGGGAGGATATAGCCTGCCTATATGCTGTGGAAATGAACGGGGAGCAGCAGCTTGATGCAGGTATTGGTTTTATTCTCAGAATTTATTCTCTAGGATGCACAATTATATTACTTGCCTGTGTTATATTGTCTGTTTCTCTACCACTGAACTGGAAGCTCTTTGAAGTCTTAAGTTGTTTTTCATTGCCATCTTCTGTACCTCTCAGAGAACCTGGCACTAGGGGCTACTAATAATGTTTGCTGAAAAAATAAGAAACTGTTATGAACAAGGCCGGGCGCGGTGGCTCATACCTGTAATCATAACACTTTGGGAGGCCGAGGTGGGCAGATCACGAGGTCAGGAGATCGAGACCATCCTGGCTAACACGGTGAAACCCCGTCTCTACTAAACAAAATACAAACAATTAGCTGGGTGTGGTGACGGGTGCCTGTAGTCCCAGCTACTCGGGCAGGAGAATGGTGTGAACCCAGGAGGCAGAGCTTGCAGTGAGCCAGGATCGCGCCACTGCACTCCAGCCTGTGCAACAGAGCGAGACTCCTTCTCAAAAAAAAAAAAAAAAAGAAACTGTTTTGAACAGACTTCTTTTTTAAAATAGCATTAAAATTTTGATGATTACTTTCTAGTTATTTTGAAGTAATTATGCATTCACAGGAGTTTGCAAAGATAGTACTTACTGACATATTTCATGTTCCTTTCACCCAGTTTCTCTCATTAGTTACTATAATATGATATAAAACTGAGGAAATTGATGTTAGTATAAAGAATGTGCAATTCTATGTCATTTTGTCACATGTGTAGATTCCTGGAACCATCCCCTCAGTCAAAATACAGAACTATTCCATCACCACAAAGAGCTCCCACACCTATCCTCCTTCCCCTGACTTTCCCTAATCCCAGGCAACTGTTAATTTGTTCTCCATCTCTGTAATTTTGTCATTTAAAGAATGTTACATAAATAGAATAACACAGTACATGGCTTTTTGAGATGGGCTTTAATAATGCCCTTGACATCCATCCAAGCTCTCGCGTATATTGACAGTTTGTTCCTTTTTATTGTGGAGGAGCAGTCATGAATGTACTGCAGTTTGGTTAACCATTCATCTATTGTAGTACATTTTGGTTGTTTCCAGTTTTTGGCTCTTACCAACACATAAGTTGCTATTAACAATTGTGTATATAATACTTTATTTTTCTGGGGTACATACCCAGCAGCACAATCACTAGATCATATTTAGTAAAGAAAACTGCAAAATTATGCTCCAGAGTGGCTGTGCCATTTTACATTCTCACCAGCAGTATATGAGAGTTCTAGTTTCTCTACATCCTCACTGCTATCTGGTGTTGTCATTACTTTTGTTTAAGCCATTCTGATAGGTGGGTAGTGACAGCTCATCCTGGTGTTAATTTGTACCTCCCTCATGGCCGCCAGTGATATTGAACATCTTTACATGTTCCTACTTGGCATCTGCATATCCTCGTCAGTGAAATGTCTCTTCATGTCTTTGGCTCATTATCAATTGGTTTATTTTTAATTAATAAAGATTGGTTTTTTTGTTGAGGTTTTTCAAAAAACTTTATTGAAATATGTTTTTTGAGATGCAATACACATACCATAAAATCAACCCTTTTAGAGTACATAATTCAGAGGTTTTTAGTCTATTCACAAAGTTTTCCAACCATCACTGCTATCTAATTCCAGAACATTCCATCACAACAAACCATTAGCCATCATTTCCTTTTCCACCCAGACTCTGACATCCATAATCTACTTTCTGTCTCTAGGATTTACCTATTCCAGCTTTCTTTTATTAACATTTGCATGGTATATCTTTTTCATCCTTTTCTTTTCAACATGCCTGTATAATTATATTTGAAATAAGGTTCTTGACACAGCATACACTAATTTTTAAAAATTTTGGCCTTATAGGATGTATGTATACCATTTATACTTAATGTAATTATTGATATGTTTGGATTCAAGTCTGCCTTTTTTGCTTATTTATTTTTTCTGCTTTTGTTTGTTTGTTTCTCTAGAGCAGTGAGATTTCTTTCAGACTGGCTCCTGTGTTCTTTTTTTCCCTCTGCTTTCCTGTGGGTTACTTGAACTTTTTTTTAGAATTCCATTTTGATTTGTAGTGTTTTTGAGTATATCCTCTTGTAGCACTTATTGGTGGTTACTTTAGGTATTATAGTATATATATATATATATAACTTATCACAATCTTCATTTTATTAAAGTGAAGTATAGAAATCTTACCTACTTTTACTTCTCTTTACCCTCTTTTATTTATAATTGCCTTAAATATTTTCTCTACATATTTTGAGAACCACATCAGACATGCTTAACATTTTTGTTTAAACTGTCAAACATATAATTTAGAACACTTGAGAGAAGGAAAATTTATTATATTTTTCAGTATTTTTACTCTTTATGTTGTCATTTATTCTTTTCCTGATTTTCCAAGATTCTCTCTTTTGTCACTTCATTTCTATTTAGAGAATTTTCTTTAGTCTTTTTTTTTTTTTTTTTTTTTTTGAGACTGAGTCTCGCTCTGTCACCCAGGCTGGAGTGCAGTGGCGTGATCTCGGCTCACTGCAAGCTCCGCCTCCTGGGTTCACACCATTCTCCTGCCTCAGCCTCCCAAGTATCTGGGACTACAGGCGCCCACCACCACGCTTGGCTAACTTTTTGTATTTTTAGTAGAGACGGGGTTTCACTGTGTTAGCCAGGATGGTCTCGATCTCCTGACCCTGTGATCCACCTGTCTCGGCCTCCCAAAGTTCTGGGATTACAGGCGTGAGCCACCGCGCCGGCTTTAGTCCTTTTTTTTTTCTTTTGAGACGGGAGTCTTGCTCTGTCGCCCAGGCTGCAGTGCAGTGGCGCCATCTCGGCTCGGCTCACTGCAAGCTTTGCCTCCCGGGTTCACGCCATTCTCCTGCCTCAGCCTCCCGAGTAGCTGGGACTACAGGCGCCCGCCACCACGCCCGGCAAATTTTTTGTATTTTTAGTAGAGACGGGGTTTCACCCTGTTAGCCAGGATGGTCTCGATTTCCTGACCTCGTGATCCGCCCGCCTCGGCCTCCCAAAGTGCTGGAATTACAGGCGTGAGCCACCGCGCCGGCTTTAGTCCTATTTTTTTTTTTTTTTTTTTTTTGAAACGGAGTCTTGCTCTGTCGCTCAGGCTGGAGTGCAGTGGCGGGATCTCGGCTCACTGCAAGCTCCGCCTCCCGGGTTCACGCCATTCTCCTGCCTCAGCCTCCCGAGTAGCTGGGACTACAGGTGCCTGCTACCACGCCCGGCTAATTTTTTGTATTTTTGGTAGAGACGGGGTTTCACCGTGTTAGCCAGGATGGTCGCGATCTCCTGACCTTGTGATCTGCCCGCCTCGGCCTCCCAAAGTGCTAGGATTACAGGCCTGAGCCACCGCACCCGGCCGTTAGTCTTTTTTTTAAAGGAGGTCTAGTAGTGACAGATTGTCTTCATTTCATTTCATTTGAGAATATGTTGATTTCCCCATTCATTGTTGAGGGATATTTTTGCTGGATATGGAATCCTGGGTTGAAAGCTCATTTCTTTCAGCTCTCAGAAAATAATTGTGCTACTTCTTTCTGGCCTCCATGGTTTCTGATGAGAAATCTGCTGTCATTGGACACTCTCCCACCTCCCACCCGCAACGCTTTGCTTTAAAAGAGAGGTTTCTCTGTTGTTAATTTTAAGATTTTTTTTTTTTTTGCCTTTAGTTTTTGGAAGTTTGAGTCTGGTGTATATATTTTTTGGGTTTAAGCTTATCTTATTGTCCCACAGGTCCCTCAGACTCTCTTCATTTTTTTTTTTAATGTTTTCTCTCTGTTGTTTAGATTGGGTTTTTTCTGTTGTTTTGTCTTCAATTTTACTCATTCTTTCTTGTCTGCTTCATTCTGCTGTTGAACTTATCCATAGAGGGTTTTTTTTTAATTAATTGGGTTATTTTCAGCTCTAAAATTTTATTTTTGAGCTGGAGAAGGAAGAGGGAAGGGAATAGTCTCAACCTAAAATGTCGCATTTTGCTCTTCTAACTGAGGTTTAGTGGCTTATCTTGAATTGATGCTTTTTAGCTTGTTCTCTGCCTTTGGTTAATTTTAGGACTTTGAAATGATGATTTTCATTGGTTAGCCAGTCCTTTGGTTCTTTTATGGGAGAGTGGGTTCACTGCAATAATCATTCTGCCATTTCAGAAGTTGATTTTTCCTTTGTGTTAAATATTATTAACTCATGTATTTAAGTACGTATATGTATATGTATACATTTGATGAGTTTGAATGTATTGCTGTCATCATTCATTTGATGATCAAATTCTAGAGCAGCAAGAGTTGTTTCAGACTGGTTCCTGTGTTCTTCTGATGTGACGTCATGTACCTTTGATACAGTTAGTCCTTGCTTTCTGGACCAGTAAGATTCCCAAGTACCTCCTGAACATATCCTGCCCCCCAAACTTGCAATCCGCTGTTTCTCTGAGGAGCTTTTTTTTTCTTTAAAGTAGGTATGATATTTAGAGACCACAATCTGGGTGCTGGAGTGCTAATTTGATACTAGGTTGTCATTTATTCTAGGCCTTACTTACAGACATAGCTAGAAAATACACATTTAAAATTATTTTCTATTTTTTAGAGACAAAATCTTGCTTTGTCACCCAGGGTGGAGTACAGTGGCATGATCATGGCTCACTGCAGCCTCAAACTCCTAAGTTCAGGTGATCTTCCCACCTCAGCCTCCCAAGTAGCTGGGAACACAGGCACATGCCATCATCCCCAGCAATTTTTTAATTTTTGTAGAGATGGGGTCTTGCTATGTTATGTTGCCCAGGCTGGTTTCAAACTCCTGGCTTCAAGTGATCTTCCTGCCTCAGCCTCCCAAATTGCTGGGATTTACAGGTGTGAGCCACCATGCCCAGCCATGAAAATACACATCTTTTGAAAAGTAAAGAAAATAATGGTTTTACATTGATACTTACAATGTAAATTTAAAAGTACAGGGTTTTAGCTGGGCACAGTGGCATGCACTTGTAGTCCTGCTACTTGGGAGGCTGAGGTGGCTTGAGCCTGGGAATTCAAGGCCAGCTGGGGCAATATAGGGAAACTCTATCTCAAAAAAACAAAACAAACAAACAAAAATAAAACAGGGTTACAAAGTTTTTTCTTCTTTGATTTTATGCTTGTATCTCTTCCCTTTTAGAAATGTCTTGTTTGCTAATGATGGTAATATTATTCTTTGTTTTTATCCTATAGAAGTCCTCTAATTATTTTAAAATAATAATACCAACATTTTAGATATCAACCACAGTGTGCAGTTTAAGATTTCTTTATAGTTTTTGCTTTTAAATATATTCCACTGGTGTTTATAGTCAGAGTATTGTATTTTAATATGGCATAGGCCAGACCCGGTGGCTCACGCCTGTAATCCAGCACTTTGGGAGGCAAAGGCAGGAGGATTGCTTGAGCCCAGGGGTTCAAGACCAGTCTGGGCAACATAGGGAGACCCTGTCTCTACCAAAAAGAAAAAAAAAAATTAGCCAGGTGCAGTGGCATGTACCTGTAGTCCCAGCTACTTGGGAGTCTGAGGTGGGAAGATTGCTTGAGCCAGGGTGGTTGAGGCTTCAGAGAGCTTTTATTGCACCACAGCACTCCAGCCTGGGTGACAGAGCAAGACCCTGTCTCAAAAACAAATAAAAATAAATAACATTACTTAAAGGAATCCTGTTTTCTTGTGGTTTTCCCACCAACAGTTAGCTCATGTGTTTCAGTTTATTTGAAATTTATAGAATTTTTTTAATTTCAATTTAATTGTTTCTAAATTGTATAATGAGCCTGCATATTTCTAAAGTCAAAATTGGCCGGGCGGTGGGTCATGCCTGTAATCCCAGCACTTTGGAAGGGCGAGGCGGGCGGACCACCTGAGGTCAGGGATTTGAGACCAGCCTGGCCAACATGGTAAAACCCCATCTCTACTAAAAATACAAAAAATCAGCTGGGCATGGTGGTATGCGCCTGTAATCCCAGCTGCTAGGAAGGCTGAGGCAAGAGAACCTCTTGTACCCAGGAGGTGGAGGTTGCAGTGAGCCGAGATCGCACCACCACATTCCAGCCTGGGTGACAGAGTGAAACTCCATCTCAAAAATAAAATAAAATAAAATAAAATAAAATAACTTCAACCTGATATTACTAATTCTTTCTCTTTTTCCATATATATAGCCAGTTTTATTACTTTTTAATTTATTCTCCTGTTGTTCATTTTTAAAAATATAAACTAATATATGTGAGTGTATATACATATATCCTCATACTCACATCTCCCTCTCCTTTTTTTTTTTTTTTTGAGACAGGGAGCCTTGCTCTGTCACCCAGGCTGTAGTGCAGTGGCACAACCTCGGCTCACTGCAACCCCTGCCTCTGGGTTCAAACGATTCTCATGCCTTAGCCTCCTGAGTAGCTGGGATTACAGGCACGTGCCACCATGCACCTGGCTAATTTTTGTATTTTTAGTAGAGATGGGGTTTCATCATGTTGGCCAGGCTCCTCTCAAACTCCTGGCCTCATGTGATCCACCCACCTCGGCCTCCCAAAGTGCTAGTATTATAGGCATGAGCCACTGCGCCTGGCCTCTCTCCCATCTTATACAAAAAATAGGGATACAAAAAAAAATACTGTTTGGTAGTGTGGTTACTCTTAACAGTATATTTTGGAGATTATTCCACATCAGTATATAGAGATTGTTCTCATTGCTTTACAGCAACCTGTACTGAATACATATACCATATTTATTCAACCATTTCCTTATTGATGGACGTCAGGGTTATTTCCAGTCTTGGTATTACAAATAGTGCTACAATGAATGGCTTTGTACAAATGTCTTTTTGTATTTTTGCCAGCATATCTTTGGGATAGATTCCTAGAAGTGGGATTGCTGGATCAAAAGGTAAATACATATGTAATTTTGTTGGATATTGCCAAGTTTTCTTCCACAGAGGTTGTGTCATTATGCTTTACCTGTTTACAGCCTCACCATTGAGGCTTGTCACACTTTGGAATTCTTTTCAATCTGATATCTCTGTCGTTTTAATTTGCATTTCTCTTAAAACAAAATTTGCACATTTTCATATATTTAAGGATTATGCATTTATTTCTTTAATAAACTCTCATATATCTTGCTCATCATCTCATCACATCATTAGTCTTGTTTCTTCTCAGCATTGTGTGAGAGATTTTAGTTGAGTGATTCATCATTTTAATTGTTACTTATTTTTTATTTTTAAATTAACATGCTATTTAAGGACCTAGAGTCCTTGCTAAGGGCCACGAATGCCCAGCCTTGTTAAGTTTTAGTAATGTAAATTGACTTTCTGCTGGCCTGTACTTTCAAGTTGCCCTCAAAGCTGTCTTTATTATTGGCTTGTATTTCTAATGAAAACATTTCAAATACATTAAAACTATGGAAAAGACTACAACAAACAATCATGTGCCTAGCATAAATATTTAATAAATGTTAATGTTCAATATGTTTTTAATTTTTTATTGTGGTAAAATGTCCATAATGTAAAATTTACCACTTTCACCTTTTTTAAAGCGGTGGGGTCTTGCAGCATTGCCCAGGCTGGAGTGCAGTGGCTATTCACAGGCACAATCATGTACACTACAGTCTTGAACTCCTGGGATCAAGCGGTTCTCTTGCTTCAGCCCCCTGAGTAGCTGGGATTACAGGCCGTTTTAACAATTTTTAAGTGTATAGTTTATTGGCATTAAGTACATTCACATTGTTGGGCAGTAATCACTGCCATCCATCTCCTTATCTTTCCAAATGGAAAGGTATACCTGTTCAACAGTAACTCCCCATTCCCCAGTTTCCCTAGCCCCTAGCACCCACCATTTAATTTTCTGTTTCTATGAATTTGACTACTGTAGGTATCCATTTGTCTTTTGTGACGGGCTTATTTCTCTTAGCATAATGTCTTCATTGTTTATCAATGTTGTAGTATGTGTCAGAACTTTATTTTTGGGAGGATGGGGTCTCTAACAGCCCAGGCTGGAGTGCAGTGATGTGATCACTGCTCACTGTAGCCCCAACCTTGCAAGTGATCCTCCCACCTCAGCCTCTCAAGTAGCTGGGACTACAGCCACTCACCACCATGCTCAGCTTACTTTTAAAAATATTTTTGTAGACACGAGATTTCCCTCTGTTGCTCAGGCTGGTCTCAAACTCCTGGGCTTAAGCTGTCCTCTGCCTTGGCTTCCCAAAGTGTTGGGATTACAGGCATGAGCCACCGCACCCGGCCAGAATTTCCTTTTTTTAAAAGGCTAAATAATATTCCATTGTATGTATATACCACATTCATTTTGTTATCCATTCGTCTGTTGATGGACACTTGGGTTGCCTCTGCCTTTTGGTTATTGTGAATATTGCTGCTATGAACATTTGTGTACAAATACATGTTTGAGTCCCTCTTTTTAATTCTTTTTGGGTATATACACAGACATGCATAGATAGATAGAGAGATAGATAGATAGATAGATCATATGATAATTAAAAATATTTTGAGGAAGTACTGTACAGTTTTCTATAGTGGCTGTACCATTTTACATTCCCACCAGAAATATACAACCATTCTTAATTCTCCATATCCTCACCAACACTTATTATTTTTTGTCTTTTTGTTTATAGTTATTCTAATATGTGTGAAATGGCATTTCATTGTAGTTTTGATTTGCATTTCCCTAATGATTAGTAATGTTGAACATCTTTTCATGCATTTTCATTTTTTAAAAGAAGTGAAACATAATACAGTTTAAGCCTCTTTTGTACTTCCCTTCTAATCTGTTTCCTTCTCTTTATCCCCAAAGGTAACTTTGTTGAAGTTGATACGTATTCTTTTCATCCTTTTCTTTACACTCTTATATTAATATGCATGTATTCATAAACATTACACTGCAAAGTTTTGTTTTGAAACCTAGCTGTGCTTTTCATTCTGCACTTGCCTTTTCTGCTTGATGTGTGTTTTTGAGACTTATCTGTGTCAACGCTAGCATTCATTTCAACTGCTGTGTAGTAGTATTCCATTGAAGGGTTGCCATAACTTATCTATTCTACTTACTGCTTCCAGTTTGTTGATATTACAAATGCTGCTGTGATGAACATCCTTATATTTACCTCCTTGTGGTCATGTGGAGTATGGTTTCCCCTAGGGTGTACTCATTCAGCAGTTTATTGAGAGTCTTCTATATAACAAGCATTGTTCTGAAGGAATACGTCAATGAACAACAACAACAACAACAACAACAAAACAACCATCCCTGCTCTTAGGGAGTTTATGTGAAGTGAGATTATTGGATTATAGAGTATTTGAGTCTTGGCTCACTTAACAAGAGTATTGTAAGAATCTAGGTGGCAAATTCCTGACTTTATGGAGTTTATGATCTAACAGGTATATTGTCAATAGGAATGAATGCCATAAAGAAAAGGGAAGCAGAGCCTAAAGATGGATACTGTTGCCTTTCTGAAGACGAACATTTGAGTAGAGACTTGAATGAAATGGAGCATGAAGGACACTGGGAGATGATTCTTTGAGTTGAGGGATAGCAAATGTAGAGGGTTTGTAGAAAGAGTATGATTAAAGAATGGCAGGAACCTCATTGTCACCCGAGTGTGGTGAGCCTGGAGAGTCTGGCTGGGGATAAAGTGGTAGGGTAGGCAGCCAGGGATCAGGTCATGTACGGCCTTTGTAGTGTCCCACAGATTTTAGATTTTAAGTGTAATTGAAAGGTGGAAGATATTGTGGTTAGACCTTGGACTAGAGATAGCCAGTAGATATGGTGGGAAGTGATTCGATTTGAAATATGTTTTTTGTTTGTTTTTAATTTCCGGGATACATGTGCAGGATGTGCAGGTTTGTTACATGGGTAAACATGTGCCATGGTGATTTGCTGCACCTATCAACTCATCACCTAGGTATTAAGCCCAGTATACATTAACTGTTTTTCCTGATGCTCTCCCTCCCCCGTCCCCCTTGACAGGCCCCAATGTATGCTTTTCCCCCCGATGTGTCCATGTTTTCACATTGTTCAGCTCCCACTTATAAGTGAGAACATGTAGGGTTTGCTTTTCTGTTGCTGTGTTAGTTTGCTGAAGATAATGGGTTCCAGCTCCATCCATGTCCCTGCAAAGGACATTATCTCGTTCCTTTTTATGGCTGCATAGTATTCCATGGTGTATATGTACCAGGTTTTCTTTATCCAGTCTATTGTTGATGGGCATTTGGGTTGATTCCATGTCTTTGCTATTGAGAATAGTACTGCCGTGAACATACATGTGCATGTATCTTCATAATAGAATGATTTATATTCCTTTGGGTAGATACCCAGTAATGGGATTGCTGGGTCAAATGGTATTTCTGGTTCCAGGTCTTTGAGGAATTGGCACACTGTCTTCCACAATGGCTGAACTAATTTACATTCCCACCAACAGTGTAAAAGTGTTCCTATTTCTCTGCAGCCTCAACAGCATCTGTTGTTTCTTGACTTTTTAATTTAATTTATTTTTTTTGAGACAGAGTCTCACTCTGTCACCCAGGCTGGAGTGCAGTGGTGTGATCTCTGCTCACTGCCACCTCCGCCTCCCAGGTTCAAGAGATTCTCCTGCCTCAGCCTCCTGAGTAGATGGGATTACAGGCACACGCCACCACGCCTGGCTAATTTTTGTATTTTTAGTAGAGATGGGGTTTCACCATGTTAGCCAGGCTGGTCTTGAATTCCTGACCTCAAGTGGTCCGCCTGCCGCGGCCTCCCAAAGTGCTGGGATTACAGGCATGAGCCACCCTGCCCAGCCTGTTTCTTGGCTTTTTAATAATCATCATTCTGACTGGCGTGAGATGGTATCTCATTGTGGTTTTGATTTGCATTTCTCTAATCATCAGTGATGTTGAGCTTTTTTTTATGTTTGTTGCCCACATAAATGTCTTCTTTTGTAAGGTGTCTGTTCATGTCCTTTGTCCGCTTTTTAATGGGGTTGTTGGGTTTTTTCTTGTAAATTTGTTTAAGTTCCTTGTAGATTCTGGGTATTATACCTTTGTCAGATGGAGAGATTACAGAAATGTTCTCCCATTCTTTAGGTTGTCTGTTCGCTCTGGTGATTGTTTCTTTTGCTATGCAGAAGCTCTTTAGTTTAATTAGATCCCGTTTGTCAATTTTTGCTTTTGTTGCAATTGCTTTTGACGTTTTTGTCATGAAATCTTTGCTCATGCCTATGCCTTGAATGTTAGTGCCTAGATTTTCTTCTAGGGTTTGTATAATTTTGGGTTTTACATTTAAGTCTTTAATGCATCTTGAGTTAATTTTTGTATTAGGTGTAAGGAAGGAATCCCAGTTTCAATTTTCTGCTTATGGCTTAGTCAGTTCTCCCAGCACCATTTATTAAATAGGGAATCCTTTCCTCAGTGCTTGTTTTTGTCAGGTTTGTTGAAAATCAGATGGTTGTAGATGTGCAATCTTATTTCTGAGTTCTCTATTCTGTTCCATTGGTCTGGATGTCTGTTTTTGTACAAGTATCATGCTGTTTTGAGGCTTGTAGTATAGTTTGAAGTCAGGTAGGGCTATGCCTTCACCTTTGTTCTTTTTGCTTAGGATTGTCTTGGCTATACAGGCTCTTTTTTGGTTTCCTGTGAAATTTGTTTCTAATTCTGTGAAGAATGTCAGTGGTAGTTTAATGGGAATAGTATTGAATCTATAAATTACTTTGGGTAGTATGACCATTTTCATGATATTTTGATTCTTTCTGTCTGTGAGCATGGAATGTTTTTCCATTTGTTTGTGTCCTCTCTCATTTCCTCGAGCAGTGGTTTGTAGTTCTCCTTGAAGGGGTCTTTCACTTCCCTTGTTAACTGTATTCTTAGGTATTTTATTCTCTGTAGCAATTGTGAATGGAAGTTCATTCATGATTTGGCTTTCTGCTTGTCTGTTGTTGGCGTATAGGAATGCTTGTGAGTTTTGCACATTGATTTTGTATCGTGAGATTTTTGCGGAAGTTACTTCTCAGCTTAAGAAGCTTTTGGGCTGAAGCGATGGGGTTTTCTAGATATAGGATCATGTCACCTGCAAACAGACAGTTTGACTTCCTCTCTTCCTATTTGAATACCCTTTATCACTCTCTCTTGCCTGATTGCCCCAGTGAGAACTTCCAATACTATGTTTAATAGGAGTGGTGATAGAGGGCATCCTTGTCTTGTGCTAGTTTTCAAGGGGAATGCCTCCAGCTTTTGCCCATTCAGTATGATATTGGCTGTGGGTTTGTCATAAATGGCTCTTATTATTTTGAGATATGTTCCATCAATACCTAGTTTATTGAGAGTTTTTATTTTATTTTATTTATTGATTTTTTGAGATGGAATCTCGCTCTGTCGCCCAGCCTGGAGTGCAGTGGCGCAACCTCGGCTCACGGCAACCTCCACCTCCCCGGTTCAAGTGATTCTTCTCTCTCAGCCTCCTGAGTAGCTGGGACTATAAGCGCACGCCACCACACCCGGCTAATTTTTTTGTATTTTTGGTAGAGATGGGATTTCACCATGTTGGCCAGGCTGGTCTCAAACTCCTGACCTTGTCGTCCACCAGCCTCGGCCTTCCAAAGTGCTGGGATTACAGACGTGAGCCACTGCACCCAGCCTATTGTATTTATTTATTTTTGAGACAGTGCCTCGCTCCATCACCAGGCTGGAGTGCAGTGGCGTGATCTCAGCTCACTGCAACCTCTGCTTCCCAGGTTCAAGCAATTCTCCTGCCTCAGCCTCCCGAGTAGCTGGGACTACAGGTGCGTGCCGCCACACCCAGCTAATTTTTGTATTTTTAGTAGAGACGGGGTTTCACCACATTGGCCAGGATGGTCTCCATCTCTTGACCTCGTGATCTGCCTGCCGCGGTCTCCCACAGTGCTGGGATTACAGGCGTGAGCTACCACGCCCAGCCTACTGAGAGTTTTTAACATGAAGGGATGTTGAATTTTTTCAAAGGCTTTTCTGTGTCTTTTGAGATAATCATGTGGTTTTTATCTTTAGTTCTGTTTATGTGATGAACTACGTTTATTGATTTGCGTCTGTTGAACCAGCCTTGCATTTCAGGGATGAAGCCTACGTAATTGTGGTAGATAAGCTTTCTGATGTGCTTCTGCATTCTGTTTGCCAGTATTTTATTGAGGATTTTTGCATTGATGTTCATCAGGAATATTGGCCTGAAGTTTTATTTTTTGTTGTTGTTTCTCTGACAGGTTTTGGTATCAGGATGATGCTGGCCTCATAAAGTGAGTTAGGGAGGAGTGCCTCATTTTCAGTTTTTTGGAATAGTTTTAGAAGAAATGATACCAACTCTTCTTTGTATCTCTGGTAGAAATGTGCTGTGAATCCATCTGTCCTGAGCTTTTTTTGGTTGGTAGGCTGTTCATTACTGCCTCAATTTGAGAACTCATTATTGGTCTATTCAGGGATTCAACTTCTTCCTGGTTCAGTCTTGGGAGGGTGTATGTGTCCAGGAATTTATCCATTTCTTGTAAATTTTCTAGTTTATTTGCATAGAAGTATTTATAGTATTCTCTGATGGTTGTTTGTATTTCTGTGGGATTGGTGGTGATATCTCCTTTATCATTTTTTATTGTGTCCATGTGATTTTTCTCTTTTTTCTTCTTTATTAGTCTAGTTAGTGTTCTATTTTATTATTTATTTATTTATTTATTTATTTTTGAGATAGAGTCTCGCTCCGTCACCCAGGCTGGAGTGCACTGGCACGATCTCGGCTCACTGCAACCTCTGCCTCCTGGGTTCAAGCAGTTCTCCTGACTCAGTCTCCTGAGTAGCTGGGATTACAGGCATGTGCCACCATGCCTGGCTAATTTTTTTATTTTTAGTAGAGACGGGGTTTCACCATGTTGGCCAGGCTGGTCTTGAACTCTTGACCTCAAGTGATCTGCCCACCTCAGCCTCCCAAAGTGCTGGGATTACAGGTATTTTATTAATTTTTTCAAAAAACCAGTGCCTGTATTTGTTTATTTTTTTGAAGGGTTTTTCGTGTCTCTATCTCCTTCAGTTCTATTCTGATCTTGATTATTTCTGGTCTCCTGCTAGCTTTGGGGTTTGTTTGCTCTTGGTTCTCTAGTTGATTTAGTCGTGACGTTAGGAGATCTTTCTAGCTTTTGGATATATTTTGAAGATAGTACCTACAGAATTCTTCTATGGATTGGATATAAGGTATGGAGAAAAAGGGAGGGGGGCAAGGATAATGACACTTTTTTTTTTTTATTAAGGTAAAATATTTACTAGGAGTATCTTTCACTCTGAGAGTACTAAGAAAGGATCAAGTTGAAAATTTAAGTTTGAAATGCTTATTAAGTGTCTTCAATGTTTGACATTAGAATACTAAATTTCAGTCCAAAGTGATAGTAATGGTTTATACTCCTACCAGTTTTATGTGATCCATTTGGGTGAACTCTAGATTTGGGTGCCTCTTCAGCAAGAGATAGCATGTCAAACTGCTGTTCTGTGAAGATTCGTTGACAATCAGTGCACTAAGGGCACCTATCATTTAAAAAACAAAAACAAAACAAAACAAAACCCCACTTAATTCTTTTGTGCAAAATCAGTTGTGAAGTAAATTCTGTAAAGTTAGGTTTATTAAGTTTATATTTTTATACCTTGAGTTTTCTTTAATTGGGATTCACCTGTTTTTGTTTTATTTTTAATTCTAGATGCCGGCTCTGGTATGGAAGAGGTAGAATTAAGCTGGGAAGATTATCTAGAAGAAACAGGGTCCACAGCAGTTCCCTATGGGTCTTTTAAACATGTAAGCAATAACTATATTTGCCTTACTGGTGTTATATCCCTTTATTTCGAATCTCTGTATTATCATTAGAGAATTTAAAGTTATTTTAATTTGTGGTACTTGAAGTAATTTAAGAGCTTTTTCTTTCCTCCTGCCACCCTTAGTAAGAACACTTGCCATATTCTTTATTTTTTTATTTTTTTATTTTTTTTTGAGATGGAGTCTCGCTTTGTCGCCCAGGCTGGAGTGCAGTGGCACGATCTTGGCTCACTGCAAGCTCCGCCTCCCGGGTTCACGCCATTCTCCTGCCTCAGCCTCCCGAGTAGCTGGGACTACAGGCGCCTGCCACCACGCCCGGCTATTTTTTGTACTTTTAGTAGAGATGGGGTTTCACCATTGCCAGGATGGTCTCGATCTCCTGACCGCGTGATCCTCCCACCTCAGCCTCCCAAAGTGCTGGGATTACAGGCATGAGCCACTGTGCCTGGTCACACTTGCCATATTCTAAAATCCTTTTTGGTTTTGTGTATTTTCTGCTACTCAATGCATGACTTATCTTTTTGACCATTTATGAATATTCCTTTACTTTTGTCAAAAAACCTTGTCATAAATTGAAAAAAATTATTGTACTTTGTTACATTTACTTTGTTGCATTCATTGAAAGTAATTTCAATAGCATTATTTGCTGTCACTCTTACTGAGCAGAACATAAGTATGACATGCATATTTACATGTCATATTAGTGGCCTGTGCAGCCTGGTTTTATGCCCTAACAACCCAGTTTAATGCCTTGTCAATGACAACATATTTGCCCTGTGTAATGACTTTAGAATGTAAGAAAGTACCCCAAATTTTGTTTATAATTTATATCTAGACCTAGGTTTTTTTTTTGGTGAGGGGGGTAGGGGGTCAGTGTCTCACTCCATCGCCCATCATAGCTCACTGCAGCCTCAACCCCCTGGGCTCAGGTGACCCTCCCACCTCAGCCTCTTAAGTAACTGGGACTACAGGTGTACACCACCACACCCAGCTAATTTTTAGTAGAGATGGTGTTTCACCATGTCGGCCAGTCTTAAACTCCTGGGCTTAAACAATCTTCCTGCCTTGGCCTCCCAGAGTGCTGGGATTACAGGCGTGAGCTACTGTGCCCATCCTAGACCTAGTTTTTAACCTGTTTACTCAAACTCCCTCTTAAAACACACAGAATAATTAATTCTAAAACTACTTATTTCATATTTGTCATAGTCTGCTTGGGCTGCCATAACAAAATATCATAGACTAGGTGGCTTAAACAACTGACATTTATCTTCTCACAGTTATGGAGACTGAAAGCCTAGGTGTGTAGCTGCTTTCTGGTGAGGGCCCTCTTTCTGGCTTGCAGATAGTTGCCACCTTGCTGTGTCTTCACATGGTAGAAACAGTAAGAGTTCTGTGGTGTCTCTTCTTAAAGGAAGAAGAACCAATTCTGTTAGATCAGGGCTCCATCCTTATGACCTCTAAATGTTTGTGCCCTCCCAAAATTTATATGTTGAAACCTAATCCCCATTGCGTTGGTATGAAGAGGTGGGGCCTTGGAGAGGTGATTCGGCCATAAAGGTTTTTTCTCATGAATGGGATTAGCACCATTATAAAGGAGGCTTGAGAGAGCTTGTTTGCTCAACTTCCACCATGTGAAGACAGCAAGAAGGCACCATCTTTGAAGCAGAAAGTGAACCCTCACCAGATTCTGAATCCCCTGGGGCCTTCATCTTGGACTTTCCAGCCTCCAGAATTGTGAGCAGTAAATTTCTGTTGTTTATACATTTTCCAGCCTAAGATATTTTGGTGTAGCACCCCAGATGGACTAAGACAACCTTCATAAAGGGCCTATATCCAAACAGTCATACTGGAGCTTAGGGTTTGAACATACAAATTTTGGGGTGAACAGTTTAGCCCATAGCAATGTTCAGTAGGGCATACTTCTTTTGTTCTAGGATTTGTGAAGACACTGATGCACAGTCAGTGTTGTCTGTGAATATAAACCATATTCTTTTAGCTGTTGTCTTTATATGCTAAAGAGTCCTGCCATTCTCCTGCCTCAGCCTCCCGAGTAGCTGGGACTGCAGGCGCCCGCCATCACACCCGGCCAATTTTTTGTATTTTTAGTAGAGATGGGGTTTCACCGTGTTAGCCAGGATGGTCTCGATCTCCTGACCTCGTGATCCGCCCGCCTCAGCCTCCCAAAGTGCTGGGATTACAGGCGTGAGCCACCATGCACAGCGAGTCCCACTATTTTTAGTTTTCCGTGTGTAAAAACTCAGTCATGTTAGCTGCCCTTTTTGATTATTCTTTGTTCATTTATATCTCTCTTAAAGTGGTGAGAATTACATATTTCAGATAAGGATTTTATTTCATATTGCATTGTTGGGAGCAAGCCCCTCAAAGTCTGGCCATAAACTGGCCCCAAAACTGGCCATAAATAAAATCTCTGCAGCACTGTAACATGTCTATAATGGCCCTAACGCCCAAGCTGGAAGGTTGTGGGTTTATGGGAATGAGGGCAAGGAACACCTGGCCCGCCCAGGGCAGAAAACCGCTTAAAGGCATTCTTTAGACACAAACTAAAGCATGAGCAATCTGTGTCTTTAAGGGCATGTTCCTGCTGCAGTTAAATAGCCCAACCTATTCATTTAATTCGGCCCAGATCACCTGAGGTCAGAAGTTCGAGACCAGCCTGGCCAACATGATGAAACCCCTTCTCTACTAAAAATACAAAAATTAGCCAGTCGTAGCAAGCACCTGTAATCCCAGCTACTCAGGAGGCTGAGGCAGGAGAATCACTTGAACCCAAGAGGCGGAGGTTGCAGTGAGCCAAGATCATGCCACTGCACTCCAGCCTGGGCAACAAGAGCAAAATGCCATCTCAAAAAAAAAAAAAAAGAATTTCTTTTAATATTTCTTGCAAGACAGGTCTACTGGTGACAGAATCCCTTAATTTTTGTTTGCCTGAGAAAATCTTTAGTACTTTTTAAGGATAATTTTGCTTGATACACAGCTCTAAATTAGTGGCTTTTTGCTTTAAATGCCTTAACTATTTCAGTCCTCTCTATCCTTGCTTGCATGGTTTCTGAGGAAGGAAAAAAGAGTGTTAGAGAAGGAATGTGTGTTTTTTTTTTTTTTTTTGGAGAAGGAATTTTAAAATGTAAAAGAAAACCTTGGATTTTTCTTTTTTTTTTTTTTTTAAGATAAGAGTCTTGCTCTGTTGCCCAGACTGGAGTGCAGTGGTGTGATCCTAGCTCACTGCAGCTTCAGGCTCAAGCAGTCCTCCTGCCTCAGCCTCCAGAGTAGCTGAGACTACAGACACCCACCACCATGCTTGACTAACTTAAAAAAATATATATATATTTTGGTAGAGATGGGTCTTGCTATGTTGCCCAGGCTGGTTTTGAACTCCTTGCCTCAAGGGAACCTCCTGCCTTGGCCTCCCAAAATGCTGGGATTATGCCATGAGCCACCATGCCTGGCCTAATATTTCTTATTCTTTATTGAGGGAACATATAACAGTTTATTCAAAATAATGACAGCAGCCGGGCACGGTGGCTCACGCCTGTAATCCCAGCACTTTGGGAGGCCATGGCGGGTGGATCACCTGAGGTCAGGAGTTCAAGACCAGCCTGGCCGACATGGTGAAACCTTGTCTCTACAAAAATACAAAAATTAGACAGGCATGATGGTGGGTGCCTGTAATTCCAGCTGCTTGGGAGGCTGAGACGGGAGAATTGCTTGAATCTGGGAGGCGGAGGTTGCAGTGAGCTGAGATTGCGCCATTGCACTCCAGCCTGGGCAACAGAGCGAGACTCCATCTCAAAACACAAACAAAAAAAGTAATGACAGCAACAATTTATTTGATTATGTATGCTTATGTATAAATATATGCTAAGGCATGCTTACATATATAAATGGTAGCAATGATACAGGGGAAGAAATGGCAGAATTAGAATTGTTATTATAAGGGTTTTTTAAAATCACAAATTGGATTTGGATTAGTTTAAATGTATATTGTAAACTCTAGGGCAACTACTAAAAACAGTTAAAAGAAATATAATATGCTAAGAAGGCAAAGTGGAATAATATAAAATGCCTGTTTAAAACCACAGAAGGCAGATAAAGAGTGAAAGACAAAATGGAAACAAAGAAGAAGGCAACAAATAGAAAACACTAACATATATGGTAGATATTAATCCAACTATATCAGTAATCACTTTGAATGTCAGTGGTCTAAATGCACTGTTAAAAAGATGGAGATTATCAGAGTGGATCAAAAAATATGACCCAACTATATGTTGTCTATAATAAAAGCACTTTAAATATAAAGAGACATATAGGTTAAAAGTAAATGGATGGAGAAAGATATACCATGCTAACACTAACAAAAAAAAGACCTAGCTGTATTAATGTCAGACAGAGCTGACTTCAAAGCAAGGAATGTTAGGACATTACGCCTGTAATCCCAGCACTTTGGGAGGCCGAGATGAGTGCATCATTTGAGGTCGGGAGTTCAAGACCAGTCTGACCAACATGGAGAAACCCTGTTTCTACTAAAAATACAAAATTAGCCAGGCGTGGTGGTGCATGCCTGTAATCCCAGCTACTCAGGAAGGCTCAGGCAGGAGAATCGCTTGAATCTAGGAGGCGGAGGTTGCGGTGAGCCGAGATCATGCCACTGCACTCCAGCTTGGGCAACAAGAGTGAAACTCGGTCTCAAAAAAAAAAAAAAAAAAAAAAAAAAAGAAGGACATTACATAATAATAAAGGGGTCAGTTCTTCAAGAAGACGTAACAGTCCTTAAAATGTATGCATCTAACAACAGAATGTAAAAATACGCAAGTCAAAACCTGGTAGAACTGCATGGAGAAACAAATGGATTCAATATTATTAGTCGGGAAATTCAACGCCCTCCTATCGAAAATGGACAGATCCAGCAGGCAGAAAATTAGTAAGGACATTGTTGAGCTCTGCAATACCATCAATCAACTGGATATAATGGACATCTATAGACTACTTCAACAACAGCAGAAGATACATTCTTCTCAAGCTCACATGGAACATTCACAAAGATAGACCACACCCAGGCCCATAAAGCACACCTTAACAAATTTAAAATAATATAAATCATACA
This sequence comes from Homo sapiens, assembly GCF_000001405.40. Classification (NCBI taxonomy): domain Eukaryota; kingdom Metazoa; phylum Chordata; class Mammalia; order Primates; family Hominidae; genus Homo; species Homo sapiens. Next base: position 52,949,179 of record NC_000003.12, on the reverse strand, counting down.
GTGTGCTCTCAAACCACAGTGAAATTAAACTAGAAATCAATAACAGAAAGATAGCTGGAAAGTCCCTAGTTACTTAGAGATTAAACAACACACTTGTGAATAACACGGATAAAAGAAGCGGTCTCGGGAAACTTTGAAATATTTGGAACTAAATGAAAATGCAGTAACATCAGAAACATAAAATGTCTAGGATTAAATGTAAAAAAAATTGCAAGGATGCTGGGTGCAGTGGCTCACACCTGTAATCCCAGCACTTTGGGAGCCAAGGTGGGAGAATTGCTTGAGCCCAGGAATGCGAGACCAGCCTGGGCAATATAGTGAGACCTTTTCTACAAAAAAAAAAAAAAAAAAAAATTAAAAATTAGCCAGGCATGGTGGAGCACACCTGTAATCCTAGCTACATCAGAGGCTGGGGTGGGGGGATCCTTTGAGCCCAGGAGACAGAGGTTGCAGTGACCCGAGATTGTGCCGCTGTACATCAGCCTGGGCGGCAGAATGAGAGACTCGGTCTCCAAAAATAATAATAACAATAATAATAATAATAATAATAATTGTAAGGCAACTCCAATTCATTACTGATGTAAAATAAAGACCATTATACATGAAGGGATACACCTTGTTCATGTAATGAGAGAGTCACTATTGTAAAGATACCAGTTTTCCCTAACTAGGTCTGTAGATTTACTGCAAACAAATTAAATTTCAAAAAGTACATATATATAAAATTTTAGGTAGAAATTGACAAGCTGATTCTGATTTTTATATGGATATATCGTGGATCAAGGGTAGCCAGACACACCTAAAGAATAAGACAAAATGAGAAGACTTGCTGTACTAGATATCAAGTTTAATTAAGATAGTATAGTGCTACTTTAAGGAAAAGTAAATCAGAAACAGATCCACTTTTGTAGGGACACTTGATTATTACAAAGTTGATGACTTATAGTGGTCGGGAAAAGTGCTGGTTTAATTGTGTACACATGTTGAAACAAATAAACCCTTACCCATATTTAACTTCATATTAACTTCATTAATTCCAGGTGTATGTTAGTTCTAAATATGATAGCTCCTAGATAATAATATAGTTTATGATCCTTATGACCTTTAAAGATAGGAAAAGATTTGTTTAAAAATACAGAAAAAGCAGCTGGGTGCGGTGTCTCACGCCTATAATCCCAGCACTTCGGGAGGCCGAGGCAGGCGGATTGCTTGAGGTCAGGAGTTCGAGAGCAGCCTAGACAACATGGTGAAACCCCATCTCTACTAAAAATACAAAACTTAGCCAGGCATGGTGGTGCATGCCTGTAGTCCCAGCTGCTTGGGAGACTGAGGCAGGAGAATCACTTGAGCCCGGGAGGCAGAGGTTGCAGTGAGCTGAGATCGCGCCACTGCACTCCAGCCTGGGCGACAGAAGGAGACGCTGTCTCGAGGAAAAAAAAAAAAAATACATATATAGAAAATCACTACCTTTTTAAAGGAAAAATATTGATAAATTAGACTACAATAAATTTAAGAACTTCTGTTTATCAAAAGACATCATAGTGAAAATGAGAAAAATGTTTGCAACACAACTGTCAAAGAACTGATGCCCACAATATAGACTGAATTTAAAAATGGGTAAGGAACTTAAGCATTTCCCAAAAGAAATCTAAATGACTAATAAATATAAAGGTTGTCAACTTGATTAATAATCAGATCATACAAATTAAAATTACAATAAGATACATGACACACCTTCCAAAATGGTTAAAAGTGAAAAAAGGGGCTGGGCGCGGTGGCTCACGCCTGTAATCCCAGCACTTTGGGAGGCCGAGGCGGGCGGATCACAAGGTCAGGAGATCGAGACCATCCTGGCCAACACGGTGAAACCCGGTCTCTACTAAAAATACAGAAAATTAGCCGGGCTTGGTGGCGGGTATCTGTAGTCCCAGCTATTTGGGAGGCTGAGGCAGGAGAATGGCGTGAACCTGGGAGGCGGAGCTTGCAGTGAGCAGAGATGACGCCACTGCACTCCAGCCTGTGCGACAGAGTGAGACTTTGTCTCAAAAAAAAAAAAAAAGTGAAAAAGACTGAAAATAGAAAAATGTTGGTTAGAGTGGAGCAAAAGGAGCCAGGCGTGGTGACTCACGCCTGTAATCCCAGCACTTTAGGAGGCTGAGGCAGGTGGATCGCTTGAGGCCCAGAGTTAGAGACCAGCCTGGCCAATATGGTGAAACCTTGTTGCTACAAAAAATACAAAAATCAACCAGGTGTGGTGGCACGTGCCTGTGGTCCCAGCTACTTGGGAGGCTGAGGCATGAGAATCACTTGAACCTGAAAGGTGGAGTTTGCAGTGAGCCGAGATCACTCCACTGCAGTCCAGCCTGGGTGACAGAGTAAGACTCTGTCTCAAAAAAAAAAAAAGGAATGGAGCAAAAGGATTTCTCATATGCTATTGGGAAACTAAATTGGTACAACTTCTTTGGAAAACAGTTTGGTTGTTATGTATTTTAGAAATTCATGTATGTATGTACCAAGGGACAAGCAAAAATGTTTATGGCATCATTATTTGTAGCTTCCCAAAACTGTGAACTGCCCAAATAGCTAGTAACTAGTAGAAGTGGAATGAATAAATTGTGACATATTCATATAGTGGAATACTACACAGTAGTGAAAAGAAGTAAGCTACTGTTACATGCAACAGCATGAATAAATCTCGTAAGTAATGTTCGACAAGAGAAGCTCCACTCAAAAAATATTCATACCGCATAATTTCATTAACATAGTGTGGAAACATAGTCAATATAACCATAGTGTTTAGGATAGTGATAGAACAGGTAGTGACTAGCGGGGGAGGACTTTTTACACAGAATGTGGGACTTTCCCTCTCTGGCTGTCTCCAGGATTCCACTTGCATTTTCCAGTGGCTGTGGTTGCCATATTGCATTTATTTGTCATGTCTTCATAGTCTTCTCTGGTATATGACAGTTCCTCGTTCTTTCTTTGTCTTTTATGGACTTGACACTTTTGATGAGCCTATATTGCATGTCAACTATTTGTGGAATATTCCTCAATTTGGATTTGTTTTTTTCTCATGATTGGATTGAATTTGTGCAGATTTGGTAATAATGTTGTAGGAATGATATTGCAGTTAACTTGTATGAAATCAAGGCTGCATGATACTGATGCAAACTTTGATTGGTTAGTTACGTGGCATCTGCCAGATTTTTTCACTGTAATGTTGCTGTTTTCCCCTTTGAAGTTAATAAGAATCTTACTGGGAGAACCTTTGAGATTTTGCAGATATCCTGTTTCTCATCATAGTATTTTAGAGTCCATCAATAATTCTTGCCTGCAATGTTTATCTCTTTTTTTCTTTTTTTTTTTTTTGAGATGGAGTCTCGCTCTGTTGCCCAGGCTGGATTGCCTGCCGTGGTGCGATCTCGGCTCACTGCAAGCTCCGCCTCCCGGGTTCATGCCATTCTCCTGCCTTTGTCTCCTGAGTAGCTGGGACTACAGGCGCCCGCCACCATGCTTGGCTAATTTTTTTTGTGTTTTTAGTAGAGACGGTTTCACTGTGTTAGCCAGGATGGTCTCGATCTCCTGACCTCGTGATCCACCTGCCTCGGCCTCCCAAAGTACTGGGATTACAGATGTGAGCCACCGCGCCCGGCTCTTGCAATGTTTATTTCTGTGATGTTTGTCTACTAGTGATTTTCTATTTCCATCTTTTTTTTTCAATATTTATTAACTGGTTTTCTACTCTAAGGAAGATCTGTCCCCTCTCCCCTAATTTATATCAGTGTGGACTCATGGATACTTATTTAAATCTATTAGTTATAATGCATTACTCTCACTATTTATTTTATTGCTCAAATTGTCCCAGATGTAGCCAGTGAGATCCTTCTAGTTGTCTTGTATGTTCCTTCAACATACTCCCATAATTTTTTGATCATTTCCTTACTTTCTGGCATCACAAGATATTCCAGGCTCTAATTGTATTTTTCCTATCCCAGAATCGGAATAAGCTTTTTTCCCTGAAGTCCTTGTTTTTTTTTTTTTTTAATTGGAAGGTGGTATTTGGAAATCAAAATTTGGGCCAGGCACAGTGGTTCATGACTGTAATCTCAGCACTTTGGGAGGCCAAGATGGGCAGATTGCTTGAGATCGGGAATTTGAGACCAGCCTGGGCAACATGGCAAAACCCCGTCTCTACAGAAAATACAAAAATTAACAAGGCATGGTGGCGCACATCTGGGGTCTCAGCTACTCAGGAGGCTGATGTGGGAGGATGACTTGAGGTTGCAGTGAGCCGAGATTGCACCACTGCACTTTAGTGTGGGTGACAGAGCCAGTCCCTGTCTAAAAAAATAAAAAAGAGGCCGGGCCTGGTGGCTCACGCCTGTAATCCCAACACTTTGGGAGGCTGAGGTGGGTGGATCACCTGAGGTCAGTAGTTCAAGACCAGCCTGGCCAACATGGTGAAACCCCATCTCTACTAAAAATACAAAAAATTAGCTGGATGTTGTGGCGGGCGCCTGTAACCCCAACTACTCAGGAGGCTGAGGCAGGAAAATCGCTTGTACCCAGGAGGCAGAGGTTGCGGTAAGCCGAGATCACGCCATTGCACTCCAGCCTGGGTGAACAGAGCGAAACTTTGTCTCAAAAAAATAAAAAAGAAAAGAAAGAAATCAAAATTTGTACACTATATTTGCTTACTGTGACTACATGTCATTATTTCTAGTCCCTCTCAATTCACAGAGTTGGGAAATACATGTGTATGGTTGTCTCCATCTCTATTATTCGTTCATTTCTTTATCCATCCATCCATCCATCTATCTGCCTGTCTGTCTGTCTCTATCTGCCTACCAATCCATCATCATGTCCCTGTTCAGATGCATCTGATTCCAGTCCAACACCACAGGCTTCCCTTTGCTTATTTGTCACTTCTTTTTCCCATGGTGAGAAACCTGGCTCTTATTATTCATAGTATATTTATTTAATGTTAGTATACACATAAAGTATTAATAGTTCCAGATTTGCTAACCCAGACCTTTGTGACCATATAATGTTTCATCTAAATTAGAACACTTTTGAGAGGGAAAGGGGGGATGTTATTAATTATTATTTAAGAGTAATTGGTGGAAACATAGACTTTTAGGGAAACTGGGAAATATGGCTCCCTGTATATGGTACATATTGTACTAATTTATTATCATTATGGTTTATTTTTGTCTTCTCACTTTTCTAGCATCATAAATTTCCTGTTGGTTGATGCAGAAATCATTCTTGTAAACAATGTGTTGAAAGCTATTAAAATGGTGACTAGTAATTTATATACTTAATAGGAAGCATTTTCTGTAATCATAATAGACTGCTTTGGTGAAAATATTGAGTTCCTTCATTGTCAGATGGAACAGAGCAGCATTGCTATTCGTTTGTTTTATCTGGATTGCTTCTGTAAGTTAGAATTGGAATTTCTCAGGCTTTCCTTGAGATGTTATTGCATTTAGTGCTTCGGAATTGTAAGTCTTAAAAAAGAACATTGGTCAAAGAAATACTCATTTAAGATACTTGTCTGGTGCTTAATAACATTTCCCTGTTAAGGTGGACACACGTTTGCAAAATGGATTTGCTCCTGGGATGAAGCTGGAGGTGGCTGTGAGAACAGATCCTGAGACCTACTGGGTTGCCACCGTTATCACTACCTGTGAGCAGTTGCTCCTTCTCCGCTATGATGGCTATGGGGAGGATCGGAGAGCAGATTTCTGGTGTGACATCAGGAAGGCTGATCTCTACCCCATTGGGTGGTGTGAGCAGAATAAGAAGACCCTTGAAGCCCCAGAAGGTAATGAAATACTTCCTATCAAGACGTGACGTGATTTTACTGTAAGAAAATTTGGATTGTCCACAGTCTTGAGGTTTTAAGTCTCTCGAGCATATAGGTTTACCCAGCTTTTCTAGGTTAGCATTTTGAGTGAAAATATTTATAAGGAATAATACACATTTCCCTGTCTTTTAAAATTATTTTCTTTGCTACATAAAGCCTCAGGTTTTTATGATGCTCATAGGGAACACTAGCTGCATATCATCCTTTCAGACTGTGAGGTTCTCTGAGTTTGAGATTTGTAGATCTGGTTGTTTTTAAGCCCGTTGGGCCAGACTGATGTGCTGTTGATTTTCTTTTGTTTTTATTGTCCTCTCTCCTCATACCCTCAAGCAATCTGGTAACTAGGAACTCTTAAATGAACTAAATCAAGCACCATTCCAGAAGGAGTAAAAACCAAATTAAGCAGAAGAGAGACAATAAAGGCAAAAGAAAGAGAAGGGTGAGATAAAGGTGGGGAAAGATAAGAGGACTCCGGATTTAAGAAAATACGTGAGTTGTCTGGGCGGGGTGGCCCATGCCTGTAATGGCACCACTTTGGGAGGCTGAGGCGGCTGGATCACCTGAGGTCAGGAGTTCGAGACCAGCCTGGCCAACATGGCAAAACCCCGTCTCTACTAAAAATACAAAACAATTAGCTGGGTGTGGTGGCTCACAACTATAATTCCAGCTACTCAGGAGGCTGAGGCAGGAGAATCACTTGAACCCAGGAGGCGGCCGTTGCATTGAGCCGAGATCGCGCCACTGCACTCCAGCCTGGGTGACAGAGTGAGATTCTGTCTCAAAAGAAAGAAAATACCAGACTTTTGGTATTTTTCTTTTAACTTCTTACTTTGATATAATTTCAGATTTACCAAAAAGTTATGAGAATCATATGGAAAATTATTGGAGACTTTTTGCCAAGTGTTTCCAAATGTTGTTAATGGTGACATATATGATGTTTACTTTATCTTGTCTCCACTGCTTTACTCATGTTCTTTTAATGAACCACATGAGAGTCAGTTTTAGACATGATGCCCTTTTATTCAAAAATACTGTATGTATTTCTAAAAACAAGGTATTCATGTTACAGTAAAATATGAAAATGAGGAAATTAACTTTGATACAATACTGTTTACAGATAGTACTCAGTTTTTTAAAAGGAACATTGTTTAATAAACATGGTCTTATTTTTATATTTATATCACTTTCTAGTATTTTTGTTTTTATTTTCATTTCTATTTTCTTGAGGCAGGGTCTTGCTATATCACCCAGACTGGTCTCCAACTCCTGGGCTCAAGTGATTATCCTGCCTCAGCCTCCCTAATAGCTAGTACCACAGGCATGAGCCATCATGCATCATGCCTGGGCCTTATTCAGTTTTTACCAGCTATTCCAATAACATTTAAGATAATTTCGTTCTATTTTATTTTTTTGAGACAGAATCTCGCTCTGTCAGCCAGGCTGGAGTGCAGTGGCGTGATCCTAGCTCACTGTGTCCTTGAACTCCCAGGTTCAAGTGATTCTCCCACCTCACCCCTGCCAAGTAGCTGGGTCTACAGGTGTGTGTCACCATACCCAACTAATTTTTAAACTTTTTTGTAGAGACAGAGTTTCGCTGTGTTGCCCAGGCCAGTCTCAAACTGCTGGTCTTAAGCGTTCCTCCTTTCAAAGTGTTGGGATTACAGGCATGAACCACCACACCTGGCCCAATAACTTTTTTTTTTTTTTTTTTTTTTTTGAAACAGAGTCTCACTCTGTTGCCCAGGCTGGAGTGCAATGGCGCAATCTCAGCTCACTGCAGCCTCCACCTCCTGGGTTCAAGCAGTTCTCCTCCCTCAGCCTCCCAAGTAGCTGGGATTACAGGCACCCGCCACCACACCCAGCTAATTTTTTGCATTTTAGTAGAGACGGGATTTTGCCATGTTGGCCAGGCTGGTCTTGAACCCCTGACCTCAGGTGATCTGCCCGCTTCTGCCTCCCAAAGTGCTGGGATTACAGGCGTGAGCCACCGCGCCTGGCCAATAACTCTTTTTTAATTAAAGAAAAATCCCAGATCATGTGTTACATTCAGTTGTCATGTCTCATAAGTTTCCTATAATCTGGAACAGTTCCTCAGGGTTTTTCGTCTTTCATGACTTTGATATTTTGAAAGTTACAGGCCAGTTTTCCCAATGTTCATTCTATCCTGGTCCCAATAATGTTCATTATGCTGTATTTCTTTTCCTGGTCCAAGATTCCTGTCTAGAATCACATTGCATTTAGTTGTCGTGTCTCTCTCGTTTTCTTAACCATTGTTTTTCTTTTTTGAACTTGACATTTTTGAAGAGTACAGGCCAGTCATTCTGTCAGATTTCCCACAATTTGGGTTTGTCTGATGCTTCCTTACATTCAGGTTGTTCACTTTTGGTAGGAAAAATGCAAAAGCTGTGCCCTTCCAGTGCATGATATCAGAAGATACATGCTATTGATTTGCCTTATTACAGGTAAAATTAACTTCCATCACTTGATTAGGTTCGTATATGCCAAGTTTTTTCATCGTAAAGGTATTATTTTTTGCTTTTTAGTTAGTGTCTTGTTGGAAGATACTTGGAGATTATGAAAATATCCCATTACTCTTCACACTTTAACCCACTATTCTTAGTATCCATTTATAAATTTTATCTGAAACAATTATTTTTTCAATAATTACCAAATGGTGTTTTAAAAAATTTCTTCTACATTTCTTAATTGGCTTTCTACTATACTATAGAAAGAGCTTCCCCCTTTCCTCCATTTATGTATGTATGTGTATATGTAGGTATGTTTATCAGTGTAGACTCATGATTCTGATCTTATTTAATGGGTTATAATCCTTTACTTTATATTTCTTTTGATCCTGAAACTGTCCTAGATTGGGTGAGTGGTTACCCCTTCAAGCGGGCTACTGTATCCTTTTAATATGTCCTTATTTTTCTTTAAGCAGTTTCTTATTTTTTGGCTCAAGAAGCATTTTGCTGTCTCAGCCCTGAAATCAGCCATTTCCCCAAGAAGTCTTTTCTTTTAGTGAAGAATGGTATTTGGAAACGAAGATCTGAGTGTTAGGGTCCTGGGATGTCTGTGGGCTTCTCCTTTGTGAAGGTTTTTTACTTTGTGAGTAACAATAGAAGAGAGAGCTCTAGAGACATGAAGCCACCTGGCCTACCATCTCATCCTAACGTATGTAGGAAAATGCATCTCGTTTAAATGTGAACAACAGAAAAGGATTTCAGTTGAATCTCATACAAGATTATTACAGTGAAAAAAGAGTAGAAACAACCACAGAAGAGGTGAACATTGTGTCAGATAAAAACATTTCAAAATAAGGTAACAAAAAAGTAGCAACAATAATAGAAACAGTGAAAAAAATTATAAATAAAATTTATAAACATTCAGAAATGAAAGGATTAAAAAAGGGAAGATTTGAAAAGAGAAAAAGTAAAACTTAGGCAAGAACTGGAAATAAAAGAATATTGAAAATGAAGACTTAGTTAAAATGAGCACAGGAATGAGTCAGCACCATGGATACTATCTGAAGAAAAACAGATGAAAAAAAGGAAAGAAATTTTAAAATAAAAACCAAACAAAGAAATAAAAAGGACTTGAGAAACACCTTATACAGCTAGGTAAAAATGATTTAACATACCTGCAGTAGAAGTCCTTGAAGAAGAAAACTGAAGCAATGAAACAATAAAATACTATAAACTATAATTTAGGTAAACATTTATTTATTTATTTTTTGAGACAGAGTGTCACTCTTTGTCACCCAGGCTGGAGTACAGTGGCACGATCTCGGCCCACTACAACCTCTGCCTCCCAGGTTCAAGCAGTTCTTCTGCCTCAGCCTCCTGAGTAGCTGGGACTACAGGTACATGCCACCATGCCCAGCTAATTTTTATATTTTTAGTTGAGAGGGGGTTTCACCATGTTGGCCAGGCTGGTCTCAAATTCCTGACCTCTAGTGATCTGCCCGCCTGAGCTTCCTAAAGTGCTGGGATTGCAGGTGTAGTCCGGCTACCATGCTGGACCATAATTCAGGTAAACCTTACAGAAATAAAAGAGGCCTTGTAATACATACTGAAAGGGATTACTATGTATGTAGGAAAATCAAATGAGGGCAGCTACATCAAAATTGTTCTAATGAAAGTATTGAACTTTAAAGCAAAAAATAATACCACGGCTATTTAGGAGAAAGACCAAGTTTCTTATAGAGGAAAGAAAACAAGATTTTCATCAGAGTTATTAACAATGGTTTATGTCAAAAGACAATGGAATGTAATGTACTTAAGAAATGTAATGAAAGAGAAAATATGAGACAGGGATTTTATATCTAGCCAAACTGAACTTCAGATCTAAAGGCTATATGCAAACTGTTACGAACAGGTAAGAACTAAGTAATATTGTTCCCATGAGCCCTTCCTAAGGCGTCCACTAGGGAATGAGCTTCAGCTGAGCAAATTAATGAGGTAACATTAGCATGGGAAATGGTAGTGAAACATTAAATATATGTATAGCTATAGAACTTAAACTAAATGATGGTTGTAAGGGAGACACTGTGGTATATAATAGCTGTATGCTCTGAAAATGTAGTTACATTATTACTATAAAAAATATGGGACAAGAATGGGGAAAACGTGAATAGTTGTATAAGCCCACTAATTGTCTTAAAAAAAAAAACAGCTTTATTGCCATGTAATATAACTATTTAAATGTTAACTGGGAGTAAAAGGATAGTACCTGAAATGAGATGCTGAAGGAGAGAAAACGAAGGGCTTATAGCTAACTTCAGTATTGTTTATAGAAACAACAACAACAAAATAGAAAGTAGTCCAAAAATAGAGAGGACTAAAAGTGTTATATAAAGGTAATCCGTAGAACAAAAATAAGAACCTTTCTATATGACGAAAGAGACTTAGAAAGAGAAACTATATGTGTAAACGGGATAGATCACATAGTAAAAAAAACTACATATACACGAAGTATATAACATTTAACAATATGAAATTTAGGCCATGCATATTAATAATATCAATAAGTGTTACTGGGCATACTCTTTTATTAGAAGTAAACAAATAAATTCAGATTGCCTCATAAAGCAAAATCCACTCTTGTCCTCTGTATAGGAGACATACCTAAGCAGAGAGACTACGAAAAAGTAAAAATAAAAGGACAAAGATGTACAGGCAACTGCCAGTAGAAAAGAAACCAGCTGTCAGTCTTGATAGCTGACAAAGGATACTTTGTAAGAAAAGCAGCTATAGACAGCAATAAAAAGGAGGAGGGTCTGCATACAACCAAGGAGTGGGCTCAGGATATGTTATTGTATGAAAAAAAGAAAAATGTGTACAGACTTGAGGAGGAGGAGAGCTCAAGGATATGATGATACAAATGTGTGTGTGTGAACTTATTTTTTTCAAAATAAAAGAGTAAATCGTTGGCCAGGCGCAGTGGCTCACTCCTGTAATCCCAGCACTTTGGGAGGCCGAGGCGGGTGGATCACGAGGTTAGGAGATCAAGACCATCCTGGCCAACATGGTGAAACCCCATCTCTACGAAAAATACAAAAATTAGCCAACCGTAGTGGTGTGTGCCAGTAATCCCAGCTACTCAGGAGGCTGAGGTAGAAGAACCACTTGGACCCGGGAGGCGGAGGTTGCCGTGAGCTGAGATCGTGCCACTGCACTCCAGCCTGGGCAACAGAGCAAGACTCCGTCTCAAAAAAAAAAAAGAATGAATCATTTAGAAAAAAGTTACCTATGGGGAAAGAAGGGAAAAGAATGAAGGAGGTAGGAATAGAAGCTAAATTTTATGAATGTACCTTATTTTATTTTGTAGATTTGACTTTTGAACCTTGTAAATATTTTATGCAACTAGAAAGCAAAATTAAATGTTTAGAAAGCAATTCCTAAAAATCAAGGAAACCTAACTGTATATGGAGCTTATGGGATAACCACACAAAGAGGAGCTATTTCAGTGACTTAAAAATACAGTAAAATATGAAAGTATGTCCCCAGTTAGGGTTATATATTCTAAGGACAACAATAACAAAAAAAAATGCAAAGAAAAAATCTTAACCTATTTTTAGTAATCCTACTGTTGGTGGTAGACTTAATGTTGTTACTTTGAAATAGTTGTTTGTATATGGTAGGCAAAAGCAAATAAAGAATGAAATGTGTGGCCGGGCGTGGTGGCTCACCCCTGTAATCCCAGCACTTTGGGAGGCTGAGGCAGGCGGATCACAAGGTCAGGAGATCGAGACCATCCTGGCTAACATGGTGAAACCCCGTCTCTGCTAAAAATACAAACAATTAGCCAAGCATGGTGGCGGGCGCCTGTAGTCCCAGCTACTCAGGAGGCTGAGGCAGGAGAATGGCGTGAACCTGGGACAGAGCAAGACTCTGTCTCAAAAAAAAAAAAAAAAAAGAAATGTGTAATTGAGAACTAGGATTTTCAGCGTTATAGAAAGGAAATAGAGCTTAGATGGATGAGTTAAATGAAAGCACTATCTTTCTGAATTTGTATTGGAAGTATTGTGATGTAAGAAGAAGAAGAAATGCATTAACTCTAGACACTGAAAAGGCCGAGAAACACTAACCCAGTGACAATGAGCATGCCCAGGTCTCTAAATACCATTTCCATGGAAATAAACTGGGGCTTCTTGCAGAAGTAGCTGAGTCCTGCACTAGGTCAGGCAATTTCCTAGATGATCCTGGAACATCTTGTCATACCAAAAAGCAAAAAAGTTATCAGTGGCTCTTTACTAGTGTCATGCCAAAAGGTCTCAGGAGCCAACCTGAAGAGACTGCCTCTGGTTGAAGATAGAGTGTCGTAAGGACAACAGCTGTAATGGCTTGAAATGTATTTGTTTTAATGTATGACTTCATAGTGAAATTTTGAAACAAAACCCTCATTAGCCACTCTTGGAAGATGCCTGCCAATCAACTGTTTATTTTAAAGGGTGGTAAATATAGAGAAAGAGTAAAGACAATCAAGTATATGTTCAAAGAAAGCCTTCTTTCTATGAAATCTACCTCAGCATAATCAAATAGTTGATGTAGAGAAATTTTTCTTTATGGAAGTTCTTTGGTTAGTAAATGAAGAAGGAATAATACAATTAGAATATCACCATTGAGCCCGTAATGAATCAGTGCATCTATGTAGTAACCGTTAAAAGCTGCTAATGTCACAAAGGGAGAGACAGCCAGACCATATGTGCCTCTTCATGCTCTTGAGGGAAGGGTATAACTTATTCCACTTGTGAAGTATTCTTTCACCCTCACCACCCCGCAAAGTCTAACCTGAATTTGATCAAGCTTCTAGCTCTAAATACTGATTTATGGCAAATACAGGGAACAGTAGAACAACTGGTCACCACAGGGACGTAACCAATGAAATCAGACTCTAAAAAACTCCATAGAGAACAAAGGCCAGGTCTCAATAAATGTGGAGTAAAAAAAGAGAGAGTAGGGACACGGGAGGGGAGGAAGGAGAAGAAACCTACTGATGAAAAGAAATCAAGGAGACATTTGCAATGCGTGCGTCTCACTTGGGTCCTGATGTAATCAAACAAATTGACAAAACTGTTTATGAGACAATTGGGGAAGTTTGAACATAGACTGGATATTTGATATTAAGGAATTATTGTTAATTTTTTAAAGGTATGATGTTGTTATTGTGGTTTTGTAAGAAAATATTTTCTTTTAGAAATATGTACTAAAATATATATATGGATGAAATTATATGCTATCTGGAATTGTCTTCTAACTGATCCTTGGTTGGGCATGGGTGGAGTGTGAGGGTATAAGCCAGGCATTGGCAAATTATCTGTAAAGGGCAAGATAGTAAATATTTTAGGCTTTACTAGTCATACAATCTCTGTCAAAGCTGCTAAAACCCTACCTTTGTAGTGTGAAAGCAGCCACAGACAATATGTAAACAAATGGGTATGGCCATGTTCCAGTAAAACTTTATTAACAAAAACAGACAGCAGGCTGGATTAAGCCCTCGAGTTGTAGCTTGTAAATCCTGGTTTAGATGAAACAGATTGGCCATGAGGTGACAGTTGTTGACGCCAGGGCACTTAGGATTCATTAGATCATTTTTCTTTTTGTATGTTTGAAAGTTTCCATCATAAAAAATAAAGTAAGGTACCTTCTGGGTAAAATTATAGGAATAGGTAGTTGGGACTATTCTCTTTGTTTTGTATACAACTCTTAATAAACTAACCAGAAAGTAGCTCCATCTAGAGAAGCATTTTTGGTTTTATTTTGTTTTATCTTTTCAAGCTCTCAAGCAGTATGTTGGACTCTTAGATCTTAAAATGTGAAATACCTTTAAACCATCTCCACTGATTTCGGTTTCTCTGCATTCTGTGGCTGGCATTTTGAGTAATCAGTCATTTATTCCCTCATCTAGGCATCAGAGATAAAGTATCTGACTGGGATGAGTTTCTGCGGCAGACCCTGATAGGAGCATGTAGTCCTCCTGTTCCGCTGCTAGAGGGCGTGAGTATTACTACATGCCACATCAGCATGGAAAACCCATCTGATCTTTCAAAGAATCTTAAAATCGGTTGCTTATTTACCACTCTGAAGAAAATAAACGTTATTATTAGAGACATAGGCATAGGTATTGGGAAGTTTAAACTTACCCTCAGAGGTTGCAAACTGGTGGCTTGCTTAGTGCCTAAATATTTTCTGAATTAGTTGCTAACACATAAAAAATCTAATTTCCCAGATTCTTTTATACAGTTGGAAAATAGGACCTTCTGAGGGCTTTCACTCTGAAACTGAGCAGAGGTCGATTCTGCTTGAGGGTGGACATTTGTAACTCCCACACCAGGTGACTTGGAGTCCCCCCAACCCACCCTTTTTTTTTTTTTTTTTTGCTTGGAACACATTGGATCTATTGCACTTCTGCCTTCCACCTGCTTTTCAGCAGTCCTTTTAAATTAGTGTGGCCTTTAAGCTTGTTAGTGAATATAGATCTCTTGATTTTGTGAAATGGATTTATTGGTTATGACATTTCTAAGTTATATCTTGTCACTTTCTGTCATACTGGTAAAATTATTTGTGGCATATGTGAAATGCAATGTATGAAGGTTCCCATCCCTCTACTTCCTTGCCAACACTTGTTATCTTTTTTATTATAGCTGACTAAGTGGGTATGAAGTGGCATCTCATTTTGATTTACATTTCTGTAATGACTGTTGATGTTGAGTATGTTTTTTTGTGCTTATGGGCCATTTCTGTATCCTTTTTGGAGACATTTCTTTGCCCATTTTTAAATTGGGTTGTCTTTTTATTATTGAGTTGAATGTATTATGCATTCAAAATATACATGCATTTCAAAATATTGAAAATATGTTTTCCCATTCTATGGTTTGTCTTTTTATTGTTTGCAGCGTAAACATTTTTTATTTTGATATAATCCAGATTATCTTTTTTTCTTTTGTTGCTTGTGCTTTTGGTATCATATCTAAGAAGGCTTTGCTTAACCCAAGGTCAAGAAGATTTACTCCTGTATTTTCTAAGAGTTTTATGGTTACATTTACTTCTGTCATCCATTCACATTCCCTTTTAAATTTTGATTGGTGAATACTCTATTTCAAACTGGTTTTTATTTTTTATACTCTGACTCATTTATTTATGCTTAGCCAGGGCCTTATACATACTAAAAACTCAGTAACATTTTAATGAATGGATGAATTGATAAACTATTCTACTCTTTTTTGACCATGACTCTGCCATGCTGACTTTTAGCTCTAAATCTTTTCCTCCACTTTTTCATATGTCCCTTTGCATATCTGGATATGTAAGTGTCACAGAGCAGTTTTTACTAGGAAAAAAATGTAAGGTTGTGTATTAGAAATGATTAAGTGATAACTTGATAATGAATTTCTTTTCTTTATTGTAGTTTTTAATATACTTCTAGATAGTGAGAGTTAAACTTTTCCTTTCCATCACTGTAATCAAAAGCTTTTACTCTGTTCATTTGAACATTGTTGTGACATCAATAAAAAACCAGAAACAACTGAAATACTATCTGTAGGTAACTGGATAAATTATTGCCCATTTACAATGTAAAATATCATAAAATACTATAAAACATGAGGAAGAGTTATATGTGCTATTATAGAAAGATACCTATGATGTACTAAATGAAGAACAAATTAAGAAACAGTATACAGTGTTTCCATTTTTCAAAAAATAGGAACAGACAGACTGGCAGAGGTGGATATTGACTTGTATGGAGAAAAAGAGTGTATGCCAAAGTGTTTCTTGTGGTTCTTTCTTTGAGGTGGGATTACAGGTGACTTTGACTTTGACTTTTGTTTGATTTTTTCTCTTTAATGATGATGATGGTATTTTGATATTTGCTTTTTTTAAATTTTTAAATTTTTTATAAAGACAGAATCTTGCTCTGTTGCCTAGGCTAGAGTGCAGTGGCATGATCTTGGCTCACCATAACCTCTGCCTCCTGGGTTCAAGTGATTCTTCTGCCTCAGCCTCTCAAGTAGCTGGGACTACAGGTGCCTACCACCATGCCCGACTAATTTTTGTATTTTTAGTAGAGACGGGGTTTCACCATGTTGGCCACACTGGTCTCGAACTCCTGACCTCAAGTGATCTGCCCACCTCAGCTTCCCAAAGTACTGGGATTACAGGTGTGAGCCACCATGCCTGGACCATATTTGTTTTATAATAGATGAGGAATGATGATATTTTAAAAATTCTTACTAAATGAAACTACATAACATAGTCCTAGAGATAGAGATGTGTTAGAGTAATTTTACTGCATTATAGGTAGATTTTCTTTAAGATAAACATTTTCATATCTCCTAGAAATAATACTGTAAGAGGCTTGTATGATGATAGACAATTTAGTGTCACTGGCTTTTGAATGGGTAAAAAATACAAAGGCTGGTTTGAGATCATTTATAAGTTGGCTTTTCAAAAATATTATGTTAATTTCTCTTACTGGGTTGTTTTACTTTTTAATCCTACAGCTCCGTAATGGGAGGAATCCTTTAGATCTCATTGCTCCAGGATCCAGACTAGAATGTCAAGCTTTCCAGGACTCTTTAAGCACTTGGATTGTTACTGTAGTAGAAAACATTGGAGGAAGGCTGAAGCTACGTTATGAAGGACTTGAAAGTTCTGACAATTATGAACATTGGTTGTATTACTTGGATCCATTTCTTCATCACGTTGGTTGGGCTGCTCAACAGGGATATGAGCTTCAGCCCCCTTCAGGTGAAGAGTAATAGGACATTTTTCTTCTGTGACATTAACATGCTATGTTATTAATATCTATGAGGCTGAAAAAATATATTCTGCATATTATGAAAACCTTTGTTAGTTCTCATAATAGAGCTATTACAAAACAGTTTATATGGAGTTGTTAAATTAAGTGCCTATTTTTCTTTTTTGTTGTTGTTCTGCTTTTGGTTTTTGTTTTGTTTTGTTTTGTTTTTTGAGACAGAGTCTTGCTCTGTTACCCAGGCTGGAGTGCAGTGTCATGATCTCAGCTCACTGCAACCTCCGCCTCCCGGGTTCAAGCGATTCTTGTGCCTCAGCCTCCCCAGTAGCTAGGATTACAGGCACATGCCACCACACCCGGCTAATTTTTGTATTTGTAGTAGAGATGGGGTTTCACCATGTTGGCCAGTCTGGTCTCGAGCTCTTGACCTCAAGTGATCCGCCCACCTCAGCCTCCCGTAATGCTGGGATTACAGGCGTGAGACACCGTACCTGGCCAAGTGCCTACTTTTCTTTTCTTTTTATTGCTTTTATAATTTACCACACATATTGATATACCTCATAGACTACTGTGCCAACCCATACTGACCCTTGACCAAGATAAAATAAAAAATTATCTAGGGAGCATTTAGCTAGGTACATAGAAAATTGGGTCACAGCAAATTGTTGATTAAAAGAAATACCAATAATATTGGTATTTCTAGAGTTACTGTTTAAATCAATTTGCATTTATTATTATGTGCCCCAATTTGGATGTTATATTACAATTTTATGGATTACAACAATCATTATGATCTTACTGTAGGTATTTTCATAGAGCCAAGCTGTCCAGGCTCTGCATAGAGCAAAGTACTGAAGTTAAGGTGCAAGTTCTTTGAATGTAAAGGGATATAAGTGGGCTTGAACCCTTTTCTAGTTCCAGTGGAAAGTGACTTGTTTTTGTTTATGTGAATGCTTTCAGGACAGGTAAAAAGTATAAGTTTCTCATCATCTAAAGCATGTTGTCATGTTTTATTAAAGCCATTAGACATCTAAAAAATGAAGCTGAGTGGCAAGAGATTTTGGCCAAAGTGAAAGAGGAAGAGGAAGAGCCATTACCATCTTACTTATTTAAGGTAAAAACAAAACATGTGATAGACCGGTATTGCTCCCCTTACAGTAGAGTAAAGCAACGCAGGAGGTGAAAGTGTAAAGCAGCCCCTGCAGTCGGTAAGAATGCCATGGTCTCTGAAGGAGGAGGGTGTGTTAAGGCTGGACTGATGATCATCCTTGTTTTCTTCTAACAGTTGTCTAGATTTTCTCCCCAAGTTCTCCTAAAGTAGTTTGAACCTTTTCTTTTTTACCCTTAACTACATAGTCTTAACTGATAAAATAAATTTGTTTTTTTCTCCAGATATTCCTTGTCTTTGAATGTAGAGAGTAGAAGCACTTCTGTGTGTTTTGTTTTTTCCTGGATAGTTTTTTCCAGAGTAGAAAATTATATTGGATAGTTTTG
This sequence comes from Homo sapiens, assembly GCF_000001405.40. Classification (NCBI taxonomy): domain Eukaryota; kingdom Metazoa; phylum Chordata; class Mammalia; order Primates; family Hominidae; genus Homo; species Homo sapiens. The sequence continues at coordinate 52,930,560 of NC_000003.12, read as the reverse complement.
CACATTTAAAAAAAAGAAGAAAACTATAGGATTTACCAGAGCTGGACATTTCTGTTAATCACAGCTACATGTGAGTGTAAGATTGATACAGATACTATGTTTTCATCCCCTTTTGGTGTCTGCATTTCAGGACAAACAAGTTATTGGCATTCATACATTCTCTGTAAACATGAAATTGGAAGCTGTAGACCCCTGGTCTCCTTTTGGGATCTCTCCTGCTACAGTTGTTAAGGTAAAATGGAGATAACTCTCTTGGTAAGAATCCCTGTCAAGGTGACTGGTTTAGGAAATGGGTAGTGTTTTGATCTTTAAGCTCTATTGATCCAACCCATTTTTCCTTCTAGGCCGTGCAGCTAGAATTACTTCTGTGCACGTTTTGTATTTGTCCAGTTTGCTGTGGCCCATTCCTCCTTCAGAGCTTGGTAGCCCTAGCCAAAGCAGCCTTGGGCCTGGGCACTGGACTAGTAGGGGACGCATTCTTTGGGGCAGGCCTAGCTGCATATAAGTAAAGGAGATTTAACTCCTTTAGGAGGCCAGGGTATCTGTAAAGTTGGAGGCAGGCAGTCTCATCAACGTCTAACCAGATGCAGAGCTCATTGGAATGAGGAGATGAATGGGGATCAGGCAGTTAGTGTTAAAAGTTCTGGCAGTGGACTGGCTCCAGCTATGTATTCCAGATTCAGATTTAATCTTTTGGAATACTGACAAAACTAAGAAGTAAGGTTATCAAGGCCCTGCTCAGTCACTACAACTGAGGCATTGGCGAGAGAATTTCAGTTTCCAACTAGAGCAGAAGGACATTTACTGAAAATAGAAGCCAAAGTTGAATGTGACTAGAGGAATAGTTGCCTGGGTGCTAAATCCTCTGACCTATTGAGATTTAAGTTTTCCCTGTCTTGGAAGAAGATTATTCTCAAAGCAAGGAGGGATTCTGAGCCTGCAGGTGGGGCCAGAAGGCCCTACCTAGAGTCTGAAGGGAGGGCTAGTGGGAAGCCAGAGGAAGTTCATAAAGTTATCTCTTTGGCCGGGTGTGGTGGCTCACGCCTGTCATCCCAGCACTTTGGGACGCCGGGGCAGGCAGATCACCTGAGGTCAGGAGTTCAAGACCAGCCTGACCAACATGGAGAAACCCCATCTCTACTAAAAATACAAAATTAGCTGGACATGGTGGTGCATGCCTGTAATCCCAGCTGCTCGGGAGGCTGAGGTGAGAGAATCGCTTGAACCCGGGAGGCGGAGGTTACGGTGAGCCAAGATTGTGCCATTGCACTCCAGCCTGGGCAACAAGAGCGAAACTCCGTCTCTAAATAAATAAATAAATAAAGTTCGTTCTTTGGCATTTGAAACTGGGCTAGGATTTGAAAAACTAATACATAGTAGCATAAGCTTAAACTAAGTTTGTCACTAAGCTTAGAATAAATTTTGTTTGGAGCCAAACTACATGGCTTTGGATCCAGGTTTTGCTTCTTCTTTGTTTTGTAACCCAGGGCAAGTTATTTAACCTCTGTTTGAACTCATTCTCCTTATCTGTGAAATGGAGTTGATAAAGGTACTTGGGCCAGGTGTGGTGGCTCATGCATGTAATCCCAGCACTTTGGGAGGCTGAGGCAGGAGGATTGCTTGAGCCCAGGAGTTTGAGACAAGCCTGGGCAATATATGGAGACCGAGTCTCTACAAAAATTAAAAAAAATTAGCTGGGCATGGTGGTGCATGCCTGTTGTCCCAGCTACTCAAGGGACTGAAGTGGGAGGATCAACTGAGCCCAGGAAGTCAAGACTGCAGTGCTTCGGTGAGCCAAATTCATGCCACTGCACTCCAGCCTGGGTAAGAGAGCAAGACCCTGTCTCCAAAAAAAAACAAACAAACTATATATATATGTGTGTGTGTGTATATATGTATATATGTGTATATATATATATATATGTATATATATGTATATATGTATATATATGTATATATGTATATATATGTATATATGTATATATATGTATATGTACTTACCTCATTCAGTTGTTAAGATTAAAACTGAATTGATACATGAAAAGCATTTAATTAAAACAGTAATTATATGTATTACATAACACAGAGCTAACATTTAGTGTTTAGTATTATTAATACCCACATGAGTATGAACTTTTGTAATATGTTTGGCTGTGCCAAGGAGAAAGCACATATATATGTGTGCATTTGTCTATTTCATCTATTAATTGCATGTATAGGTTTTTGATGAGAAGTACTTTCTGGTGGAAATGGATGACTTGCGTCCTGAGAACCACGCACGGCGATCCTTTGTGTGCCACGCCGACAGTCCTGGCATCTTCCCTGTGCAGTGGAGTCTGAAGAATGGCCTACACATCAGCCCCCCTCCAGGTGCACATTCGCTGTCTTCTGAATTGTCACTTGAGAGCTTCTCCTTGAAATGAGACATGTCAGATGGCATTGCTGAAATCTTTTGTCCCTCTCCTCCTGCCCTAGCCTGTTCCTAACGTTTTTGGGGTCTGAGAAAAGTATAAGGAAAGGTCTAGATTCCATGTATTTACATATTTGAAAGTTACAAACTGAGCTAAAAAACTGTTAAAGAGAGTGCGTTCTATCCTCTGACTTTGATATCTATGTCCTCATAACCCCCTGGAAAACCAGGTTCCAACCTGGGTTCGTGCTGGCTCCTTAGTCCCTTTTATGTCTGTTAGGGGTGGCAGAGGGGTGAGCTTGGATGCACAGCAAGCACTGGGGGCTGGCTTGTGAGAAGAGGCCGTAGAGCCAGAGTTAGAAGGTAGATTACTGATTATCTTTAGGTGTCTGAGCCTTGTCATGGAGGGGACTTTCTACAGAGAAGTTTATGGTGAAGAGTAGAACTCAGGGAGTAGGTAGGAAAATAAAAGCTCATTTTCCTGATATTTGCAACTTTGCAAAATATAGTCTTTGATCCTTTAATCAAGGCCCTTAATTAATGGGTTAGTTGAGCTTGACTGAAATTTTTAATATTTTTAAACTTAGAGAATCTAGAATATGTCAGATGTTTATCTGATTTTTTAATATTAGCAAATCAGATTATTTGATTGGCAGTCTATATATGTTATTAGTAGGTTTTCAGTAAAGCATAGCATCACTTTTCTAAATGGTGACTGCTGGAACACTGGGCTGGAAGTACTCTTTCTTGTTAACAAGGGTCATAAACTCAGAACCTTTGTCTTCCATTCAGCTTTTATTCATTCAACAAACATTCATGTGAAGTTTGCTGTAAGCCAGGCATTGAGCTTATCCCTGGGGAGAGTGACAAGCTCAATGAGTACAACTCGGTCCCTTCAAGGGGCAAATAGGGGGAAATATTAACAGAACTTCCTAGAGTCTCCTCCATCAGTGAACACAGCAGATGAATGCCTGGTTGGAGGGTGTGGTGTAGAACAGCCATAGAAGGAAGTTCTTGCTTTGCAGGCACGCTCTAGATATCCCAAGTTCTTTATTCTGCTTGCCACCTCTATGTGAAAAAGAAGGAACAGTTGTTAAAAATACTGAAGCTTTCAGTGTTGTTATAGACAAATCAACTGTGTCTTTGTAAATAGAGGGAAGGTAGTAGATTACATAACTGAAAATGGCAGAAAATGTACTGTCAGGCATTGAGGTTGGGGCAAAGGGAGAACATGGTGCCAGTCTTCGGTAGGCAGGGACTGTTGGGCTGTCAGAGGGCATAGACTTGAGTAGCCTATTTTTTTGCCTGTGAGACATTAAGCTCTCTGGAGGCTGAGAGCAACTCAGACACAGTAGGCAGTTGGGCCTCGCTCAGCTCTTTGCATGTAGATGGTGCTGAGTCAGCAGCAGCTTGGAGATGCTTCCATCAAGAACCTCAGTAGACTTAAGTGGGGTGCTAAGCTTGATTTTTCTGAAATAAATACATGATTTAGATTATAAAAGCATTGATATTCTGTAATATATGAATCTGAAAATGACAAGAGGATTTGTATCAGTGATATCTGAGACACATTTCAGGAAACAGCTTTAACAAAGAAAAAAAGTCTTCGTCTTTGCAGATTAACTAATACTATTTGCTGTCTCTTTTCCTTGAGAGCCCGAGTCCCTTTAGAATTGACAATAAGAGTGGATTTATATATACAAATCAAATCCAGTCATAACTGTCTTAAATTCTTTTGGTAAATTGCCAGCAACTAATCATATAAAATAGTGCTCAAAATAAATGCCTAGTTTGAAATTTGAAAGTTTACAAATTTATCCAGAGTCTGATTGTCTTATTACAGTTTGACCAGAGTTGCTCTATTTTATAAAATTAACAGTGCTCTAGATTTATAGAATGCTTTTCGCCCCTCTAAAATGATCAAAGTTGTCAGACTAGCATCACTGGAAGTTGTGAGTGGACCCTTGGTGAGGGGTGAAGCCAGGCAGGCGTATGTGGTGTGGTAGTGTGACTCATTGTTCATTTGTCCCCACCTAGGCTACCCAAGCCAGGACTTTGACTGGGCTGACTACCTCAAACAGTGTGGTGCTGAAGCTGCTCCCCAGAGGTGCTTCCCTCCGGTGAGGACCCCCACGGCCTCATGGCCACTATGGCAGGGCTGCAGGGACTGCTGTGCTTCCCTTGCTTTCCATGTTATTGCTCTGAAGATAATCATCTCACTTAATCCAGATGAGCACAGTGGTGATTGTAATCACATGGTCTAAAGGAAAATACATTTACTGCAGAAGTGAATCAGTTAGTTTGCTAATTAAGTTAGTTTTATAAGTTTATTGGTTTTATTTTTTCTTAGCTGAAATCGTGAATTTGAAATTTTATGATTATTTTTCATGGTTCAATAATAGGAAAAACTGTTGAAATATTAAGTGGAGAAAAATTGTTAAGCTTATTTAAATTCTTCTATCCAAATAATACATGCATGTGGTTTAAAGAGCCATGTAGCAGTAAAAGGCTTAGAAGGTAAAATAGCAGTCCCTGCCCTACCCCGTTTCACAGTCTCCCTTCCCAGAAATAACTACTTCCTGTTCTTCTCACTGTAATTCTAGTTATTTGTATTTCTTCATTTTCAAAATAAAAACCTTCTATCTTTTGAGTCATTTATTTTAGACATGTCACTTGGTTCTAATTTAAAAACTTTGACTTTATTAAAACAAATTAAATTCACCCTGTCTTATGGTGCTGAGTCTGTTGGTTCTAAATTATGATAAATGAGCATTTAATTATTTTTTATTACCTTTCCTCTCTGTCTTACCACATTCTTCTTCCTTTAGAGTTATATTACAATTTTTGGTTAAATACAAAATGAGTTTTTACATTATGATATGCATTCAGATATTACAGCTGAGCACTGCAGTTTTGTTTTGTTTTGTTTTGAGACAGAGTCTTGCTCTGTCACCCAGGCTGGAGTGCAGTGGCACGATCTCAGCTCACTATAGCCTCCGCCTCCCGGGTTCAAGAGATTCTCCTGCCTCGGCCTCCCAAGTAGCTGGGATTACAGGCGCCCACCAGCACACTCGCCTAATTTTCATTTTTATAGTAGAGATGAGGTTTCACCATGTTGGCCAGGCTGGTCTCGAACTCCTGACCTCAAGTGATCTGCCCACCTCAGCCTCCCAAAGTGCTGGGATTACAGGTATGAGCCACTGCACCTGGCACTGCAGTATTTTATGATTGTTTCTTTTTAAAAATTTTTATCCTCAATAATAATTGCCTTGTTTTTAATTTACTTAATTTTATCTATTGCTGCTGCTGTCCACACTTCCCAGTAGTCTCTCATTATCAAAAGCAGTCACATCAAGAAATCTGTCATTCCTAACACTTTTGTTAAAGAGACATCCCTCTTAGCAACCTCCACTCTCTGTCTGGATGGGTTGCTCTTTAAAGGTTTGCCATGTAGTTTTTGTGGGTTTTGTTGTTGTTGTTGTTGTTGTTGTTTGTTTTTTGTTCTTCTTAGACAGAATCTTGCTCTTGTCGCCCAGGCTGGAGTGTAGTGGTACGATCTCAGCTCACTGCAACCTCCGCCTCCCGGGTTCAATAGATTGTCCTGCCTCACCCTCCTGAGTAGCTGGAATTATAGGCGCCCGCCACCATGCCTGGCTAATTTTTGTATTTTTAGCAGAGACTGGGTTTCACCATGTTGGCCAGGCTGGTCTCAAACTCCTGACCTCAGATGATCTTCCCGCCTCAGCCTCCCGTAGTGCTGGGATTACAAGTGTGAGCCACTGTGCCGGCCTTGCCATGTAGTTTTAATCATGGAAATGCCCTTGTCACCCAGGGAATTGCCCACTCCCCTTTTGTATGATTTGGGGTCCCTTGTTTTGTAGAGATCTCATGGCCTCCTCTTTCTTGGTTTGCTTCCTTGTTTTGATGGATCCCCATCTCTCAGTACCTTCCTGTAACAGGGTACAAGGGAAGTAAATTTTTTTTGACACTGTATATTTGAAAATGTCTTCACTCTACTGACTTGCTTCATAGTTTGGCTCAATGTGGAAGTTATTTTGCTTGAGAATTCGGAAAACATTGCTCAGTTGTTTTCTAACTTCTAGTGTTACTATCAAGAAGTTAAAAGCTATAAAGCTATTTTTATTTTTGTTCTTTTGTAGATGACCTGCTTTTCCCCCGACCCTTTCTGGAAGGTATAGAACCACTTTTCACAGTGATGAACCTTGATGCGAGCCTGTTTTCATCCGCTGTGCTAGGTTCTCAGTGGGCACTTTCTTTCTGGACCTTCATGCCTTTCTGTGTTGGGAAATTTTTTTTAAATCACTTCTTTGATTTCCTTCCTTCCGTTTTGTCTCTTTTCTCTTTCTGGAAGTTCTTTTATTTGGTTGTGGCCCTCTGGATCAAACCTCTGCTTTTTAAATCTTTTTATCCTGTTTTATGTTTCTTAGTCGTTTTGCTTTATTTTCTGGAAGATTTCCTAAACTTTGTCTTTCGGCCTTCCTTTTGAGTTTTTAATTTTTGACATCATGTTTTTTATTTTCTGGAACTCTGAATAGTTCGTTCGTTTGTTCTTTCTTTCTTTTTTTTTTTTTGATGGAGCTTTGCTCTTGTTGCCCAGGCTGGAGTGCAATGGCACGATCCTGGCTCACTGCAACCTCCACCTCCCGGGTTCAAGAGATTCTCCAGCCTCCTTAGCAGCTGGGATTATAGGGCCCGCCACCACACCCAGCTAATTTTTTGTATTTTTAGTAGGGACAGGGTTTCACTATGTTGGCCAGGCTTCTGTTGAATTCCTGACCTCAGGCGATCCACCCGCCTCAGCCTCCCAAAGTGCTGGGATTACAGGTACTTCTTTGTTTTTAATATCATACTATTCTTGCTCTAAGGATGCAATAGTTTTTCTTATCTCTCAGAGGCTGTTAATTAATCCACCCCCCACACACACACCTTTTGGGAAGTTTTCTTCTTGCATAATCACTGCTTTTTCCAAGTTGCTTGTCTGTTTTGGTCCTAACTTTCATCTTCTTAGGTGTCTGGTAATTCTTGGTTGTTGCTATATTTAAGAATGGGTGACTGAAAGGAAGAGCTGATTGAAAGCTCTGAGCAGGTAGATGGAGCTTGTCAACCTTGAACTTTCCTATAGGGTGGAATCTGATTGGCCATTTGTTGGGGAAACCTGAATCCATATCATTATGTGTTTCTTCCTGGGCTTATCATATCACCATAAGAAGTATCTTCTAGTCCCCTGCCTGGTGGGTAGAGGCGGAGGGCTGGGCCTCTCAGCAGTCCATAGGCTAACCGCTGTTTTGGTCACGACATACATGCCCTCAGCAGTTCCTTGTGTCCTCTTACCTAGGCATCTTCTCTTTTACCCTGTCCAGAGGATAAATCTCACCTTCTGTAGGGGAGAGGAAGGAATGGTTTCCCTAATGCATGGAGTCGAGGAGCCAATGGCATAACCTAAATGTTTCTTAAATGTTTTCAACAAATCCTCCTTGTTTTGACTGTCTCCTCTACCTCCAGTTGCCTAGTACCTGGCAGTTCTTCCAGTTCTTAGCTTTCTTTACTGCCAGCTTAGAGTCACCTTTAACTTAGTTTCCAGACCCTGTTCTAAATTTTAGCTTATAAAATGTTGTTTCCTTTCCTGTTATATCCATCTTAAGATAGATGTTAAGTTTTTGTCTTCAAAATAGAAGCAAACCAAAAACAACTTTAGTTTTTAAGTTAGATGTCAGAAGAGAGAACACTCAAACGCAGATGTTCAGTTGTCCATTTTGACACGGATGCTGGATATTTTTCTGTTTTAAATGACCCTTTCCCACTGTTGATAAACATTCTTCATCCTAACTGCCTCTTATGATACACATGCAAGTATGAACCAGGCAGTTTGTGGTATGATAGGGTGCTTTATATGAGGGGAAGTGAGTCAACAGTGTTGATAGCCACTTGGTTCAGGACACAGAACCTTAGAGACTATTTCATTGATACCTTGTAATAGCACAGCCAGATGGGAGTTCTCAACCTCATCTGACAGGTGAAGAAACTGAGGCAAAAAGAGGTTATACAGCTTGAGCAAGGTCATACAAGTAGCAATAATGCAGGAATATCTGACATCAAAGAGTGTACTTCCTGTATACTTCCTATAACACCAGGAAAGGCAGACATTTTCCTTTTGCTTCATTAAAAAGCAAAACAATGCAAAATAAATGTTATCTTTAAACCTAGGGATTAAGTACTACTTGAAAAAGGTTTTCTAGCTGAGCACGTGAGTTAATACTGTGTTAATCCAGTAAATTGATTTGATTCATTCATTTTCTAGTTAATTTCTGAACATGAATTTAAGGAGAACATGAAGCTCGAGGCGGTGAACCCCATTCTCCCTGAAGAAGTGTGTGTTGCTACCATCACTGCAGTGAGAGGCTCCTACCTGTGGCTCCAGCTGGAGGGTGAGTGCCAGCACTCTAGAAGCCTTCCTGTGGCCACTCTCCTTTGAGCTTCCTGTTTACTCCTGTAATGTTGCCTGTTAAACTTAATGGATTAGTTAAATAGGGATCTTGTTCAGAGACTTTTGTAATGCAAGACTCTAAGCGAAATATTTATTTTCCTGTCCTTGGCTTTCAAATTCCAAATTTTAGGAAATGAATATGAATAAAAATTCTTTACTACAGAGTCCCCTATTTTCTGGAAGGGGAAAACATAAGTCAAATAGCATATATTTTGATGTGACCAAGTTATATGAGCATGGACATTAACACCTAGCTTATTGAAGAGATAATATTTTGGTTGCTGCAGCCCAATAGAACCAAAAAGTATATAGAGTAGAAATGGTAAACTGTGCTAAAAGTAATATTCAATAATTGGACAGGTTTGTGGATGCAAGGCGCTGCGTGAGTACTCAGTGCTACGGTTACCATATATGCCCTGAGCAGCTTTTTTATCCTGCTGCCAAATAGTCAGACTTTGAGAAGGTACCTACTGTTTCTGATTTGTAGAATTGGCATTTAATGCGGATGTCAAGGATAATATCGAATGTAGACTTTTATGCAATCCTTGTTCAGCAGCTTGCCAAATCACTTCCTGATTTGAATTCACTGTTCTTCTTTTCTGGCTTATTCCTGAAGTACCAGAACTGATGTTCTCATTGAGTAAAATTGTCACCTTTGCCATTTGGTTTCCATTTGTCTGAAATGACTGTGATATTTATTAACCATCTGAATGATACCAGTGGTAGTTCCAGTTTCTTATTTGCTGTTCCCTAGCTTAAGTGTCACCCTGTATATTCTCTACCCATTTTGGTCCTGATACAGTTTTACATGGAAGACAGTTTTTTTTCATAATGTTTATCATACATGAAAATGTATGACTTCTGTGTCAAGAGACTTGTGTCTGCATTATTATAAGAGTAGAACATTATCTAGAAAATAGTTTATGAAGAAGGTTATTTAATGGTCTAAAAAAAGGTTTGTTTGTTTGTTTGTTTGTTTGTTTAAATCTAAACAGGTTCTAAGAAGCCTATACCTGAATGTATTGTGAGTGTGGAATCCATGGATATATTTCCTTTGGGCTGGTGTGAAACCAACGGCCACCCCCTCAGCACTCCTCGCCGAGCACGAGGTATCTGTCTATTTCTGGGTTAGAGGATTGATTGTTAAATAATCTTCTGTGTGGCTGCTGCCAATTAAAACTAATCTGGACATTTCAGAGAAAAAAAATGACATTCTGGTTCTCTGTTCCTGCATAGGAAATTATTTATTGTAACAAATATTTAATACCTTACAGTTTCTGTGGGTCAGGAATTTGGGTGCAACTTAGGTGGGTCGTCTGGATCTGAGTCTCTCACAGGCTGCACTCAAAGTGTCAGCCAGGGCTCCAGTCATCTCAAGGCTCAACGTGGGGAGGATCTGCTCCCAGCTTTACACAGATTATTATTGGCAAGTGTCTTAGTGCATTCTAGCTGCTGTAACAAAATACCATACACTGGGAAGTTTATAAATAACAGAAATTTATCTCTCACAGTTCTGGAGACTGGGAAGCCCAAGATCCAGGCGTTGGCAGATTCAGGTTCTGGTGAGGGTGCATTTCCTGGTCCATAGTTGGCACCTTCTCGTTGTGTCCTCACATGGTAGAAGGGACTACTAGCTCTGTGGATCTCTTTTATAAGAGTACTAATCTGCATCATGAAGGTTCTGCCCTTGTGACATGATCACCTTCCAAAGGCCCCATCTTCTCATACCAGCACATTGGTGGATAAGTTTCAATGTGAATTTTGGAGAGTACAAACATTCAGACCATAGCAGCAAGAATGCATCTTCTTGTGGGCTCTTGGACTGAGGGCCTGAGCTCCTTGCTGGGTGTTGGCTGGAGCCTTCCTTTAGTTCGTTGCCATGTGGGCCTCTCCGTAAGGCAGCTCACAACATGACAACTGGCTTCTGTCAGAGTGAGGAAGCAAGAGAGCAAGAGAGGTTGAGGAAGATGGAAGCCAGAGTCTTTCTGCAACCTAACCTCGAAAGTGGCAACCCAGTTTCCCCCTTTTTAAACAGCTTTCTGGTGTTACAATTGACGTACCAGCTATCACCATAGTCAGATTGAGAACATTTTCATCATTTCAGAAAGAAACCCTATACTCATTAGCAATCAACCCCCACTCCAGCATCCACGAATCTACTTTCTGTCTCCATAGGTTTGCCTGTTCTAGACATTTCACATAAATGGGATCATGGTCTTGTGTGACTGGCTTCTTTCATTTAGTGTACTGCTCTCAGAGTTCATCCATGTTGTAGTGTGTGTCCGTTCTTTATTCCTTTATATAGCTGAATAATATTCCATGCTATAAATCTGACACATTTTGTTTATCTATTTAACAGTTGATGGACATTTGAATTGTTTCCATTTTTTGACTATTAAGAATAAGTTTTATAGTTTTCTCCTATAAAACTTTCTCTAAGAGTTTTATAGTTTTAACCCTTACATTTATGTTTAGATCTTTGATCCCCTTTGGGTTAAGTTTTATATATGATATGAGGCAGGGGTCCCCAACCCGTGGGACCACACAGCAGGAGGTGAGTGGCGGGCGAGTGAGCATTAGTGCCTGAGCTCCACCTCCTGTCAGATCGGGGCGGCATTAGATTCTCATAGGAGCAAGAATCTTATTGTGAACTGTCTCGTGAGGGATCTAGGTTGCACGATCTAATGCCTGATGATCTGAGGTAGAACAGTTTCATCCTGAAATGACCCCCCACCCCCTGGTCCATGGAAAAATTGTCTTCCATGAAGCCAGTCCCTGGTGCCAAAAAGGTTGGGGACCACTGATCTGAGGTAAGGGTCCAACTTTATTCATTGAGCTTTCCCAACACTTACTGACCCAGGGAGCCTTGAAAATATTATTTTTGCTCTTTGTATAAAGATCCCTACTAAGAAAATGTGCCTCAGTCTAGATATTCAGACATAAGCATTAATTTATAGTACTATATATATGTGTATATATATATATACACACACACATATATACACACACACTCACACAGAACCAGGTTTTAAATATGCTAATGTAACCTTAATACACATATGAATTTTCCTTTGTCTTTTTATTTTTCTTGGCATTTATATATTTTTTTCTTTCTACAGTATATAAACAGAGGAAAATTGCAGTGGTTCAGCCAGAAAAACAGTAAGTAACGTAATAATATGAACAGTTTACAAGTTAGAATATCTAGAAAAATAACTATTTCAGAGGGTATATTTCCTCATTTTCTCAGATGGAAGCATAATTTTTTAATTCAACATTTGATCATTTGTATACTTCTCTTTGCAGTATATGCATTTTCTAAAATGGCATTATATACAAAAGGGTAAAATGCATTCTCAAGATGGTGTCTAAATTGAGTTTTCTTTGGCTTTTAGAGCCTTAAGATAGTTGAATAAAAGAAAGAAAATAAGAGTGCCCATGCTGGTATTCATTAAGGAAGAGCAAAAATTGTAAATTAGGGTATGATTTGTCACAGTGGAAAAAAATAAAGCTGGGGTAGAAGACAGCTCTAAAAGAAAAGGCACATTCAAAGGAGTGGCTTTGTGCCCATCAAGAAATTCTTCGTTTGTAACATACCTGCACACACAGCTTTTGAGAAACAGTTAATTAGTAGTGCCTTCAAACCTTAAAAGTACAAATGTTTCTGTGTGTATATGTGTGTTTTAAAACATTGGGTGTTGAATTCTCTATTAATCTGCTGGGGCTGCCATACAAAATACCACAGGCTCGGTGGCTTTAAACCAGCGGTCCCCAACGTTTTTGGCACCAGGGACCGGTTTCGTGGAAGACAGTTTTTCTACAGACTGGGGTGGGGAATGGTTTTGGGATGAAACTGTTCCACCTCAGATCATCAGGCATTAGATTATCCTAAGGGGCATGCAATCTAGATCCCTCACATGCACAGTTCACAATGGGGTTCACACTCCTGTGAGAATCTAATGCTGCTGCTGATGTGACAGGAGGCCGAGCTCAGGCCGTAATGCTCCCTTGCCTGCTGTGCGGCCCCATTCCTAACAGGCCATAGACGGGTACTGGTCCGTGGCCCTGGGGTTGGGGACCCCTGCTTTAAACCACAGAAATTTATTTTCTTACATTCTGGAGGCTGGAAAATCCAAGATCAAGGTGCTGGTAGATTGCTTCCTAGTGAGGGCATTCTCCCTGGCTAGCAGATGGCTGTCTTCTGGCTGTGTCCTTGCATGGTGGAAAAATCTTTCTCTCCCCGGCACCCCCCGACCCCTCTCTTCCTGTAAGGCTATCAATGCTATTGGATTATAGCCTACCCTTATGACCTCATTTAATCTTAATTACTTCCCCAAGGCCCTATCTTCGAATACAGTTACACTGAGCACTAGGGCTTCAACATATGAATTTGAGTAGGAGGAAACAATTCTGTATATAGCAAATTCTATAACTACCTAAACCTTTGTAACTATGTGGGTAATAAAACTAACAACAGAAGTGGAGAGAAAGGCCATAGACATTTATACCAAGTAGAGAAGTGAGGTAACAATGAAAAAAAAGACTGACCTTGGATTTTTCCTTGACTTAGTTGCCAAAACTGATCCAAAGCTTTAGTTAGGATGCATTCTAAAAGATAAATTAGCCTTTTTTCAGTGATTGCTACATACAGAATAAGCCTCTGTTTTTTTTTAAATAACATAATTTGTCTTTAATTTGAAAACTGATGGACGAAGAAAACGAACCCTATATAAAGTTTCTGTTCTTTGACTGTTGAAAAATGAGTAGTTTATTTGTGATTTAAGCATCTCACAAGAAATTTTGTAATTTTTTTGCCCAGTGAATGAAGAGAAAGTTTGAACATGTAGTATCACAATGCTATATACAGACTGTCCATTGGCTCATTATGCCCTATATATAGTTTTAAAAACAATTGTTCTTTTTTGTTGTTGTAGTTTTTTGTTGTTGTTGTTGTTGTTGTTGTTGTTTGGTTTTTTTGACACAGAGTCCTGCTTTGTTGCCTAGGCTGGAGTGCAGTGGCACGATCTCGGCTCACTGCAAGCTCTGCCTCCTGGGTTCACGCCATTCTCCTCCCTCAGCCTCCTTAGTAGCTGGGACTACAGGTGCCTGCCACCATGCCCAGCTAATTTTTTGTATTTTTAGTAGAGACGGGGTTTCACAGTGTTAGCCAGGATGGTCTCAATCTCCTGACCTTGTGACCCGCCCACGTCAGCCTCCCAAAGTGCTGGGATTACGCGTGAGCCACCGCATCCAGCCTTGTTCTTTTAAAAAAAAAAAAAAAAAAAAAAAGTATCATCAAGGGAGTACCTTCTGTTACAGATTTTGCGAACATGCCACATTTGCTTTCTTCTTAGATTTGAAGGAAACTAAGCCTCACACTTTACTGATCTTAAGAATTATCTCACTATTTTACTGTGTTTTCTTGACCCAGAGTACCATCCTCGAGGACTGTCCACGAGGGCCTGAGGAATCAGGAGCTGAACTCCACAGAGTCAGGTATAAGCACATGTCATCTTAAGGAAAAGAAGACTTAGTTTCTTTTAATGGACTATATCTGAAAATAACTTAAAACAGTACATTTGATGTATAGTATGTGTCTTCATAGAGGGGTCTCTTAATTGTGACTTTAGAGTTATAACTGTCTAAGATGTGTTTAGTTTAATAATCATCTCTAGGCTGATAGTTCCGTCCATTTCTAATAATTGTAGCTATTCTTTACTGATCAACCGTTGTGTGCCAACGGCTCAGAAGGCCAATGTTACCATCCTTGACTTTAGCTAAAGAACCTGAAGTTTTCCAGGCAGTGTTCTTTCTTAAGCTAGATGGTTGAGAGGTAGAAGTTTATTCTTTTTAAAACCCTTTTTTATGATATGCATACTTTGTATATAAATTTCACAGTTTATGTGAAAAAAATAAAGCAATGGAAAAAGAAATTGTCCCAGAGGCAATTAATGCCTGATAAATGAGAGAAAAATCCTTGCTGGAGGTTCAAGCCTTTTGTCCAGGGTCCTCTCTTGAACTATTCTTAACTTCCACGTGCTTGTTGTGTAATGTTTAGCATCCTGGCTGTGTGTATTCTAGCACAGATTGCGCATTTGGGTGATATTTAGTAAATGCCTAGAAGAGAAATCGAAGCTCAGAGAGATCACACAGCTTATGAGTAGAAAGACCAGAAATGAAACTGAAGTCTTTCACAAATTAGAAACCCGTACTTCCGTCTCTTGTACCTACTGCCTTTTCATTACATCATTTGTACATAGAGGGTTAGGACTGTGTAACTCCTTGCTTTTGATGCTTTCCTGGCCATTCGAATGCCTACTGAAACCACAGAATTTAAGACATTAATATCTTCTGCACAACCTCAGCCAAGGCCTTTTGGTTTGGGTTTTGTCATAGGTCAGGTTCCCTGGGAAACAGAGTCTGAGACTCTGACATATGCATTCAGGAGTTTCATTGGGGAGTATTTTTGGGAACAGCTCCTTAGAAGGAGTAAAGGAAGTAGGATTGGGCAGAGAGATAAGTTGAACCATGATGCAGTTGCAACAGAAGTTTCTTCTAGTTCCACTGGGAGCCCTGAAGCTGATCTAACCACTCAGAGTTGATCCTAATTCAGGTGTGGTGGCCACACTTTACTGACCAGTTATTGGAAGTAAGCCACTGCTCCCTCCCCACCTCACAAGGGGCAAGGTGGCCCTCTCCTGCTGAGAGCAGTACCCAGTTCAGGGTGATTCCAGAATAGACATAAAACTGGGAACTGTAAGCTGCCAACATACCCAGCAGCAGGGGTATGAGTGCCTTAATTCTGAAAAGAGGCATTTGGGTTGCAGGGTTCAACTGGAAATGTGAGCACCAGCATACTGGCCACTATGATAGACCATCGTTTTTTTGTTTTGTTTTGTTTTGAGACAGGGTCTCGCTGTGTCATCCAGGCTGGAGTGCAGTGCAGTGATATCAGCTCACTGCAACCTCCACCTCCTGGGCTCAAGCTGTCCTCCTACATCAGCCTCCCGAGTAGCTGGGACTACAGGCATATGCCACCACATGTGGCTGATTTTTTTGTTTTTGTTTTTGTTTTTGTTTTTTGTAGAGATGGGGCTTCACTGTGTTACCCAGGCTGGTCTCAAACTGGACTCAAGCGATGTGCTCCCCCGTTGGCCTCCCAAATTGCTGGGATTACGGGCATGAGCCACAACACCTGGCTGTGACTATTCTTAATTAAAGAGAAAACATTATGAACTGCAGGATCCTATCAACAATGGGCAGTGTGCGCATATCTTTCCTTAACATTGGATTAACAGGCATATCTATTAGAAGAGCTTCTCTGTGCTTTATAGCAGTATTTTAGTGTCTTTGAATTTTTTACATTCAACAGCTGACATGCCTACCACTATGAGGGGATTTTTTAAAAACATTAAATTGAAGGACAGTATTGATACAGACAAATAGTTGAAGAAAAGGGTCTCCAGACCCAGTTATACCCCACAGTACAAAAAAAACTTAGAGATGTGGTCACAGCATACTTTTAGCCCTCTGAGAAATCTCAGAGATGGGATTGCTCTCACAACATCAAAGGCTGCCAACATATTAGTTTGGTGGTTTTTAGGAGACAAACTAATTCTCAATAATATTCAACAATTTCTATAAATATTCCAGAATAGATGATTGAAAGTTGGTTTTTGAAGACCTGGAAAAGAAATCATTGATCATCCAGAATCCTCATGTGTTCTTAAAATACACCCTCCACTTTCTTTATTAATAGAAGATAGGGTTCTTCTATCAATTTTGCAGTAACCTAGGAACTAATCAGCATGTTAATTCAGGACCCTCTTTGATTTCAGCAGAGTGATAAGCTCTGTAAGTTACTTAAGAGCATTCTCAGACAACATGTTAAGCTTCAAAATAAGTAATTCCAAACTTTATATTAATATAATGGTACATGTGCTTCGTTTTTCTTCCCTGGCAGTTCAGCTTTGGAAACGTGGGGTAGAGAATGACTGTTTTGAATATTTGTTTTTCTTCATTTCCCAGTTATGATTAATGGAAAATATTGCTGTCCAAAGATATACTTCAACCACCGTTGCTTCTCAGGGCCATATCTTAACAAAGGAAGAATTGCTGAGCTGCCTCAATGTGTAGGACCTGGGAACTGTGTTCTGGTCCTTAGAGAGGTAAGGTTCTGGCCTAGAGCAAAATAACTTGGAAATTTCACAGCATTCTCCTATGGTCATTTCTACAGGGAGCCACATGCCATAGATGTGACAGTTCTAGGTTTTATCAAAAGTTACTAACTTTTCTCATGTTTTGGACAGTGAAGAGGGTATGTAATTATTTCTCCTCCCTAGGAAACATTCACGTAAACAACTCTTCACACAGCAGGTTCACCTCTGTCAGGGTAGAAAGGTCTTCTGTCAGAGACCAGAAGAGAACTATACAAAAGTGAACTGTGAGGTTACTCTATGACTGAAAGGCCGTGGCTATGTGGCATTAACCTAGCGACCGTGATAAAGCTACACATCTGCTGGGCTTTCTGTTCTTCCCAGCCAGTGTGATATGCTGCAAGTAACAGATAAGAGACCTTTCAGCCCTCAGGGTGGCAAGTCAGGATCTGGGGAAGCCAGAGCGTCTGGACCAGACTCCTCCAGCCACAAGAAGGCTCAGCTGTCTACACAGTGGTCCAAACAAATATAATTTTCTGTGTGTACCGTGGCTGGGAAAGCATTTGGAAGCATGTTCTGGAGCAATTTGAAAATCATGGTACCTGTTTTTTTCCTGACCGTAACATTTAAAAAATGTTGAAAAGGATCTGGTTACTCTCTTATCTGCACCTTTGGGTGGCTGTAATATCTCTGATACTATTATTTTGTTAACATTTGTTAATTCATATGACTAGAATTTAACCTCCTAAATAATCTTAACATTTTAAGGAAGAGATGACAAGATTCTAATGGTCTGCTTTTCTCCTTCCCAATCTGTGTTTCTGCTTTAAAACTGAGCTCAGGTCCTCACTTTACTTATCAATGCAGCCTACAAACCCAGCCGTGTCCTTCGGGAGCTCCAGCTGGACAAAGACTCTGTGTGGCACGGATGTGGGGAAGTCCTAAAAGCCAAGTGAGTGGACTACTTGTTTTTACTCTTTACTTTTACTTGTCTTTAAAAAGTCACAGAATCGGCGTGGCACAGTGGCTCACACCTGTAATCCCAGCACTTTGGGAGGCCGAGGCGGGCGGATCACAAGGTCAGGAGTTCAAGACCAGCCTGGTCAACATGATGAAACCCTGTCTCTACTAAAAATACAAAAATTAGCCAGACACGGTGCACACGCCTGTAATCCCAGCTACTTGGGAGGCTGAGGCAGGAGGATTGCTTGAACCCAGGAGGTGGAGGTTGCAGTGAGCTGAGATCGTGCCACTACATTGTAGCCTGGGTGACAGAGGGAGATTCTGTCTCAAACAAAAAACAACAAAAAAAATTCACAGAATCAGTTCTGTGGATAATATCAGAAGCCTTATGTTTCCTTAGGCAGGGCTTTTTCAGCTATTTGTGGTGAAGGCCCAGGCTTGTTTTTCTTTTTTAGATTTCCATTCTTTCATGGATCAATACATTTATAAAATATGATAGAATGAATTATAAGAAATACGAAATTTAAGACCGGGCACCGTGGCTCACGCCCCTAATCCTAGCACTCTGGGAGGCTGAGGTGGGCGGATCACCTGAGGTCAGGAGTTCAAGACCAGCCTGGCCAACATAGTGAAACCCTGTCTCTACTCAAAATACAAAAATTAGCCAGGTGTCGTGGTGTGTGCCTGTAATCCCAGCTACTTGGGAGGCTGAGGCAGGAGAATCTCTTGACCTGGGAGGCGGAGGTTGCAGTGAGCTGAGATCATGCCACTGCACTTCATCCAGCCTGGGTGACAGAGCGAGACTCTATCTCAAAAACAAAAAGGAAATAAGAAATTTAAGACATAAAAATGCAAGAACAATTTTTGTTATTAGATGTAAGAGACATAAAATTACTTTTTCAAATTACTGTGAAAGGTTATAAACAGGTACTCTTGCTTTCTGATCTTGTCATGGATGGATGGCAGGCAATTGGCAGGTCATACTGGTCCTTGGATAACAGTCTGAGGATCACTGCCAAGGGTAAAGAAAGACTTAGTGAAAAGTCACTTTTCTTTTTAGAGCAGTTAGTGAAATTACTATTTGAAAACCTTAACTTAGGAACAGAAAGCAGGAGCTTAATTTTGCTAATTTAAATAACTCAGCTTTTAGTTGTCATAGCTTACCAGATTTAATTTGATTTAAGTTCAATATGCAGAACTTCCTTGTTGTTTTCAGGGCCCTTGAACTATAAAGGACATAGAATATTCCAAGAAGCAAAAATATTTTTTAGGTGTATTAATATGTTTGATTTTTCTCTGGGTAATCATTAGCCCAATATATTTGGCATCTGATGTCTTCCAATGGCAGATATAAAGGAAAGAGTTATCGGGCTACTGTTGAGATAGTGAAAACAGCAGATCGGGTGACTGAATTCTGCCGGCAAACCTGTATCAAACTGGAATGCTGTCCTAACCTCTTCGGTCCACGGATGGTTCTGGATAAGTGTTCTGAGAACTGTTCTGTACTTACAAAGACCAAATACAGTGAGTCATGTTTTTCCAATGTGTTAACCATAGCAGCTGACCATACCTTACATCTTGGAAAGTTTTTTACTTTACAGACATTCATATATAGCAGAGGCACACGAACTTCTTCTGTAAAGGGCCAGATGATAAATATTTCATGTTGTGGGTCATATGCTTTCTGTCACATATTCTTTTTCTATGTGTTGTGTTTTCATTTTTTAAGAACCCTTTTGGCCGGGTGTGGTGGCTCATGCCTGTAATCCCAGCACTTTGGGAGGCCGAGGCAGGCGGATCACTTGAGGTCAGGAGTTCGAGACCAGTCTGGCCAACATGGTGAAACCCCGTCTCTACTAAAAATAGAAAAACTAGCTGGGTGTGGTGGCACCTGCCCGTAATCCCAGCTGCTTGGGAGGCTGAGGCAGGAGAATCACTTGAAAGCGGGAGATGAAGGTTGCAGTGAGCTGAGATTGCGCCACTGCACTCCAGCCTGGGTGACAAAACGAGACTCTGTGTCTCCAAAAAAAAAGAACCCTTTAAAAAATGTAAGGGTAATTTTTGGCTTGGGGGCTATACCAAAACAGGTCATGGGCCAGACTTGACTCATGGGCTTTAGTGTGCCAACTTTTATATATAGCATGTATATAAATTAGTTATTGTATCTAATAGGATATGTAATTCATTCATACAATCTGCAAGTATATATTTTGTGCTCATTGTGTGCTTATGCTGCTCTAGCACTGGGATACAACAATAAAGAAAACAAATTCCTATCCTCAGTGAGTTTACCTTTAATGTGGGAGACAGATAACAAACAAGGGAAGAAATTTAGAGAGGGGTCAGTATTTAGAGAAATACTGTGGGGAACAGTGAAGCAAGGTGGGCAAGCAAAATAGGACAGTGAGGAAGGCTGGGAGGTGGGGTGCTGTTTATGCAAGGGGTCAGGGAAGTCTTTCTGACAGGTAACACCTTGAAGGAAACAGGAGCCAGCTGTGCAGAGAGCTGGGTGGGAGTGTTCTGGGGAGGGGGCATCAAGGGCACAGGCTTGAGGCAGAAGCTTGCTTAGTGTCTCTGAAGAGCAGCAATGAAGCCACACTAGTTGGGGAGGTGGAAATAGGAGAGGAGGTAGTTGCAACCTCACCTTGAACTGTCATAGCACCTATTCGCTGTCCTTGCTTATCTTCTTTGAGAAACTGGGGCAGGGGTCACATAGGATGAAATTTACAATTTGGAGCCTTGTCAAGGCATTGCCACCCAAAGACAAAATTCTGATCCTACCTTTCCTTAAATCCTACAAGCCCTATGTCACTTGGGAGAATCACTACAGAGGAGGATTTTTACCTTGTTAAAATGGAAAGATTTCTTTTAGGGATCTGTGCCTCTTAAACTATAGTGCATGCAGATCACTGAAGGATCTTGTTAAAATGGAGCTTCTGATGTATCAGGTCTGTGGGTATCTGGGTCCTGAGTATCTATCTGCATTTCCAACAAGTTCCCAGATGCCACTGATGCTATTGATCCAAGGTCCATACTTAGTATGACGAGCTTTCTAATCAGTATTTAAATTACAAAATCTTATAAGTCTAACCTTCTAGTTTCTATTTATATTTATTGGATTGTAAACTCCTTAAGAGTAGGAATTATCTTAGCTTCTTGTATCAGACTCAGCACTTAGTTTAGGAAACTGCAATTATTAGGAGCTGAGTGAAAAATACTATTCATGTAAATGCATATATAAGCACACTACTCTGAAGGAAGATATGTGAGGGGAAGATATGTGGATTTTATTGTGCCTTTTGTCTGAATTTATCTTTCACAATAATATAGTTGAAATTAGCCTAGAATTTAGAAGGACAGTTATAATTTTTCCCAGTTAGTAATTTGAATGATGTCAAATGGATTCGTATCCTTTAGAAAATTTCCATTTTTTTCACAAAATTGTATTATATTTTGATATTACTTTAATACATAACTCAGCTAGAATATGTATGTTTCATTTCTGGAATGTATATTCTAAAATTTATATGAAAATGCAGAGGATCTAGAATAGCTGAAACAATTTGGAAAAAAGAATAAAGTTGGAAGACTTAGTCTCTCTCTTTTTTTAACCATAAAGTTATAATAATCAAGAGTGTGGCATTAAAGAATAGTCAAGCCGGGTGCGGTGGCTCACACCTGTAGTCCCAGCACTTTGGGAGGCCGAGGCAGGCAGATCACCTGAGGTCAGGAGTTCAAGACCAGCCTGACCAACATGGTGAAACCCCGTCTCTAGTGAAAATACACAAATTAGCTGGGCGTGTGGTGGCAGACGCCTGTAGTCCCAGCTACTCAGGAGGCTGAGGCAGGAGAATCACATGAACCCAGGCGGTGGAGGTTGCAGTGAGCCAAGATCACGCCACTGCACTCCAGCCTGGGTGACAGACTCTGTCTCAAAAAAATAGAACAATGGGACAGACCACAGGGTCCAGAAATAGAGCCAAACTTAACATGGTTAAATGATTTTCAACAAGAGAGATGAAGAAATTTAAGGGAGAAAGGAAATTCTTTTTAACAAATAGCACTGGTACAACCAGATATCCAAATAGAAAAGAAACATATAATAAAACACACGACTCAAAAACATTATGCCTAGTAGAAGAAGTCACACATGGCTGCTGGACGTGGTGGCTCATGCCTGTAATCCCAGCACTTTGGGAGGCCAAGGCGGGCAGATCATGAGGTCAAGAGATTGAAACCATCCTGGCCAACATGGTGAAACCCCGTCTCTACTAAAAGTATAAAAATTAGCCGGGCATGGTGGTGTGTGCCTGTAATCCCAGCTACTCAGGAGGCTGAGGCAGATGAATTGCTTGAACCTGGGAGGCAGAGGTTGCAGTGAGCCGAGATCGTGCCACTCCACTCCAGCCTGGCGACAGAGCAAGACTCCATCTCAAAAAAAAAAAAAAAAAAAAGTCACACACAAAAAAGTGCTTACTGTGTGGTTCCATAGAGGCAAAGCTAATCTATAGTGATAGTGTTTAGAATAGTGGCTGCTTCTAGTAAGGGGTACTGACTGGGAAGGGACCATGGGAGCTTTCTGGGTTGAAGATGTTCTATATACTTTGATATGGAGGGATCATTCAGTACTAGTCAAACCGTGCACTTCAGATCTGTTTATTCCACTCTATGGAATTTAAACCCCAATCAAATACAATGTACCTGTTTTTTGCTATGCTAATAAAATCTCTTGTGGTTTTGAGGTACACAAAAATAATGAAGCTACTTCATTTTTCTTTGTCATCCACATTTAGCACACTATTACGGAAAGAAGAAAAATAAAAGAATTGGGAGGCCACCTGGTGGGCATAGTAACTTAGCTTGTGCCCTGAAAAAAGCCAGTAAGAGGAGAAAGAGGCGGAAAAATGTTTTTGTTCATAAGAAGAAACGCTCCTCTGCATCTGTTGATAATACCCCAGCGGGCTCTCCCCAGGTATGAGATCTGTGATGTGCCTGTAATGTCTTGAAGCCAAGTGACCACTGCTTTATAGTATGGACACAGAATACCTGCAGGTCTTTCTAACTCAGATCTCTGGCCAATAGAAGATGGTTTTGTGGCCCAAGAACTGGTTTGTCCTGAATTTCTTTTCTTTCTTTATTATTTTTTTTTAATCATATGAAACCTGGGATTGATGTCCTGAATTTCAATGAGACTTCTCTCCTTTTCCTGCAGGGAAGTGGGGGTGAAGATGAGGATGACCCAGATGAAGGGGATGATGATTCCCTAAGTGAAGGCAGTACATCCGAGCAGCAGGATGAGCTACAGGAAGAATCAGAAATGTCAGAAAAAAAGTCATGCTCCTCTTCTCCCACCCAAAGTGAGATATCCACATCGCTGCCTCCAGATAGACAAAGGAGAAAAAGGGAGCTTCGCACCTTTTCATTTTCTGACGATGAAAATAAACCTCCTTCACCAAAGGTACCATTTAAAAAATAGTTTCTTTTTTCTTTCTTTCTCTCTGGAATTTCCATCTGGAATATGATTATTAGTGATATTGACATTCTACTTCTTTCAATACAGACTTATGTAGAATTTCCAGGGTCTCTTGTAAAGTGACCCCAAATGCAGTGATTTACATGTGTTTCAAGGATTAGTTGAGATCATCTACTTATAGGGGGAAAGTCTCTCTCAGAGTAGCTGCTTGTTTTAACAACAACAACAAAAAAAGCCCCATTGCTAGCTTATTTGTAGCTTGTCATTTATTTTTGGGAAAACTGCCTTTTTAATATGTTTCATAATATATATGGTTTTGTAGAAAAAAGTTATCCTTTTGATTCTGGTTAAGCCATTTGGCTTAATATATTATTTACTATATACATATGAACATTTTATAACATATGTATAACACTAAAGAACAATTTAGTGTTCAAAAACTAGATTGCTTTTTAAGAATATTCCATGAACAGAAGCAGTAAAGATTCCTCCTGGTAGTTTAGTTAAGCCTTCTCTCAATGGAATTATCATCCCCTTCTCTTCAGCACCCTGTTTTTCTTAGTTAAATTGTCTAAATTATCTGTGCTGGAACTTTGAGATAAATTCTTTCCCATTGATACTTCGTATTATAAAAGACAGACATTTCCTGAGTACCTGATGCACGTGGGTCTTTGCCATCTTTGCTGGGAGAAATCATGTCCTAAGACCACTTTAAATCATGTCTTGAAAGATTATGAATTTAGGTAGAGAGACTTTTTTAGAATAAAATAGCCGTAACACCATTTGGTTTGATTGTGTTGTGGGGAATGAAGGAAATAAGGATCGAAGTTGCTGAAAGGCTTCACCTGGACAGTAACCCCTTGAAGTGGAGTGTGGCAGACGTTGTGCGGTTCATCAGATCCACTGACTGTGCTCCATTAGCAAGAATATTCCTAGACCAGGTAATCACAGATACCTATAATTTTTAGTAATGTCTCTTTAGCAATAAATTATGGATGTAATAGTCAACAATTTATTTACAAGTTTTAGGAAAAATGTTTTGATCCAAAAGACAAGAATTGTCTTAATTCCATTTTTAGGAGTCAAAGATGATAAAAAGTTATTTATCAGACTTGCTTCATAGTTGAAGGAGATTATCATTGCATTCCAGTTTTTCCTAAGAATTTGATTCCATCCCTCCAATATCAAGCATACCATGCTTAATTGTCCACATCTTTTCAAAAATAATGATTTGCTTGTTTAAAAAAAAATAGCATCTGTCACATTAGGCTCTAGAGTGGTGATAAGTTTTAAGGCAAGCTTGCTGAAACACAGTCAGTGGCCTTAAACATTGAAATAAGTTTTGTTTAGAAAATTAGGGAGATTCAAGAGCTTATCGGGTTTTTATGAATGTTACAGAGTAGGAAAACATTGAAGTTGATAGTTAATCCTTTGTTTCAGATTTAGAAGGAACCCTCTAAAAAGATGGCACAATTAGTTGCCAGTTACAGGGCTAGTCAGTTTACTAAATTTCTATGGGACAGAGACTCTGGAATGGATTCTTATCCTTGGTAAAACTTTATTGTCCTCAGTAAAACTTTATTAATTCTGAAGCTTCATTAGTGTGGAAGACTATGGAGTCACTTAAAAGGAAGTGTGTGATACCTAAGACGAAAAAGTAAGGAAAGGAAAGCATAGGGATTCCAGTTTTGACAGAGCTAAAGTGAGGAGAGGCTGTCATGATCAAGCTGCCTTTCATGTGCACATCACAGATAATTTGTCTTTTATGCTTTAACAGGAAATTGATGGGCAGGCCCTGTTGCTCCTTACCCTTCCCACTGTTCAAGAATGCATGGACTTAAAATTGGGCCCTGCCATCAAACTTTGCCATCACATAGAGAGGATCAAGTTTGCTTTTTATGAGCAGTTTGCCAACTGAGAAGGACAACCAAAGTGAGCTGGATCTTTGAAGCACAAATGCAGCAAATCCTTCACCCTGCTTTATAAGTGGAGCTGGAATAGTCCTGGGGCTCTGGGGCCTGCAGGTATCAGCTTGCTCTCTTTGCACTTTCGGGGAAGGAGGACTCACAGTGAGGAAGCAAAAACTGTGCACAGAAGTGGATCACCTGCTGGTGGAAATGTGGACATCTCTTGTTCAGCAGATGGCAGTTTTTAAAAAATAAAGGTTGTGAGGAAAAGACTTATATAAGAAGAAAAGCATTTCCAGTGGTGTGGCCTGAAAACAAAGAATAACCTAGGCTGCTGGAAAGCACCCTTTTGGTTGTTTTCATTCTGTTCCCTCCCATTGTAGATTGAACTTTGTTCTCTGCTTTCTTTTTCTTGGAAAGAGAGGACTTAGCTTTAAGTCAGCACTGATTTGGGACTGTTCCTAAGGCATATCAGTGCTTCATTGTCATTGTGTTTTTAAACTTTTTAAAATTAAAACAGTTCATTTTGGGGATGATTATGTGGCTCTAGGGTTTTGAATGTATAGTCACACTTTGATCATTTTAAAATCGATTCTTAGGAGTTCCTTTGTTTACTACCTCTGTTGATAATTGAGCTTACAGCCATGTATGAGGTTTTTTGTATGATGCCATTTTTAAGCTACATAAACACTAAAATTATGACAGAATTTGGAGGGGGGGAAACTGTTTGCTTTCTTAAAAACATTATATGGGGCACTTACACCAGTTCCTTAACTGACCTGATCTGAGAACTCTACTGTTACTGTTCTCCATCTTGACCCAGCCGAGGCTGCCTGTGTTAAGTAACATCACCAAGACTGTTAGTATTTCTGTTTAATTGCCCTCTTCCTATTCATTCTCAGAGGGACTTCAGTGACTTTTATTTTGTGTTTACTTTTCTCTAGAGTTGTTTGTCTACCTCTGTTTCATTTCTAAGGTCTTTACTTTGGGTGAAAATCAGTAAGTGTTCCATGGACCCACAGCGAAGCCCATTTGTCCTTCTTTCCAGGTGTCTCCAGTGTAGAAGCACAGCACAGAAAACATGTTTTGGAGGGTAACGCAGAGCATGGAGTTTCTGTTAGCAGTGTCCTCAGTGGCAGGATAAATACTGAGATGTGGTTAAGGATTCTGGAAACCTCTTTGCCTAGCCACACTTAGACTTTTTTCAGCTAATCCTTTAAATTGAATATAATCTTTAGTCCGAGGATTCCCATTTAAACAACTCAGTATTCTTTTAAGTGTGTCTTTTAGCCCAGCTCAAGTTAACATGAAACTCCAGGTGAATTTTCACTTACTATTCCATTGCTAGCTATTATAGAATAATAGCGTTTGCTGCACTATTCTAGTCATGAGGAGTGAGGAAAAACATACATAGGTTGTCTCCCTTAAATGGTTTGCTTTGCTGAATTTTTTTTATCCTAATCACCTGCAAATTTATAACCCAATCATTCTTCCTCAAGATTTGAAAATGTTTTAATCCTGCAAACTGGGTGAATTCTAAACAGCTCTACAAATATAAGGAAATATTACAGCAAATTTTAACTGATTGTGATTTTTTTTTCCCATTCCCCACCACCCCAACCTATTTTTGTGGACATTGATGAATAATCTGGAGCCTCTCTTCATTGGGTAATTCATAAACCAACTTAACTCAAGCCCTGCAACTAAATCATACATTAAATCATTAACTCTTCACTTAGGTTCCTACCAGATCTATCTGGGAAGAAGCTTCATTTAAGTAAAAATTAGTATGTTTGAAACTTAGAGATCCAGTTTTTAAAAATTTAAATCTGTGTCTGTGGAAGACAAGGATATATAGGGAATGCTAGGGAATAATTAGCATTAAACATTAAGCTTTTGGTGGGTAGTGGTGGTAATCTTGCTTAATGAAATTTCCTGAGAGTTCAGTCAAGGTACTAAGGAAAAGAGGGCCCCTTGAGGAAGAATAATGGAACAGAATTTCTGGAATTAATGTTTAGGGCCTCGTGTTATTATCTTATTTAGGAAAGTGAAATATATTTCCTATAAGAGGGAATTTACCAAACACAAGAACAATGAATGCTTTATTTTGTCTCTCTTTTGACTTCTCCAGAAACCACAGAATTAAGAATCATCTCCCTTCACAGGTGAGGGGATGAAGGCGCTGAAGGGCAAAACATACAGCCCTACGTAGTCTCTGATCTAGGTAGAGTCAGAGCCCAACAGGCTTGTTTATACCATGATTATTCAGGCTCAGCCCGTTCCTAGAGAAAGGCTGACTCTAAATGGTCAAGTAAGTTGAGTTTCCCTTAATATTTCTTGCATTCTCCTATTAAGGCATAGTTTATTAGGCAATTGCATAAAGAATTATATCCCCCAGCGCCGACTCCCGTATATTATGTAAGCAAGGATAATTGGGAATTTAGCACAGGGCACTTTTTTAACTTAAAGTTTGGACTTAATTTACCTCACAAAGCTGCTGGGACTGGGCTAGATAACAATGATGTTCTGGTTACTGTGATGCTGAAACAGATTTCAAGCCAGATAATAGCTCACCATGTTGGGGTAAAATGTTGGTATGTTGCACACAGGTGCAAGAACTTTGTTTTTTAGAGAGACCAACTTCTTAAATGTGTAACAGTCACATTGTGAAGGGACTGCATTTGTCTGGATTTCACCTGCAGCTGGGCCCACAGCCTGCCTGAGGTCAGAAAATTTTTCATGACCCATTTTTTACCCTGAATTGACAAGTTTAGAAAACAGGTTAATGGACTACTTCATCCTCCTGGACCTTGAAAAGCTGGCTGACCAATATTAGACTACTACTGCTCAATTAGTGTGCTAGGGAAACCTTTTTGCTGCACATGCAGATTTTTCTGTGACATTTTGACTAGATTTTGAGGGCTTCTGGGGACTATGCTGTTTTCCTTTGTACACCATCTTCATCCTTCTCATTTGAAGCAGAGTTGAAGTGGCTAATGCAGGGAATGCATTTATGGAAGCTTGCACGCTATCTGCCTTTGTTCAGCAATGCAGGTGGCTCCTAGCATTTATCTATGTTATAGATATGTGAGGTCAGGGAAGGGTACTTACTAACCTCTGGAAAAGATGAGCTTCTTGATAAATATTTATTGACTTATGGTAGAAGCAAACATAGAAAACTAGTTCAGAACTTAGCCTTAATATGCCTTTTCTCCTGGAAGTAAAATATTCTCACTGTGAGAGAGAAGACATTGGACCTTAGCTTCCAGAGGACCTGGATACACTTTACTTGCTCTCTAGTACCAATTCAGTCACGAATGTGGTACCTGAATACAATTTAAAAGCTTTAGGAGGCCTTAGGTAGGGTGGGACTCAGAATCATTTCCCTCTCTCAAGCCAAAAAGTGTTTCTGAGGGACACATAGAATATCAGGCAATCTAGATGGGAACATTTGGGAAAACTATCACAGGCAATTATATTTACTTGGCACCTATATCACCAAAGATTGTTCTATTTGAGACACCATTTACTGGTTTAATTGATCAACAGTGGAACACACCCTGGATTTGAACTCTGATCCTGTATATTGAGGATGTGCCGTGTGTGCACACACCAGTTCAGAAGTGTTCTGTGTTATCAGTAGGAAATCTGTTGGTCTTATGAAGTTAAATGAGTAGAAGGCATCACTACAAAAAATGAAGTACAAATCTTGGTGGGGACCAGATGCCCCCTTTGCAAGCTTGGATTTCCTTGCTCCTGGGTCCACTGTAAGCAACCATATGTTTGTCATGGTGCTGACTCAGAAATCGTAGGACAGAGAGCCTCCTGCAAAACCAAAAAGAAATGTTACTTTCCTGCGATTATAATTCTTCCTTGACTTTGTTCACTTTAGATGTTTTACTAGTGAGTTTTGATGACTCCCACCCCTTATGTGAGAATGTGCATACTTTGGAAACTTGAATTTATCCAAACAAGCTACCTATGACTTAGAGTTTGGGCATAAGTTTTAAATTCAATGCTCAGTCGAACTGGATCTGGTTCCAGGCCCACTCCAAGGGTGGTTTCAGGGGTGTTTTTTCAGTACTTGTCCCAGACCACACAGGTAGCCTTGTTTCTGAGGGCAGCTTTATGGGGAGGTGTAGAAGGTGGTGGGCAGCAAATGCACTGCAGAGTCATTTTCTTGGGTATGGTGTTTAAGAAGCCTGAGATTTTCACAAGAACCAGCAAAACCAGGAGTGGAGAGTTGGGGAGATAGAGAAGTAGGCCTAAAACTCCCTCTTCTTGAGTCTTTTTTGACTTAATACACCATTGGGTCTGTCCTGGTGCTATGGCCTATCACAAAGGACTGTTTTAAGAGAGAAGCAAGCCACAGCCTTGCCAGATAAGTCTCCAACACCAGCAGAAAAGCACGGACCCTGATCTGTGGGAGGCAAGGGTCTCCCATTATTTCTGGAGGCAAATGGTGCCTTCTAGTGAAATGGTGCCACCATTTGCTGATGGGGGTGCCTGTTCTCAGGATGTGTGGAAACTCAGGCCTGAGGGTTTCTACATGGTTTATTCAATCTAACTGCATACCTAGCTTGGCAGAATGGAGGTGGACAAAAGTGCTGAAAGGATGAGGGTAGGCTTTTAGGGCAAATCAAGTCACAAAGCAGATGATTGAGGGAGGTTACAAAGCTTAGGCAGAGTTAAAGTTGGGCAGTCCATTAGCTCCTTTTGCAAGAATCTCTGGAGACGGTAGTTTGAATGTTTCCCTTGAGATTTCAAGTGCTCATTTCTTTTCCCCTCCCTTCCTTTCTTCCTTTTTTTTTTTTTTTTTTTTTTCATTGAATATTCTCTGAAGACAATCAGAGGCCTGCCAGGGAGGGACTCCTGGCTGGTTCCAGCACTGTCCTTAGGCCTCTTTTTAATACTAACTTGTTGGAACTGATGCACTTTGTTTAATGTATTTTACCTTTTTTTTTTAAAGCTGCTCATTTAGAACAAAATCAAATGCTTATTGCATTGTATCCTTCCTGCTTGCTGTTTTTCCTCTTAATTTCAAAAGTTATGCATTAAAGATAAAAGTACACTTAAGAAGTATGCACAAGAATACCTATTAAAATAACTACCATCAAGTTTGATGGTATAACTTCAAAGGATTAAAAAAAACTATTTTGGATTAATATTTTGCGTGTTTTTTTTGTAAATATGATTGTATATAAACTGGTGGTACGTTATGACAGTTTTAAGTGGTTGTGAGAAAACTAAAGAGAACAGGTCTTAAGCTATGTTTAACCTTAACTTTGTGCTGATTTGACAACAAGGAAGGCATTTTGGCCAGAGTAAATTTTTTAAAACTCTTTCCAGCGGGACCTCAGAGAATCATTTCCAAATAGATGAGAAGTTCCTTCCTACTTTAATAAAACTCCGGAATTCTTCCCCCTCTCTTGCTGTCTCATCCTTTACCTTCTGGATTTAGGTGCTTTTTAATTCCAGTTCAGGAAAGATAGGAAGAGTAGAATTTCCCCACAGCAACCTTGCTCCTGACATTGGGGATTCCGCCCCTGATCTCTGAAGACTGCTTCTTGTTTGTTCCTCTGTGAGCCTTAAGGATTCCTCCACAGCTGGATGTGCAGAACAATTCTTTGTCAAAAACATCACTTTTCAGCTCTATGTCCAATTTTCCTTGAGCTGTCTGTGTCTTCAAGCAATCAATAGTCTCCTTATGCCCAACCACAATCTATTCTGCTTTAAGACGTAGCCTCTTGTTTGGTTCTCTCTAAACATGTACTGTTAACTGTTGAGCATCCTCATAAGATCCCTCTTAGACTAAAAGACAGTCATGCAATTTTAATTTTCCCTTATCCATTTATTTTTTTAATCTGATTTTCTGTATTTGCCCACGGCCAGTACTTGTGGAGAGTTTAAAATTTTATAAATTAAAATTCCATTTAAATTAAGCATTTTGTCGCATGTTCTCTGTACCAGGCACCATACTGAATTTGAATTGAAGGGTAAATAAAAATAATTCCTGCCCTCAGGAGGCTCACACTTAGCTGTGGGAGAGAGACATGTGTACAGCTGTCAAATTTAGCAGTCTGAAAAGTTTTGGTGGAACAGTACACACTAGGTAATGTGGGAGCAAGAGGGAGAGGGAGGTCAGAAAGGCTTTGACACATGAGGAGCAGTTCATGGAGCAGGGAAAAGGGAATGGCATCCATGCAGCTAGAATGCTACATAAAGGCACAGAGGTGTGAAAATGTAAGAGAAGGCTGGAGAATTGCATTTTTATTCTCTAATCAGGTTAATATTCCTGTTCACCAAGAAAGCTTTTAGCTAGCATATAACCCTCTTAGGTAATTGGAATTTGGGGGGCTATTTAATAGGAAACTTTTTCCTAGAGATGATATTTACCGTTGAAAACACGTAGCTCAGTATCAACTGGACTTACACCATATGTTCACTGACATTCTGCAGCAGGAAGGTCAGCGGCTCTAGAGCACCAACAAGAAGGTATCCAGAGAGAGCCCAGATTGGGCTGGGAGAATGGGTGAGTGTCAACTGGACTTACACCATGTGTTCACTGACATTCTGCAGCAGGAAGGTCAGCGGCTCTAGAGCACCAACAAGAAGGTATCCAGAGAGAGCCCAGATTGGGCTGGGAGAATGGGTGAGTGTCAACTGGACTTACACCATGTGTTCACTGACATTCTGCAGCAGGAAGGTCAGCGGCTCTAGAGCACCAACAAGAAGGTATCCAGAGAGAGCCCAGATTGGGCTG
The DNA here is from genome assembly GCF_000001405.40 of Homo sapiens. Taxonomy (NCBI): domain Eukaryota; kingdom Metazoa; phylum Chordata; class Mammalia; order Primates; family Hominidae; genus Homo; species Homo sapiens. The sequence goes on along the minus strand of NC_000003.12, from coordinate 52,898,383 downwards.
GGAGAATGGGTGAGAGAATGGGGACTCAGGGTCTTGTTAAAGGCAGAGCACAGGTTCTGAGAAGTTGGAAAGGGTTAGATGGGAGTGTGTGTGTGCAGGGGGATGTTGGAGCCTGGAAAATACCAACCATTTGTCTTTTACACTCTAAAGGTAGTTGTGCTCCCCAAGTGAATAAGGTGGGACATGTGCACGTCAGGTTTTCAGTGTGAAACCTGGTATATTTCCAAATGAAAGTGATTGGATTCAGGTGACCATTTAAATTATGTCTATGAAAAAAGAAAATAGACTTGGGGCCTTGATAAGCCTTTAGCTAGGGAAGTAGGAAAAAGACTCAAATGTCTGGGTTGGAGGGAAGACTCCTGTACTCAGTCTCAGATTGTTTTCCTTATTCACTTGCTTCAGAATAATCCAGGCTGCAAACTATTGGGACCCACCCCAGAACTACTGAATCACGATCTCTGAGGGTGGAATTCAGGAATGATGATAATTTCTCCAGGATATAGGGATTTTCCTTAGAGGGAAAAATAATTTGACCACAGGCCGTCCCAGCTCCTACCTCCGGACCTGGAGCTCGTGATTCCCAGGCTCTCATTCCGGTCTGCGGTGGCCGGCTCACCTGGCCTGTCTACCTGCGGGCGTGGCGGGGTTGGAGAGGGGAGCGGGACCCGCGACCCCGCCCCGTGGCCCGGCCGGAGCCCCGCCCCTCGGGGGCGGGTGGGGAGAGCTGCCGCGGCCGAGGCCCGCCCCAACCTTGGCTGCGCCAATCAGGCACTGCGATCTCAGACGTCGGGTTACGCGCGGCGCGGAGTCGGCGGCCGGGCGGAGGTACCGGCTCAGGCTTGGGATCCCGGCTGCGGGTTTGGCGGCGCTGCGCCGGCAGGCAGCGAGGCCGGGCGGGCCCTGGGCCCTCGCGCCCCTCCCGCGAGGCCTGTCATGCAGGGCCCCGCCGGGAACGCGAGCCGGGGACTGCCAGGCGGGCCGCCCTCCACAGTCGCGTCCGGGGCGGGCCGCTGCGAGAGCGGCGCGCTCATGCACAGCTTCGGCATCTTCCTGCAGGGGCTGCTCGGCGTCGTGGCCTTCAGCACGTTAATGCGTGAGTCTGGGACCCCCCGACCCTCCGGAGGCCCTGCGCGGCAGCCGCGGCCCGGCCCCCCTGGGGGCCCCTCCTGCGCGGAGAGTTCAGGCCTTGGGACCCGAATTGCTCCTCCCCCGCAAACCCAGGCTGGGTATTCCTGCACTAGGGGTAGCCCGAGCCCCTCACCTACTCGCTGTGGCCTCCAGACAGGAGTGACCCTTCCCCTTTCCACCTTAAACGTCTGTCTTTTGAGACGCCAGTCTAAAACTCGCCTACCTCCCACCTTACCATCTCGAATTGTTACCCCACTTCCCAGCCTGGAATCATGACCCCCAAGGGTGACATCCCCTTGTCCGCCCCTTCTCAGGGGCTCTTCGTGCTTAGAACCCACATCCCTCAATCCCCAGTGCGATGCTGAGCTCTTTTCTGCCCCTTCACTCTTCAAGGATCTGCCTTCTCCGTTCACATTTAAATCCTGCTACTTTGCATCCCTCTCAACACCTGGAGTGTTAGGGCCATGCCTTCCGTTTCCCAGTACCCGCCTCCCTCTCCGTGGCCCTTCTTCCTCAGCTTTAGTTTCCCTTTTGTCAGGGTAGGACCCACCCAGTCTGCCTTCTTCCCCAGATCCCCTTCCTCTCGTTTCTTCCGGAACAGGCCCACCTGTTCCATCTCTGTCCCAAGCTTTCCTAATAAGCCGCATCTATAGCTTCCCCTGGCTGTTCCCTTTCCACTTTTATTCTTTATATTTTAAGTTTCCTTTTCCATTAAACTTGGGCACCTTAGTGGCTGAATAGAGAAGGAAGCCCCCACCCTGTTCTCATGTGTGCTGATGGGGGGTGGGGGGGGGCTTCTGTTTTTCATCGTGTGCATCCTTCCCTTATTAAAGTAACAAGAAGTTTTGCTCGACATGTAAGCCTAGGAGTGCCCTTGTGACTGCGTTTTAGGGGGAAGGAAAGGTTATAACTATCTGTGCAGAGTCATTAATTCCAAAAATGACTTGTTCTCAAAACTTCCCCACTGTGCTTGTGTGGACAGAGTGGAGAGTTCCTGCAGAAAGTATGCTTTGGGGTACTCAGGAGGGATCTTGCAGCTGTGTGCCTTTGTCTTGTGGGGTCCAGTTGCTGGAGTGGCCACCTTGCTTGTTTATAACTTGGGGTTTCTTTGAGTGAATTCTCTCAGGCTTTAAGTAACCCTGAAGAGGCTCTGATCATGGATACCGCGTTCTTCTGGTGGCCTGTCCTTGATAAGTCTTATAAGTGCCCAACTGTCTATGTTTGCCACTTTTTCTTTCCTTTTTAGTCCCAACTTGCCTTGCTTTTTCTCTGCTAAACAAATACCCACTTGTTCCCACAGTAATAATTTGTGACAACTTAGCCAAAATCCGCTGCTGACTTGGGCGCATGTACTGTACGTGTGTGTTTTCAAGACATGGTGAGTGGATCTTCATACCCCTCCTACTTCTCTGTCCTCCAGACAGCCTTCCTTTCTCTCTGAAGGAAGTGTAGGTTAAATTTTTCTTTTGCTCCCTAACCTGAGGTTTCTTAGCCTAGCTCTGGCTGTTTCCATAGGTTTGATTGATGCTGATGGCCCGGCTTGTCCCCTAGGGTTTGACACTTGTGATTCAGAGAAGGAAATGTGATGATGACAGGGCAGAGTTGCTCACAGCTGAGAAGTGTATCGGGTTGAATGTGTTCTGAGTGGAGTCTTCAGGGACATATTCACTTCTTTACTTAATCTTCAGCGTGAGCACATGTGCAAATCCCACTGTGGTTGGTACTTTCTGTGTGCAGAGATTGAACTAGAAAGCAGTCTCTTGTTCACTGTGAGGCTTGACGTGGACGGAGCTTGTGGAAATGGCTGGTGGGTCCTGGGGTGATGTGGGTAGGAGTGATGGGGAGAAGAGCTGGAAAGGCTAGAGCTATGTCTGCCCTGACACAGAAATGGAGGTGAGAGCAAGAGCCTCCTCCCCCTACCTAGAAGCAGACAGAGCAGGCCAGGGCAATGGTACTCTGGGAGCTGGACAAGAAGAAGCCCACTGACTGGGATGCAGTCAGGGTGGGGCCCTTCTTATCTCTCAGATTTCTTGGTCCTGTTGAAATAGAACTGCGAGGCTTTTCCTTCTTGAACTACTGGGAAGAGGAAGAAATCTCTAAGGTGGAAGAGGAACGAGATCAAGGTAGCCTTAAGGAAGTACATCTGCGAGCCATTTGGCTTTGTCCTGGGCTATTAGTCCTCCGTCCTTCTCAGTCTGGCGGAGCTGCCAGGAGGGGCATCTGTTGAAGGCCAGGCTCCCCTGACGAGGGTCCCCCTCGCAGCCCTGAGGGAGGGAAGTCTTAGTGTGTGTTAAGGTGAGGCCACTCCATCCTTCCTCAGTTCTGTTATCTTCAAACATTTTAAATACCAACCAGTCTGTTCTGAGCAGTTTAAACAGCCGTTGTCCTTTGAGGGGCTGTTTTTGAGATCACAGTCTTTTCCCTTCTGAGTACCCGTGGCCCTCGAGGCAATGGGCTCACTGCCTGTCTTCTGGAACGCTTCCCCAGTCCTGATGGCCAACACTATTGTTTCCTGTTGGACCAGCTCTGACTGTAGAATGAACCCATTTCTCTGCAGACAAGCTGTGAGGTAGTTTTCCTTACTTCACCTCCCTGATTTCAGTGACCCCTCAGACCACTGTCTTTATGTTCCTTTTTCTATCCAGAAAAATCACTTTTTTCTCCACTTACACGTTGCCTTGTTTTTGTTTGTTTGTTTCTTTGTTTTTAATCTGGAGAGGTTTGTCCTGAAGGAAGATTACTTATATATATTAATGTCTCTGGGGAGGATTCTGGTTCTGCAAGAATTTCTCATTCTGGTGCTTTGATAGACTTCTTGCCTTACTATGTAGGGTTTATAGACCCTCTTGGTCCAGGCAGTTGAGAATGTATATGCCAGGTCATACATGGTAGCCCATTATTCAAGCTGCATAAACATGCAGACTGTTACAGGCACCACCCACACACATGTCCCAGTGTCAGCACTGCCTTGTTGAGTTGGCGGGCTTCCTAGAGGCTCCAGCTAAGGTACCCTGTGTACGCAAGGAAAGATGAACATACTCAGAGACAAGCTTATGAAGATACTTTCCACTTAGAGTTTTCTGAAGTGTCTGCTAGGTATCTGCATAGAAAGAAACGCTTTAAACGAGGGGGCTTTGCCAAGCAATTCCTCGTTTTGGTGGTTTTAAGCAATTCCTCGTTTTGGTGGTTTTGTCTATAGTCTGTGACTTGACAAAGTTGCTCAGCTAGGGTCTCAGCAGAACAGAGCTAAGCAGTCCTAGAGCTCAGCAAACTGTTCCAGTGCAGGGTAGCCAACCAGCTGTCAGCCAAAGGTCGTGTTGGCCAGTGTGTGTGTTGGCATTTGGGGGTGTTTGCTCTCAGGACATGTGAATGCAAAGCAAACTCAAGCCTCCCTCACCGTGCACAGTCAGGGTTCTGGGCTGAAGTGTAGACAGAATTGGTTTTTAATAAAACAAGCATTTTGAGAGCTTGGATAAATCTGCCTGCCTATTTTTGTTATAGACATGGGGCCTAGCCAGCTGGGAGAAATGTGTCCATGTTTTACAAAAACACTGCTAACATTGAGAAGTGATAACTTTTTTCCTGCAATCCAAAGTAAAAATCACAAACCAGTCCACTCAGCTTTGATATCTTAAATGAGAGTTTCTGGGGTTTTCTCCGTGGTAAACCGGCCTCCCTGTGTGCTCTGTGTGAACAGGCTTGTGTTGGCACAACCTTCCCTACGATCACCTCTCCCCACCCCATCCTGGTTTTTATCTCTAAAAATGTCAAACGTAGAAAACATGAAAAATAATACACTGAACATCTGTCTGCCCTCTACCTAGATTTAGCAGTTGTTCACATTTTGTCACATTTGCTTTACCTCTTTATGCTTTTTTTTTTTTGGCTGAGCCATTTGAAGGTAAATTGTGACCAGCATCACACTTTACTGCTAAATACTTCAGCTAAGTCTCCCCAAAATAAGGACAATCTCCCACATAACCACAATTTCATCATCATACTTAAGAGAATTAATAATAACTCCATGATATCATCTCATATCCAGTCCATAGTCACATTTCCCCAAATGTCACAAGTCTTTTATAGCTGGAGTTTTTAAAAGCTAAGATCCAATCAAGGTCCACACGTTGTGTCTGGTTACGTTTTCAGTCACTTTCGTTTCTAGAAGAACCTCCTCCTACACATACATGCACACTTTTTTTTTTTTTTCAATGTTTCTGGCTTTTTGAAGAGTTCTGGCTGCTTGTTGTGTGGAGTGCCCCACATTCTGGAGTTGTCTGGGTGTTTCCTTGTGGTGTTTGAATTGTTTCACTGGCCCCTGTTTTCCTGAGTTTGGTCTGGAGCAGTTATTAGATTCAGATACCCAGTTTTATGGCAAGAACACGCCATAAGCGGCGCTGTATGTTTCATGTACATTCCACCAGGAGGCATGTGACATCACGCTGCCCCACTATTAGTGTTAATAAGGTTGATGACTTGGTGATGGTGGATGGAAGACCTCTCAGTCTCTCCCTCGTAAAGGTACATCTTCCCCTGGGCAATTAATAAGGGATCTCTGCAGTGATAATACTTTGAGATCATGTGAATACTCTGTTTCCCAGTAGCCTTTCACCCAGTGATCACCTCCTCCTGGTAAAATAACAGAATACAGTGACAGCTGAATTGGAGCTGGAGCTCACGAGTGAAGGCGCCTGTCTTTGGGTCTGGAACCCAGCACAAACTCAATCAGTGTCGCTGTCCTTTCCTCCTTCTGGAGTGCCAGCATGGGCAAAGGAAGAACGCCCCTTTTTTCATGCCAAGCTGGTGTTGTGGCCAATGTTAGCATACTGGCTGGCTCAGAGCTTTCATTTTTAGAAAGTTTTCAGGTTTTCTAAATGTTTATTTATTTGGTAGCATTTATCCATAATGGCAATCTGCTGCTTGATTTATCATGTAACTTCATTAATTTCGAATAAAATCAGGACAACAGGAAGTTGTCTGAATTAGGGGACAATCTGAGTTGTAGAATAACTTACCAAATGCATTTTTTTTAAACTTTTGAATACCTCTGTTGGCCACATGTTGCCCTGTTGGGGCCTCTCATGCTTCTGCTGCTTTAATATCTGTTTAAAGTCTTTTGCAGTTAGTATATTTGCACAAACATGAAGATTTGTTGAAGGGGTTTTACAAGTGGTTAAAAATAACAGGATCCCTGGCTCTGGATCCAGCCTGACCCAGCATCCATGTCTGCTTCGCTCTGCCATGTGGTGCCCCTGAGCAACTTCTGCATTTCTCAAAGCTTCAGTTTTCTCCCCAGTAACATGTGGTAATAATCTGTCTTTTCTGGGGCTATGGAGATGAGAAAGAATGTGTTTGAGGAAGCTGGGTTGGTGTCAGGCACATGTTAGGCCCTCCTTGGGGGTGTGTCTTCATCCTTGTTATTACATTGTATTCATGAGTTGGGCTGAAAAATGTTTCACAAGTGCTTAAGTAACTTATTTTCTGAATTAGGTTAAACATTCCCCTTTCTTTCTTGTTTGTACAATGTCTTTACCTTTAGCCCTCTTCACAGAGTGCATGGCAGTGAAAAAAAAAAGAAAGAAAGAAAAGCACCTTTAGCCCAGCCAGCACAGTGAGTGTGAATCCAGATTAGCATGCGCCAAAACAAGGTGGCTTTCGTGGCCAAAATAATCTTCCTTGACCTAATCTTTCTTGTGTTTTTACCGGCAGGGCCCTCATGTGGGCTCTGAGAGAGAGGGCAGTGGGTGCCTGGGGCTGCCCCACTTCCAGGTGATGAACCTGCTTCAAGTCGCTGGCTTTTCTTTGCCCAGGGCCCATGGTAGTAGGTGGTGGCGCTGGCCCCTGGAGCCGGCCTCTTTTCTGCAGCCTACTCTTCACTGAGTTCCCAGCATGCCAACCCCCCTCACAGGAACCCTGTACAGAAGCGGTCGGTGAGCAGGTGAAGTGCCTTGTACAAGGGCTCCTGGTTAGTAAGTGCAGAACTGAAATGTAAGCCGGGTCCCTGGGACCCCAGACACCCTGAGCCACTTCCTCTGTGCCTGCCGGCTTTTTCCACCCCTCTTTCCACACAGGTTCACTTTCTGATTACTCCGTATCTGTGGCTACTTCACCTCATTTTTTTTCTATCTGAACAATTCTGATTTTCTTTCTTGATAATTATTTTTATTTAATTTTATTTAAAGCATTATTGTTTTTTGACTGTTGATAACATTAAAAATATAAATTTGAAATGACTCATCAATCATTTCATGCCTACATGAGTCACACGCTAGGTCTGCTTTTCTGGGCCTTTGTGAAGATTTTCCTTGCCTGGGCAGAGGGTGGTGATTCTACCCCAAGGCTGAGGTCTAGCATCTGAGGCGAAGGCACCCCCGCCCTACCCCAGAGCAGCAGAAGCAGGCAGCACGGAGTCCCTTTACTCGCTGGTGAGGAAGGGTCTGCAGGGCTCTGGGTGGCTTCAGGTTACCTGCTGAGTTTCACAGAGTTCATTTCCCTGTTGGTTGCCATATGACTATAAGGAAGGTCATTAATAATCTTGAGGTTTACCCAGAAGAATTATCCTTTTCCTTGTGTATGCATAGAAGCAGTTGGTGAGTCTCTTTTAGATTACTCCACTGCTAGGAAAGCTATCCATTGAATCCAGAGTTTTTCAGCCTGGCACTGTTGGTACTTTGGATGAGATAATTCTTTCTTGTGGGAGGCTCTCCTGTGCATTGCAAGGCATTTAACAGCATCCCCAGCCTGCCTCTACCCACTAAATGCCAGTAGAATCTCTCATTGTGACAACCAAAAATGTCTCCCGACATTGCCAACTGCCCCCTGGGGGGCCAAATCGCCCCTATTTAAGAACCACTGCATCGGTTCAGTTTGTGAATTTCTCAGCAAACTCATATTTGCTCTAGAAGAACAGATTAGAAGGTCAGTGTGTTGTTTCCAAAGTATAAGAACAGTGGACTATCAGGATCTCTTAAGTACTTTGGTGCCAAGCCCGCTATTGGATGTTTCCTTGACGAAGAGCTGAGACTGGTCCCCAGTCCTTGAGGGGCTCACAGCTGGAACAGGCTGTAGGAAGGCAGGCAGGCAATTCCAGTATAGCGTGAAGAGGATTGTAGAAGCCTGAACACACTGGAGAGGGGGAATGAGGGGTTCCGCCTGGGGACTCGAGGAAGTGTCCCTGAGGAAGCTCCACCTGAGCACCAGGCTAAGGGCTCTCGACATGGAGGGGGTGGTAAGAGCAAAGGTTCACGTAGAAGAGACCAGCGCTGGAGAGGGTAGAGGCAGAGGGTCTCAGAACAAAGAGGCAGTGTATTCAGAGGCTTTCCAGAGAGCCTTCCTTATTCCATTTCAGGCCTCTTTTACGGGTGCATTTAAAGAGGATGCGTTAAATTATTGGGTGTCAAGTCAGGGTCTGCTGTACTGCATGCTCCATTTGTATTATTTCCTTGAGAACCTTTCTTTTAAAGCAGTTTTACATCTCATGTGGCAGCCCCTGAGAAACATACACTGTTTATCTTTGGGACTACAGAAGAAGAAACAGGGACCCAGTATCTGCCTGGCCCCCATCCTCTTGGTAGTGCCTTCTGAGCTAGACAGTGATGTGGACAGACGTGCCGTGCTCACCCAGGCTTGGGCATTTAGTCCTCACACAGCCTGAGAAGTAGGGACTGATAGTATCTCCGTCTTATAGATGAGGAGATTGAGTCGCAGAGAGATTAAGTAACCCACTCAAAGTCACACAGCCAGTAAGTGGTAGAGCTAGGCAGTGTGGTTGTGCAGACCTTCCATTTGGATAGTAACAAAGCCGCTCCTTATTGTTAACTAGCTTTTATGGATTGTCTGCCATAGTCCACACAGATGTGGAGAAGGTAGAGATACTTTCAGCCTGGATTGTATGCAGCTCTCGAGGTGTGGGCACAGATCGCCAGCTTAGGCAAGCCCTGGGAACCACCGTCGCCCACTGAGCATGGTTGCAGGCTTTGGAGGGGTTGGGCTTTGCTATAGAACATCTCTGACAGAAGTTCAGTTGTTGGTACATTCTAAAAATTCTGTACCTACTACGGCAGGATAGTCATGCATCGAAGTCGCCTTAGTGCCTGTGAGAAGCCTTCTCCGCTGACTTACTGCAGCCCCATCTGAGCATCACATGCCCTCCTGCCGCATCTTGTTTAGTGTGCCCTCTTCATTCTAAGGGCCATTTTGTGCCATAAGCAGGTTCCACTCAAGCCATTTTGGGGAGGAGGAGGCAGAGGCTGGTGAGCTCAGCCCACTGAGGGCAGGTTTCATGGTGTGGACATTGGGTGGGGTGGCACGAGGAAGGAGGGAGAGGCTGGGGATACCCAACCAGTGTTTTTCTTGGCTTTAAAACTTCTTTTAAAGACGTGATGTTGTGTATTCATGGTTTTTCCAGTCACCAACCATTGATGGGCATCAACAACTTTCATGCTTTTTCTTTATTTCTTGTATGCAGAATAAGTCAGGACACATACAGGGCCAACTCTGCTTTTTCACACATTCATCTTACTTAAAATGCTTCCTCTGCCAAGCTTTTGTCTAGTCCATGGGCTTTTCCAGGCCTCTTCAGCTCATCTGTGTTCTTCGTGGGCTTTTCCATTTTGTTATAAGACATCTTCATTTAATAGTATGAAATGACGTAGAGGCATGAGGTAGTAACAGTGCATTTAAATGACGTGAGCATAAGACACTGTCCTATAGGAATAGTTGAAACACAGCCACACGGTGCATGCCGCATCCTTTTACCCAGAGCCCTGTGCAGTGTGCACCATCGGATCATTAGAGCAGCTTTCTATTTGGGTACAGAGTTTTGGGCAAAAATATCTGCAGGTGGTTACATCGAGCAGGGCTCTCTGCACTCAGTTTATGTGCATCCAGTCTTCGCATGGGGAGCAGTGGACTATGTCGGGGAGGCTTGCTCAGAGCGCATTTAAGCAAGCATGTTACTGACCTGGCTACCCTTCACTTGCCAGGGCTTTGCCTTGGGGGTGTCTGAGGCAGCCCGTTGTATGTTACAAGTCTGCTCTTCCATTATGCCCTGACCCTCAGTCCAAGCCCTGGAGCAAAAAAGGGGTTCAGAAGCACGTGAGAGGCTGGAGATGAGGGACATGTGTTACGGTCCTAAAGACATAGTGTAGGGAGATTCAAGTGTTTTTTTTCTGTCAAGAGCCCTGGCTTTATTCTGCCTTCAGATTTCTTTGAGAAACCCCATCAATTACTGGCAAAAAAAAAAAAAAAAAAAAAAAAAAACTGATTCTGTTATATGAAGTTAGAGCAAACAGGGATGCTAAATTGCCTATTAATCCATTTAGCAGATTACATATTGAATTTTTTCCCAGTGTGTTTAAATAAATCATTTACTAATATTCTAAATAGGTAAAAACCTTCAGGAAAATGTCCAGCACACATGCCATAGTGTCACCATGAGCTGGGTTGGAATGTTGCTGCTATGGACAGGACCTTATCCTGGATGCAGCCATTTTATAGTGAAATCTCATTCTCCCAGTCACGGAGGTCCTCAGGCCAGGCTAGTGTGGATGTGGTGACGGATGAAGTTTGGTGTGGGGTGATATGAGGCATAAGGGCATGGAGGCAGGTCGTGGGTAGGAGAGGCACTGTCTCAAAGCATTTGTGAACTGCTGAGCCCTACCAGGAAGCTGCTTGGTGCTTGTTCTCATTGGCTGTAGCTGCTGTGGTGCCATGTGTGGTCCTTCTTAGTGTAGGTCTAAGGCAGCATCCTTGTGTCTTGCAGGACAGCCAGGCTCCTGAGCCTACTGCCCCCATCTTCCTTTTGCCAGCTTTTCCTGTGCCGCAAACATCCAGTCTGTGTGGTACAGAATAGGCCTCTGCCTGTGCCTGGGTCCGGTCCACCAGCCAGGCTGTGCTGGCACACAGTGCCACCTGAAGATGCTATGGCGAAATGCTCCTCCAGTCCAAGTTTGCTGCTGAGCAGTGAGATCTTGGGAGGTGGAAGGAGGCTGGGATTATTTTCGTTTCTAACTACTAAATACTTCAGCATGCATTTTCTAAGGACACAGGTGTTCTTTTATGTAACCACAGTATAATGATCAAAACTCAGGAAATTTAACATTAATATGTTATTAACAATCCACAGTCCATGTTCACATTTCATCAATTGCCTGAATACTGTCATCGCTTTTTTTTCTCCTGGTCCAGAGGCACACTTGACATTTAATTGCCACATTGCTTTAGTCTCCTTTAGTCTGGAATTGTTCTTTGGCCTTTCTTTGTCCTTCCTAGCCTTGACACTTTTGAGAAGTATAGGCCAGTGATTCTGTAAAATGTCCCAGATTGGGTTTGTCTGATATTTTCTCATGATTACATTCAGGTTACATGTTTTTGGCAGGCTGCTGCCTGCATACGTGATGCCATGGCCTACTCAGTGCATCATAACCTGAGGTGCCTGGTGTCAGTTGATTCTAGTGTTGGTGAAGGTTTCATTGATAACTGGGGTAGGGTTGCTCCTCCAGCTCTCTCACTGTGAAGTTACAATTTTTCCCTTTGTAATTAATAACTGATTTACAGGGAGATATTTTGAAACAATGTAAATATAAGATCTGTTTTCAGTCTTTCTTGGAAAGCCTCCCCCATTTGGAAGGGAGCCACAAATACAGAGTGAAGGTCCTCCAGCCAGTTTTTGATCTGGTAACTCTCTGGTGACGAAACTGAGTCACATGTGTAGAGTACTCATTACGTGTCAAGTCTTGTAAGTGCTTCACGTATGTCAACTCATTTACTTTTCATATTATCCCTATGAGATGAGTACTCATATCATCTTACTTTACACCTGGGAAAACAGGCACTGAGAGGTTAAGGCCCCTGTCTAAGGATGTGACAATCACTGTGTGGCAGAACTGGAATTCAAACCCAGTGGGCCTCACTGCAGGACTGGGGCCTTGCACCCCCTGCCATTCTGCTTGCCTGCTGCCATGTGCAGCATACACATGTGCTGCTTGACACACAATGCTGCTTCGCTGACCTCTGCACGTTCCTGTCCTCTGCATGTGGAGGTCTTAAACACCATTTGGTCCCCACTGTCCCTGACCTGCTTGGTTTTTTTGACTGAGAGCCTCACTGAAATGTTTTTTCTAGGCATGATAGACAGACTGGGAAGAAGCCAAAGGCTTTTCATTTTGAGATTGGAGTCCATGGGCCTTGTCCTGGAAGCCAGAGGAATCTTTCCTGTGTGGATAAATTTAACATTTGAGCCTGTGCTAAAGGATGAGGAGGCTTTTGCCCATGAAGGAGTAACAGATATAGAACTTGCCCATCTTCTGTAAGCAACCAGAAAACAGGCCAAAATATATAAAGCAACTTTGCAAATATCAGACAGCAGGCATCAAGACAGTGAGCCTAAGGGAAAAGAAGTAATGAGGTGAGCCCTGTGGTCTTCCCACCAACATTCTGCTGGAGGCACTTTCCAGATCTCAGAGCAGCAAGGAGGAACCCAAGCGAAGCCCAGCAGTCTCGCTGCATTGAGAAGACACATCTGAGGAGGCCAATGCAGTTGGAATTTGCAGGGGACAGTACAGAGGAAAAAGAGCTATGCAGAAGGAAAGCTCTCCACCTTAGCTTAGGGGTCTCCTCGAGACTTTTTATGAACAGATCTCTTGTGTAGGGTGAAACTCAAGAAGCAAATTGAAGAACCGCTGCTGGAGAACTGTAAGTGGAACTACGTCCAGGACGGAGAGACATTTGAGTTCTTTCCAGATAGAGCAGAGAGACGTTGTTGAACACCTGGGACATCCATAGACCCCTCAAAAGAGTCATCATGCCTTAATATTAGGTTTCAACTAGCTCTAGAGAAAAGAGTACAAAGTTTAAAAACAAGCCTTGAAGCCATATACAAAAATTAAGTGGAAATAGGTCACAGACTGGGAGAAAATACTTGCAAATATGACTATCTGACCAGGTATTTATAACCAGAATATGTAAAGAATTCTTAGAACTCAGAAAAAAAAATGCAATTTAAAAATTGGCAAAGGATCTGAAGACATTTCTCCAGAAAAGATATACAAATGGCCAATGAGCACATGAAAAGATGCTCAATATCATTACTCATCAGGAAAATGCAAATTAAAATAGTGATGAGATACCAATATATACCCACAAGACAAGAATGGCTAAAATTAAAATTGATGAACAATACCAAGATTAGAAGAGAATATGAACTCTGGAACTCCTATGCATTGCTGGTAAAAATGCAAAATGGTACAACCACTTTGGAAAATTGTTTGAAAGTTTCTTATAAAGAAAATGAAATGTACCATACAACTCAGCAGTTTCACCCCTCGAGATTTACCCAAGAGAACAGAAAACACATGGCCATAGAAGGACGTGTGCATGAATATTTATAGCACCTTCATTTGTAATTGCCCCAAACTAGGAACAGTTCAAATGTTCAACAACACATGAATGGATAAACAAATTGTAGTATGTCCACATAGTGGAATAAATGTCAGCAGCTAAAAGGAACAAACTATTGATACATGCAACAACATGATTGAATCTCATGGTTGAGTATGCTGAGCAAAAGAAGCCAGATAAAAGGAATACATACTGAATGACTCCATTTATATGAAATTCTAGAAAAGGGAATTCTAATCTATAGTGACAGAAAGCAGATTAGTGGTTTCCTTGAGGTAGTAGGAATGGGACTGACTGCAAAAGGACTTTTTGGGCGGGCGCGGTAGGTCACGCCTGTAATCCCAGCACTTTGGGAGGCCGTGGCGGGTGGATCACTTGAGGTCAGAAGTTTGAGACCAGCCTGGCCAACATGGTGAAACCCTGTCCCTACTAAAAGTATAAAAATTAGCCGGGCGTGGTGGCGGGCGCCTGTTGTCCCAGGTACTCGGGAGGCTGAGGCAGGAGAATCGCTTGAACCCGGGAAGCGGAGGTTGCAGTGAACCAAGATTTTGCCACTGCCCTCCAGCATGGGCGACAGAGTGAGACTCTGTCTCAAAAAAAAAAAAAAAAACTTTTTGGGTGATGGAAATTACTGTATCTTGATTGTAGTAGGGTTACATCAGCATACACATTTCCCAAAACTCACTGAACTGTATGCATAATATAAGTGCATTTTTGTTATGTAAGTTTTACCTCAGAATTGTTTTAGAAGAGAAAGGGGAAAAAAGCCTTGAAATGATCAAGCTGCTCTACAGAGTTCACTGCTTGCCCAAATAAGTGCTCACTAAAGGCAGACAAAATTTAAACACTTAACAATGTAACTAACAATCATGATGTATAGCCCCAATCAACAATTTCTAGACAGGTTAGGTAAAGAAGCAGGAAATTGTGGCCTACAGTCAGAAGAAGAATCAGCTAATATTAATAGACCAAGAAATTACAGAGATTTTAGAATCACCAAGAAAGGATTGAAAAACAGTTATAAATATGCTAAAGTTTTAAAGAAAAATAATAAGCACAATGGAAAATAGAAAAGCAAAGCAAATGGAACTTCTAGAACTGAAAATACAATTTCTGAAAAATTCATGAACTTATAAACCAAAAATTAAACTATGAAAGAATAGCATACGTGAAAACATAGCAACAGAGCTTTATAAATTAAAGTGCAGAAAGAAGAAAGTCTTAAAAAACAAAACAAAAGAACAGAGCCTTAGTGACCCATGGGAAAATATCAAAGGTCTAACGTGTAATTGGATTTCCTAGAGGCAGGGGAGGAAAAGGCAGAAAAATGTTAGAAGAAATAATGACTGAACATTTTCCAAAGTTGATGAAAATTATAAACTCATAGATCTAAGAAGCTTGATGAACCCCAGGCAAGATAAACACAAAGAAAATCACACTAATCCATATCATAATCAGACTGTTGCAAAACAGATGATAAAAAGAAAATTGTAAAAGCAATCAGAGGAAAAGAAGACATTATATACAGAGAAATCAACATAAGAACTAATTTGGATTTTTTGTCAAGCTATTCAAGCCTGAAGACAATGGAACAACATCTTTAAAGTCCTGAAAGTAAAAGCCTGTCAATCTAGGATTCTATAGCCGGTGAGAAATACCTTTTATAAATGAAAGCAGATTTAAAAACTGGATGAAAGCGCTTTGATCCTTCCTCAAAGTAGGTGGCTCCAAACCTGGTAATGACCATTCCAACTCAGCTCCTTGGCCCCTTTGTAAGTTTTGACATCTTTAGTTACCATGTCATGAGTTAAGTGTGATAGTAACAAGTTACAGACGTTTGGAAGAAATTGAGTTGCTTTCTTTAGTTAAAAACTACTTGCCACCGCTACAGTGAGAAGCAGTGCAGGGATGTGGTTTTAGGCTCCTAGAAGCCATGCTGGGAAATCAAGTGCTCTCGGCGTCCCCTGTTTATGATGCCTTTCTCCATCCTCCCATGCACTGCTGTGGCCGACTCTTAATTGCCAGGTCCTAAGCCCTTCTTCATACCCCTCCGTGGCATCATTTTTGTCCAAACTGCCCTTGTTAGCAGACTCCTCATTGCACCGATAGGATACCCCTTGTTTGGGGGAATGAGAAACCAAATTTAGCTTCAAATACCTTTTTTGGTTGTTGAAGTAGAATAGGGGAAAGGAAATTTCCTTTCGGGGTGGACAGAAACACTGTGGTGACTACTTCTAGTGCCTTGTTCTTTTTTCCTACCTTGAAGAGCTGTTAGCCAAGTAGGTCAACAGAGAGCATGAGCGTGTCAGCCAAGACTGAATTTGAAAGCAAAGCAGCAGCTTCAAGTTCCCCCTTGAAAGATGCATCCATGCCACATCCAGTAAAAACGTCCTGAGAACTTAGAATGACAAATGTGGCAGGTCACCTCCATGATGGACCCCAGCCATCCCCACTCATGATGTTCACACCCTTGTATAGTCCCTTTCCTCAAGGTTAGTTTACGAGACCAGTAGAATGTGCTAGAAGTGAAGCCACATGGCTTCCGAGATCAGGTTATTATGAAGACTGCAGCTTCCATCTTAAGGGTACTTGCTTGCTTCCTCCCTGCTGGGTCCCTTGCTCTGGGGAGAGCCAGCCGTCATGTCTTGAGGACTTTCAGGCAGTCCTGTGAAGAGACCCACGTGGTGAGGAGCTAAGGACCCCAGCCCCCAGCCCTGTGTGAGCCTTCTGAGAAGCACATCCTCCAGCCCCAGTCAAGACTTCCGGTGATGCAGCCCTGGCTGACAGATTGGCTGCAGCCTTACAAGAGAACATGAGCCAGAACTACGCAGCCAATAGTAAATGTTTACTTCTTTAGGCCATTAAGTTTTGTAGTAATTTGTGACACAGTGGTACAAAACTAACATAGCAAAGCTGTGAGAGAAGTTAGGAAACTTGATTCCTGTTCTCTAAGAGTCCATAGCCTGCTTAGGAAGGTAGACCACTTGAACAAGTAACTATTCTAGGCTTGTATGCAAAGTGAGCAAAGACTGATTCAGGTATATTTATCTATTGGGCTTATCAATTGGATTTCATCAGTGAGCAGGGCTGTCGGAATCCCAGAGTGGTTTGTAGCATTGCTATTCCTCCTGAGTTCTTTCTTATTTATTTATTTAGAGACGGAGTCTCACTCTGTCGCCCGGGCTGGAGTGCAGTGGTGCAATCTCAGCTCACTGCAAGCTCTGCCTCCTGGGTTCACGCCATTCTCCTGCCTCAGCCTCCCAAGTAGCTGGGATACAGGCACCCACCACCACGCCCAGCTAATTTCTGTATTTTTAGTAGAGACGGGGTTTCACCTTGTTAGCCAGGATGGTCTCGATCTCCTGACCTCATGATCCGCCCGCCTTGGCCTCCGAAAGTGCTGGGATTACAGGCGTCAAGCCACCGCGCCCAGCCCTCCTGAGTTCTTGAAGATAGTTTAAACAGGCTCAGATACCAGCAAACCTGTCATCCAGAGTAGGAGTTAGCTACTTTTTCAGTCTTAAGGATTTCAGAGAGGCGGTTTGTCATATTCTTTTTTTTTCCACATTTTCTATTATGTTTAATTGCATATGTGCCTTACCCTTAGCAAGCCTACCTGATTGTCACCGTTTACATTTTTTTTTTTTTTTTGAGACAAGAGTTTCTCTCTTCTTGCCCAGGCTGGAGTACGGTGGCACCATCTCGGCTCACTGCAACCTTTGGCTCACTGCAATCTCTGCCTCCTGGGTTCAAGTGATTCTCCTGCCTCAGCCTCCCGAGTAGCTGGGATTACAGGCATGCCCACCACATCTGGCTAATTTTGTATTTTTAGTACAGACAGGGTTTCACCATGTTGGTCAGGCTGGTCTCAAACTCCTGACCTCAAGTGATCCACCTGCCTTGGCCTCCCAAAGTGCTGGGATTACAGGCATGAGCCACCGCACCTGGCTTTACTGCTTACATTTTAACTGGTAGGAAATCTGAGTTTCTATAGTCCACAATGGATTGGTGAACAAAGATGAATTTCAGACTATTTTTGTTATATAGTGAGCCTTTGAATTGCATGTGGGAGTCAAACAGAAGCTAATATTGAAACAGCCAGCTCATTCCATGCATAGTGACTTTCTACACATTTTTGGTCTTCTCAGTTGTGTGGCTTTGTTTCAGTACCTCCTTTGTAAGGAGGCAGTTGATGGATCTCCCTTTTCCTATGAGCCCTTTCAAAGGTACCAGCAGCCCCAGGAGCTCTGTCTCCAATGCTACGGGAAAGGAAGTGCGAATGGAGCTTGGCTGAGTCTTCGTTCTCTGCTGTGAGCACTCCCACTGGGTTTTTCCCCAGCCACCTGCTTTTCTCCTGTCCCTAGAATGTGCTGAGACTCAGTCACCACTCTCCTGGTTCTTATAGCAGATGATTTGGTCTTTTTTTCTTTTTACTTATAATGAATATGTAATAATTGTACATATTTGTTGTTTGGTCCACTCTTGACAGTGTTTTAACTCTGCTTTCTCTGGTTCTGTGCTTGCCCCACCCACATCTGGTCCCTCTTGTATAGCATCAGGTGTGCGAAGCTAAGTCTCCTGCAGGTGGCTTGGTGAAGAGCACGTCAGAAGGATGCGTGCTGATTGGGACTCTCTTGATGCACACCGTTGCCTGGTTGGAGAGTCTGAGGACAGGTTGGAGGGCCCCACCCGGGCCCTAAGCCTCCTTTTATCTAGGATCTCATGAACTATGCTTGGCCTTTCTGAGTGGGAGCTGGCATAGCAAACCTGTTTCAAATGAGAAATAGCAGGGCCAGAGCATGCTGATTCTCTGGGGTTGATTTATGTTCTTTCTAGAATTTTAGGAAGGCAGGAATCAAAGAAGACATCATTGTGATACAACCCCAGAAACATCACCCAGCAAGCCCGTCTCCAGAATTCCAGAGGCTCTGGTGGCTTCCCCTCACTTCATGTAGCTAGGGTTCAGAGCCCTCAGGGAAGGAGGCTGGCTAGGAGGCAGAGCTCCTTTTCCACGTGTTCTTTAAGCAAGCTCTCTGCCAGCCTCATGCCTTGGGGTGCTTACCATGCACTCTGCATGATAGGACAAGAGGGGCAGAAAAACTTAATTTCATGGTGCCTTTTATGACTTCCATGCCATGTGATGGTGGTTTTTCCAGCTCCTTTGTGGAAGGAAAATTTGAGAGATCTAAGTAGAGAGATGAACAAAGTGAGCATTGGGAGTTGAGGAATCCTATTCTGACTGAGACTCTCCCTTTCCTCACGCAGCCGGTGTTCCCAGTTCTCAGAGTCTTGGTTTATTTACATTGTATATCCCCCTGTACTGGTGTACATGCTTCTCGTGTATCACTTGTTCTTCCCTCCTGGTCCTCCTGTTCTTCCTAAGTGGAGGAGAGGCGTCAGTAGCTGTGAGAAGAACCTCAAGGCTCCTGAAGTATCCATCAGACTACTCTGGAAGGGATTCCCACTGCCGGCCAAGTAGGGCTACAGGTATTTTAGCTCATAGCGGGTGATGATTTGTTAAGGTCCCAAGCCTCCTGGTGGTCAAAGGCTGCCTTGGCTGCTGTCTGCTGCCCTGTCTCTGGCCACCTGACTCGTAGGCCTGGGGACTGAGGACATGAGCTCTGTTGTTTCTCTTCTCAGATCTGCCTAGTTACACAACTTGTATGGTTTGAAAGGAGAAGACTCTGGGTGCCAACTTCATTGGGCTGAGGAGCTAGGGCAAAGGTCTTATGTGTAATTTAATAATTCTAGTATCATGAGAAGAACTGGTCTTCCTTTAATTGTTCTGCCTAGCATGCTTATTAATTCTCTTCCATCAATAAAATTCTAAGGTAAAGCCCAGTGTTCCCAGAAGAAGAGTTTTTTTGCTTGAGTAAAGGTGTAACACCCTCACAAAGTCAGTGGATGCTATCGCAACATCCGTGCACTTGCACTGCCGTTGGAGCCTCTCAGTAGACTGCTCATCTGCCATGCTATTGGCAGTCCCACCCACTCCTGAAGGCAGTGTCCTATCGGCTCTTATCTGTTGAGAAGGTTAGATATGGCCTTCTGGAACCCTGGGGAGCTGGTCCTCTGAACTTGGACTTGTCCTTGACTTCTTTATGTAGCTTCATAACCAGCCAGCTTCTCTTGGTTGTAGGTGTGTGCCCTTGGAAAACCAGTGGAGATGTTTCTGTTCGATGCTATCAGAATAAAAATGCATTTAGGTAGGCTCACGAGACAATCAGGGAGAAAAGTCTTTGTCATCCAAAGGGACCAGGGAACAGAGATAGTGTAGCCAGGAATGTAGGGTTTCTACACAAGGAAACAAAACTAATACATCCAGGACCATAGGGTTCCTAGACCAGGGAGCAGAGGTGGTACAGCCGGGACCACAGGGTTCCTAGACCAGGGAATGAGGTGATACAGCCAGGACCATAGGATTCCTAAACCAGGCAAAGAGGTGATACAGCCTGGACCATAGGGTTCCTAGGCCCGGGAGCAGAGGTGGTACAGCCAGGACCATCAGACTTCTAGACCAGGGCATGAGGTGGTATAGCCTGGACCATAGGGTTCCTAGACCAGGGAACAGAGATGGTACAGCCTGTTGGTCACATGCGTGGTGTCTAGCATCAGACTGCGTAAATTTGGTCCCTTGCCTCTCATGACCACCAGGCCACATTATGGTAGTTTTTCCAGTGCTGTCTGACTTTATCTGTCTGAGACTGTTTCTTCTTCTCAAGATAGGGGAGGTGATTACCTGTCTTTTTTTTTTTTTTTTTTTAAGACGGAGTCTTGCTCTGTCGCCCAGGCTGGAGTGCAGTGGCGCGATCTCAGCTCACTGCAAGCTCCACCTCCCGGGTTCATGCTATTCTCCTGCCTCTGCCTCCCGAGTAGCTGGGACTACAGGCATGTGCCACCACACTGGCTAATTTTTTGTATTTTTAGTAGAGACAGGGTTTCACTGTGTTACCCAGGATGGTCTCGATCTCCTGACCTCGTGATCTGCCCGCCTTAGCCTCTCAAAGTGCTGGGATTACAGGCGTGAGCCACCACACCCGGCCAGTGATTACCTATCTTAATGGGTTATGAGAATTAAGTGAGATACAGTGCTTGGCACTGCCGGGTGCAGGGTGGGTGCTGAGTGTTAGCTCACTGAGGCCCACCATGGCTGACTGGCCGCCACGTCACACAACCCTGGGGAGGTAGGACAGTTCACACCATGTCATCAGTTATTAGAATTGGGAAAATACAGCTTAATCCAAGACTTCATGTACAGGTCGAACTGGAGGGATTGAATGG
This sequence comes from Homo sapiens, assembly GCF_000001405.40. Taxonomy (NCBI): domain Eukaryota; kingdom Metazoa; phylum Chordata; class Mammalia; order Primates; family Hominidae; genus Homo; species Homo sapiens. Next base: position 52,877,575 of record NC_000003.12, on the reverse strand, counting down.
CTCACCGGAGACTTTCCAGCAGGTCAGAGGCTGAGCCAGGACTAGAACCCAGAATTCCTCTGTCCTAGGCCTCTGCCCTTTCCCCTCCAATGCCTACTCTTACTGCTGTTTCTGTGCCCCCTGCCATGGCACACATTTACTTATGCTCATTGGTTTGTCCAGGGAGTTTGTTCTAGACTATGGCATGAGAAAGGGAACTCTTCCCACCTACGAACTGACCTTCCTAACATTGTGCCACTTGGTCATGACAGCCCAAGAGCACAAGCCTGGAGCCGCAGCCAGTGGCAGGTGGCTGAGGCATGTGAAGGTGGAGGGATGTTGCACACTCTTGGTAAACATGGGCTTTCTTCCTTCCCTCTCCCAGCTTCAGGCTGGTCTGGCAGAGGCAGGCACTGGGTTGCCCAAAAGCGTGAGCTGTGTTAAAGAGTGATGGCAGAAGCAGCCACAGGCAGGGTGTGTCAGAGGAGACCTGTTATGGACTCAGCCAGTGTGGCCTGTGCCAGTGAACTTCAATGGCCATTCTCAGTTTTAACCTGCATTAAGACTTGAGTTGACTTTTTATCACAAGCCTTGAAATTTTGGACTATGTATATATTATAAATGTAGACACTAGCCACCTACCTTCAGTGTAGAATAACATTCTTGAATTGTTTTTCCACCCACAGTTGATCCTTGAACAGCGTGGGGGTTAGAGCAGTCAACACTCCACACAGTTGAAAACCCGCATATAACTTCTGACTCCCCAAAAACTTAACTGCTAATAGCCTAGTGTTGACTAGAAGCCTGACCCAATAACATAAACAGCCAATTAACACATATTTTATATATGTATTATATATGGTATTCTTACAATAAAATGAGAAAAAATGTTATTAAGAAATGTTAGTAAGAAAAATCATAAGGAAGAGAAAATGTATCTGCTATTCATTAAATGGAAGTGGATTATCATGAAAACTTGTGTTCGTAATGGTTTTCATCCTCTTGATCTTCAAATTGAAAGCCGAGGAGGAGGAGGATTCAGGGTTGGTCTTGCCGTGTCGGGTGGCAGAGATGGGAGAAAATCCGTGTATAAGTGGACCCATGCAGTTCAAACTCATGTTCTTCAAGGGCCAACTGTAGATTTAAGTGTTCTAAGCTAATTCTCTTTTAGAAGCCATTCTTGTTTTTCGATAATGCTGTCTGGGTTGCACATAAAGGCCCAAGTTTGATAAGCTTTGCGTTTTGTATCAAGGGACCAGGCTCCATCAGTCCTGATGCTGGTGCCTTGCTGTTCAGTGGTAGGTGAGGGTCAGCAGTGGCCTGGGTTCTGGTCCTGACCCTAGTGCTTGCTGCCTGTTGGACTTCAGCAAGTTCCTTAACTGCTCTGAGCATCAGTTTTGCCATCTGAAAATTAGGATGATTCTATCCACTTCCTAGGGTTGAGTGAGGAATGATGGAATTAATTTAGCTTAAGTGTCTAGGGCCACCAGTATTGCTGATGTTGATAACACCTTATGTGATGAGACTTTCTCAGATCTCCTCATGGGAACTCAGTTGAATGCATACTGGCTTTAGGGAGTAGAGGAGGCTGTCTTTGATGGTAAAGCAGGGTGCTGTTGGGGATCATGTCAGGTGAGCCTGTCCTTGCCAGCCACCCTCACACTGCTTCTCCAGGTGAGCTGGCTGCTCATGGGTACCTCTCAGTGCTCACAAGGGCTTCTGGATGAGGGAGGGGGCCGGCTGAGTGGCCCCTCCACCCCTGCTGGGGAATGGCATTTAAAGTATTTGACCTACAGATGTCAAGAGGGCAGGTGTAATCATCTTTATGAATGAAACCTACTGCACTGGGGGTTTATCCTAGTAAGTTGAGTGACCCAGTTAAGTGAATTGGCAACTTTGATGTCCTTTGGCTTCTGGACTTAACTCTTGACAGGTGGACCTCAAGACTCCCACCCTTTCCTTCCAGATTCAAAGAGTGAAAACAACATCAAAAGTACCCCTCTCCATACCCGTTATTCATTCTGTTCTCTGCCAAGTTGGGACCACTCTAAGCAGCTAGAATGGTGTGGGAGCCTTGGGTTACGGGGACAGAAATCTAACCTGCGATTTGCTGTGTGATGGGGCCACTGTGTGAGGGGGCCAGCAGGTGTCTCCTCTGACTAGGAGGCAGAGAGATTAATGTCTGTGCTGCTTGAGCTGAGGATGAGCTTCTGTGGTGGGGCTGGCCAGGGGCTACACGTGTTACCTCTGAGAAATGCAGACTCCACGGCCATGCCTTCTTCTAAGAATTTGACTAACCACAAGGTTGCAGTGAAGGTCAGTTCTTTGGGTAAAGAAAACTTTTTATAGTCAAGGTCCTCTTATCCAACACAAATTAGAACTATTTGTTAATTTTTAAGAGGTAGTGAAACTGGGGAATACAAAAAAGTAGAAACATACACAATGAACATTTTATTCCAGCTTATGCCTGTTAGCATACAGGAGCACAGGGACCTCCCATCTACCATAGATAACAGCGCAGCAGTGATCCTAGACCTCCTTGATGTGGGTTCAGTTGCAGACTAAAGTGGCGCATTTTCCGTCTCTCGTGAGTTCTGCCTGCTGGAAGCTTTTCTCTTAGAAGGAGATTTTCTAAATGAGTTGGGTTTGAGGAAGGTTTTTAATTATCTAATGTGCAAAATTGTAATTTAGTCATTTTTAATTTATTGTTTTTAGCAGCAGAGACCTTTATTTTATTTATCTATTATTATTTTTTGAGACAGAATCTCCCTCTGTCGCCCAGGCTGGAGTGCAGTGGCAAGATTTTGGCTCACTGCAACCTCCACCTCCCAGGTTCAAGCGATTCTGGTGTCTCAGCCTCACGAGTAGCCACCACGCCCAGCTAATTTTTTTATTTTCAGTAGAGACTGGGTTTCCCCATGTTGGCCAGGCTGGTCTCAAACTCCTGACCTCAAGTGATCCGCCCGGCTCAGCCTCCCAAAGTGCTGAGATTACAGGTGTGAGCTACCATGACCAGCCTCTTTTTTGTTGTTACTACAAAAGTAATACATTCTCACTGTAAGCAACTAAAACATTATGAAAAGACATAGCATAGAAAGTGAAAGTTCAGTTCACTGTAAGTCCATCCTCTAGAGAGCTAACCATGGTTAATAGTTTATTGTATATGCCTCTGAATTTCTGTGTGTGTGTGTATCTTTTGTTGATGTATAAAAATAGGTTCACATTACACATTGACCGTTTTAATGATTTGCTTTTTTCCCCCCATTTAGCATGAGGGTTTTTTCCATTTCAATGCAGATAGATCTACCTCACTTTTTAAATAGTTTTATTGAGGTATAATTTATGTACCATAAAACTCACGCATTGTAAGTATACTTCACAGTTGACATCCATTGCATAATCACATATGATCAACCCCTTCCCTATCGATGGACATTTAGCTGGTTTCTAAATCTTCCACTCTTAAAGACAATGCTGCAGTGAGTGCTCTTCTACACAGACTTGTGGGCATTTGTGGAGGTGTAACTATAGAGGAAAAGCTGAGTCACAGTTTATAAACATTTAAAATCGTGATAGATATGCCAAAATAACCTGACGCAACTTTTCATGTGTTTTGTGGACTGGTGGAAAACACACACACACATATCGTTGCCCGCTATGAGATTGAATGAAATTCCTGAATTTATTTGTCCAGGGAATTGGAGTTAGCAGTGTAGTGGTGATGCATGGCAGGAGCAGATGCAGCATTTCTCTGTGAGTTCCCCAGCTGCCCAGGATACTGGCTCACAGGGTAGGGTCCTTCCAGGACAGCCCCATTATTCTTGGGGCTTCCATCAGTATTCAGGAAGAACGTACACTAACAAGCCCTCATTAGCAAGTACTTACAGGTCCCCAGCGCCTCTTGGCTCTTAGGTCAAATTCTGCATCCTGGAAGCCTCATCCCTGCACCTCCCACCCCACCCCTAGGGCTCTTGGAGCAGCAACTCTGATATCTCTGCCTCTAGTGTCTGGTTCCCAGAAGGCTCAGTTAGTTCACTGAGGCTACCCTTGGTACCAGTTTAATGACTTCTTTAACCTGGGTGGTTCTGGAGCCGAGAATTGCAAATCCACTTCCCCACACTTACCAAGTGGTTGTACAACTCGCTTTTCTACCAGTGTTTTAAGAGTACCTGTTTCCTAATATCCTCACCAAATGTTTTAACCTTTGCTAATCTGGGCAAAAATCAATACTAATTTGCATCTTCAAAATTGCTGTTATTAAGGTTGCATATGTGTTTATCAGCAATTTGTATTTCTTTCCATCAAACAGAATCCCCCATGGAACACACATACAGTGATAATGCCCCCTCGCTCCTACTGCCATCATTATCTTAGCAGATGACACCACAGCCCTGCTCCTGGGGGAAGCAGTGGTTTCAAGGAGGCCTGTGTTCAGAGAATTTAGCATATTTATTTGCTAGACAATTTAGGGTGGTGGGGGGAGGTTGTTGCTTTTTGTTTTTGTTATTTATTTCTCAGCCTTCGGCCAAACCTCCATGGAGCAGGATTAAAGCTGGCTAAACTTAGAACCTGGGCTTCATCTGGTTCAGAAGAAATTAAGTCTTTACCAAAAAATGTTCATGAGCACTTAGACCAGATTATCAGCTTCTTGTTTTTAAGGTCAGATATGGTTGCCGGGCGTGGTGGCTCACACCTGTAGTCCCAACACTTTGGGAGGCCAAGGTGGGTGGATCACTGGAGGTCAGGAGTTTGAGACCAGCCTGGCCAACATGGTGAAACCCCATCTCTACTAAAAATACAAAAATTAGCTGGGTGTGGTGGTGCATGCCTGTAATCCCAGCTACTCAGGAGGCTGAGGTAGGAGAATCACTTGAACCCGGGAGGCGGAGGTTGCAATGAGCCGAGATTGTGCCATTGCACTCCAGCCTGGGCGACAGAGCGAGACTCCGTCTCAAAAAATAAAATTAAAAAAATAGATAATTAAAAATCAGGTCAGATATGGTGAGGGAGTCTTTGCCGAGCCAGTTCATCCTGACTTCCAGTTATTTACGAGGAAGAAAGTTTTGGAGTAGTTGGCCTCTGACAGTCTTGCGTACAGCTTACATCATCCATAACCAAAGCAGTTTAGTCCTTCCTGTTGTAGGACTAATAACTTGCAAACTGCTTCTGGGAGAACCCATCACAGAAATTCATGAAACTTGTTGAATTGACAGTAAACACCTGGACAGGACTCAGTAAATATGGCTTAAAAGTGACAGACTGAATGAATTCCTTTGTTCAACAAATACTGTTTAGCTACCTGTTTGGAGCCAGGCTCCCTCTAAGTGCTAGGAATACAGAGGTAAACAGAGCAGAAGGTCCTGGTCTTACAGAGCTTACTTTCTAGTAGGGAGAAGACAGTAGTAAGAAAATGTAAGAATTTCTGAGATTAATGCTATGAAGAAAACCAAGCAGGGAAATGAGACTGAGGGATGGGACAAGGTGGGACAAGCACACCCGTGGTTGAGGCAGTCAGAGGAGGCTTCCTGAGCGCTGAGACAGGAACAAAAAGAAGCCAGCCACTTGGTGACCCGGGAGAAGAGTGTTCCAGACGGAAGGTGCCGCATGAGCCAGAGGGGCAGGGGCAGGGTGGAACTTGTGGGTGCCGCATCAAGAGAAGCCCCATGTGAATATGTGGAGCCTAAGTCACATGGGACGTTGGCCAGAGAAGGAGCCTGCCGTTTCTTCTATCTGCCGTGGAAAGGCATGGGGGGGTTGTGTTTGTGTGTTTCAATTTTATGGAGGTATTGTTTACATGAAGTAAATTGCACAGATCTTAAATGTGAAGTTGGACTTTTGACAGATTTGTGTCATGGAAGTTTTGAGTGGAGGGTGACATAATTTTATTTATACTTTACAAAGACCCCACTGACAGCTGTGTGGAGGATGGGTGGATGGGTTGGTGGATGGATGAATGAATGAGTGAGTGAGTGAGTGAATAATAATCCCATCTTATTTAATGAAACATAGTGAGGCTCTGAGGCTTCTGCTCTGAGCCTCTTTTGTGGAAAAGAGTGACAGAAGGTGGCATTGGAAGCTGTCCCTGCCACAGGGGGAGGCTAGATGGTGGGGCAGGAGGAGTGGGTTTGGAATCCAGGGTCGTGTGCTGGCTAACTCCCACTAAGATGGGAGATGCCAGGGTTCTGCCGCAGGTGCTCCCACACAGATGAGGTGCTTGCTGACTGTCGTGAGCAGTCCGGCCTGGGTTCTGCTCCCCCGCTGCACCGAGCCCCCAGCATCCTCTCTGCCCAGGGTGTGAGTCCTGTGGCCTTCTTGACGGGACAGGCCTGTGGATGTTCGTCCACATGGTGTGATCCTTGAGGGTTGTTTAAAAAGGTCCCCCTTCAGAGATAGCTTTTCTGTCACCCTTTGTTTGGTACCTGAAATTCCAGCATGAAAATATCTTGGTTTTGAGCATATGAAACTATCACGAGTCACTATCCCATATGACAGGAGGTGGCGGTACTTGATTGAATTGCCTCCTAATGCAACGATGAAGGGAGCAGGATGTGGGGTAGGCAAGTGTGAAGGTTGCTGGGGAATTGGGCAAGATTCAGGACCTGCGGCACTCAGGTCCTGAGTGGGAAGCCTTGGGAGTGGTTGTGGGAGTGTCGAGAAGGTGCTGGAGGCTCCTCAGGCACCACCCGCCTTCCCCCAGACCTTCCAGTGAGAGGGGACACAATTACTTGGAGCACCTTAGTGACCCCTGACCTCAGCACTCTGCTGAGGTGGTCTCCCATCATCAGCTAAAAGCATGAGGTGTCCTGAGTCCTGCTCCCTGTCAATCCTGCCGTGTTTCCTGGGCACCTCCCAGGCGCCTGCCCTGCTGCTGGTGAGGCGGGAGAAGAAGACTCGCTTGACCAGCCTGAGGAGCACCTGCCACTCTGCCTCCCATGGGGCCACCCTGCCCGCGCAGCAGGACACCATGCATTCACTTCGCGTGGAGTCACTAGTGCCCTCACCCTGGGCAGAGGATGGCAGGCCTAGAACTTGAGAGTCTTGATGGCTTCGTGTTTCTCTCCTGTGGGCCCAGGTTGTCCCTGTTGCCACTCTCGTGTGCTCACCTCCCAGCACCAGCATTCAGCCTTTGGGCTGACAGAGGCCGACCAGCCTGGGGTAGCTTGATATCTCTTGGGTCCGTTCCCACGTGGGAAGCGCAGGCCAGATTTGGAACCACAACCGTGGTGATACAACCACCAGTGATCGTGGTTGTTTTCAGATGGTGACATTTTAGATGATTTTTCTCTTTCCCTGGTTTCCAAACTTACTGCAATGATTTATAATTTAAAAGAAAAAAAGAGGCCAGGTGTGGTGGCCCACACCTGTAATCCCAGCACTTTGGGAGGCCAAGGCAGGTGGATCACCTGAGGTCAGGAGTTCAGGACCAGCCTGGCCAACATGGTGAAACCCCGTCTCTACAAAAATTAACCGGGCATGATGTAATCCCAGCTACTCCGGAGGCTGAAGCCAGATGTGTGCTTTCTTGTTTCCTGCAGGTGGACTTCGTGCTTAAAGATTTACTCTTCCTCCAGCAGTTCCTCTAGCTGCTGCTTCTTGCTAGCATGTGCATGGTGCTTGCCAAGTACAAAGCATGGCTGTAATACTCTTAAGTATATTGTTTTATTAATACTCCTGTGAGCTGTATACTATAATTTCTTCCATCTTATAGAGTCCAGTTGAAGCCCAGAGATGTTAAGCAAGTCTCCCTGGTCCCACAGTCGGCTCTAAAGCCAGGTTTTGAACCCAGAGCTCATACTCGCAAACACTAAGCTCTGCCACCTTTGACTTGTGATGGGACACCAGTATGTTCTGCTCTGTTTGTTCAGTTTAGTAGTTAAGTGCCTACTTCATTCCAGGTACTGGCCTGGGTGCCAAGGGTATAAATATGAATAAGATAAGGTCTCTGTATCCCTCCTTAACTAATTGTCTAGTGGGAGACAGGCAGATGCTTAGTATTGCATATGAAGTGTTGTCCAAAGATGTGCATAAGAGACTTTGGGGACCCAGGAGAAGGGAGGGCACTTGGTTCAATTGCAGGGAGCTAAGCAAGATGTCTTAGAGCAGTGGGAACAATCTGGAAGAATGCCTAAGAACTATCCAAGAGAAGAAATGGAGGGCCCCTCCCACGCCAAGGGGACAGTATGAGTGACAGCACTAAGGTGGGAGATGCCAGGCCATCAGGGCCCTTTTTTGCCAACTTACAAAGCCTGTATTATGTCCTCTGATGTTGGGGATGTGGGGCTGGCACTGGAGGGTTTTAGGCCAGGAGCAGCGTGCTCAGTTCACTCTGGTCCAGTGTCGGGGTGGATTCAGGCGAGAGGACTGGAGTCAGGAGGACTTGCTAAGGCAAAGGGATGGCCTTGATTCTGGGAGTTTTTTGAGCACCAGACCAGCGCCTTTTCTCCCAACTTGAGGGATCAGTTGGATGATTTTCTCACTGGATGATTATAGTCAGTTTTGTATTCCCCTCAAGATGGCAGGGGAAATGTGGGCTTTGGATTCAGGTAGACTTAGATGCAACTCTTGGTGGTGCCATTTTGGCAATGGCAAACCCCATGACCTTATCTGTAAAATAGAGATGATACTTTGCCGGGTTGTCAGAAAGATTAGAAGCAATGATATAACGTTCCTGAGGTGTGGCCAGGTGCATTGGCTCACACCTGTAATCTCAGCACTTTGGGAGGCCAAGGCAGGCGGATCACTTATGGTCAGGAATTCGAGACCATCCTAGACAACACGGTAAAACCTTGTCTACCAAAAATACAGAATTAGCCAGGCATGGTGGCGCGTGCCTGTAATCCCAGCTACTCAGGAGGCTGAGGCAGGAGAATCACGTGAACCCAGGAGGCGGAGGTTTCAGTGAGCTGAGATCTCGCCACTGCACTCCAGCCTGAGCGACAAGAGCAAAACACTGTCTCAAAAAATAAAATAATAAAATAATCAAGTTCCTGACGTGAGTACTCAATAGGTGGTGACAGCATGACAGCCATAACGGCAGCTGCTCTTCTCCCCACAGTGAACCCATGAAGTGGACAACTGAAGAAACAGACTCTGAAAAGTTAAGTGACTGGCTTAAAATCATAAAATTTTGGATAAAGCTGGAACTAGATTTCAAGCTGTTCCTGACTTGACTGCCCTTAGTTCCCTGCCATAAGAATCACCTGGACCTCCATTTCTCCTTAAAAAGTGGCCTGACCTGGATTTAGAGTTCTGCTAGGGTAGAACTGAGTCACATGGCCACACCAGCAGCAGGGGAGGCTGGGAAATATAGTCTTTAAGTTGCCTGACCAAGGGGCTTCTCTTAGCAAGGAAGAATGAGAGAATGGATTTGGGAAGCAGCCAGCAGGCTACCTCAGTGACTTCTGGGGACTTTTTCCCTGGGCGTCTCTGGGTTTTTAGCCCTACTACAGGGCATTGAGGAGGTTTGAGTGGGGCCTGGTTGTTGGGATGTTCGTTTATCACTTAGGGAAGGTGCAGAAACACTTCTGGGTTTTTCCTTGACTGCTGGTTCCCTCCAGCAGATAGATTTGCTCACCCCTCAGGACAGTTTCTGCCATTTGGAGCACTGGAGACCTGGTCAAGAATTGTGGAGAGGGGGCCTGGGCTCCATAGGACCAGCCAGGCATGGCTTGAGGTCACTGGCCTGACCAGTGCTGGTTAGAGAAAGGCTTGGCCCGGGTGACTTGGCTTTCTTTGCGGCTCCTCTACTAACTGCTGGGGTGATTCTGGACAAGTCAATTCCCCTACCATTTTCCACACCCTACCCTGGAGGGGGTTGGACACTCAAGGACCCTTCTGGCTCTGAATGGGAGCCACACTGCGTAGTTTATGAGCTGATATTCAGCTGGAGGTGGCGCTGCTTGCCACTTGCCCAGGGGAAGAGTCCGCTGCCTCAGCACTCGCCTGTGTTGCAGGAGGCACTGGCCCGTGAGACAGCTTGAGAAATGAGGCCATCAGGGAGTGGTCCTGTTCAGCAACATGCCATGGGGCAGAGGGCTCCAAAACTATGGGTGTGTTTCTGCCTCCGGGTCATTGGAAGGTGGGAGTATTTTTCCCCAGGGATGAACAAGAAAGCATACAGGCTTATGGCGTATGAGCTCATGGCTTCCAGAGCACCCCATTCCTGAGAGTTGGGAAACCTGCTCATGCACTGAGGTCCAACGTCTCACACAAGGACCAGCGGTTTTGTGTCCCAGGACTTCCTGCTGTCTGTGAGGGAGAGTGATCCAAAGCATCTTACATTTCTACTTTTGGAAAGTCATAAGCTAAAATGGCCACTGGGAGGCCTGTGATGATCCTCCTGCTTTAAGGTTACACTGTAGATGTAACAATACAAATATTTAACTGAATTGCCTCGGTGGATTTTCATGGCAAAGAGCAGCTTTGTGCCAAGAGCCCTGCCAGGTTCATGAGCCTCTTCCTGTTCTGTATCCTCAGCAGGGGGTGATTTTCCACCCATGTTTTGCTGGTCTGAAAAATGCCATCTGGTAAGAGGGATGCAAGGGACTGTACCACCTGGTAGCCAGGGCTGCAGCCGGGAGACCCCGGCTTCCCTGTCTTTATGCAGCCACACGCCTTTCCCTGCACCTGACAGGAGCCCACCACATTCCCCCTATCCCTGCATCTCTTGGGCTGCACCTCCCTTAAATTGAGTGTTTAATCTCAAGACAGTTGTGCTTTTTGACTCAGTTTCTAAATAGGGCTGCAGCTGCTACCTGGAAATTATATCCCTTCCAACGCCTGTGTTTTTTGACTTGTTACTCTACCACTCTGTGACATCAAGTGTAAAATTCCAACTTCCTTCTGCTAGTCAGTGGGTCCACGTGGAGCGCCAGCCCAGATCGGGCTCTGAGGAGGACAGTCGAGCTGGGTGCCTGGTCCCCGCCCTCCACATGCCAAGTGAGAGTGGCGTGTGGAAAACCAAACAACATAGCGTTAAGTGAGCAGTCGGTGACCTGGGTGCTGTGTGAAGTCGACAGGTAGAGTTGAGTCATCCATAATTGCTGTCCTATTGTGTGGCACCAGTAGCACTGCCCAAACTTCTGGGAGAGTGAGCACCACCACACCCTGGTATCCTCAGGGGAGGGCGTGAGCATGGGGAAAAGGAGGGGCTCTGGGCTCATGTCCGAGAGGAGAGAGCAGGTGAGATGGGGTGGGACTGGGAGCCCTGCCAGGCCCCTCAAGGCGGTAGACGGTGGCAAGCCCCGCAGGTGCCCTGGCACCCAAGTGGCCTGATGGGTGCACGCCGCAGCCGTGCTGAGACAGCCTCTTCAGCGATCAAATTGTCAGAGTGAGAAGGTTTGCTAGTACACCATGCTGGCAAGAATGTGGGAATGGGTACTCGTGCTATTAGTGGGAGTGTGAGTTGGCACAGCCTCTGTGGAGAGCGGCGCCACAGAATAAGCCGCACATAGCTTTTGATGTAGCAAGTGTGCCTCTAGGAATCTGCCCCTCAGATATGGGCCCACACAGGCAGAGGTAGCACATGGCAGGGACATTCGCGGCAGCAGCTCATAGAGTAAATGAGATGGCACAGCCACACTGTGGGATGCCATGTAGCCTCTAATGAAAGAAAATGGAGCCATGTGTACAGTAGGTGAGAGCAGGAAGGTTAGACAACGTGTAAAGCATGTGACGGTTTGTGTCCCCCCACCGCCCCTACACACACACACACAGATCTGTGCATCTGTGTGGTTGTCCAGCATGTCTTTGAAAGGATATGTAAGGTCTTGGGGACAGTAGTTGGCCCTGAGAAGGGAAACAGAGGGACTGGGATGTCAGCCAGAAGGGAGACTTTTCACTGAATATATTTTGTACTGATAATGGTTTGGCTCTGTGTCCCCACCCAAATCTCACCTTGAATTGTACTCCCATAATTCCCACGTTGGGGTGGGGGGACCTGATAGGAGACAATTTGAATCATGGGGGCAGTTTCCCCCACATTGTTCTTGTGGTAGTGAATAAGTCTCATGAGATCTGATGGGTTTATCAGGGGTTTCTGCTTTTGCATTTTCCTCATGTTTTCTTGCCGCCGCCATATAAAAAGTGCCTTTTGCCTCCCACCATGATTCTGAGGCCTCCCCAGCCATGTGGAACTATAAGTCCAATTAAATCTTTTTCTTCCCAGTCTTGGATGCATCTTTATCATACTGTAAATTGGTACCAGTAGAGTGGGGCATTGCTGAAAAGATACCCAAAAATGTGGAAGCAACTTTGAAACTGGGTATCAGGCAGAAGTTGGAACAGTTTGGAGGGTGCAGAAGAAAGGAAAATGTGGGAAAGTTTGGAACTCTCTAGAGACTTGTTGAATGGCAGTCGGGCACCGTGGCTCACGCTTGTAATCCCAGCACTTTGGGAGGCCAAGGCGGGTGGATCACAAGGTCAGGAGTTCAAGACCAGCCTGGCCAAGATAGTGAAACCCCATCTCTACTAAAAATACAAAAATTAGCTGGGCATGGTGGCAGGCGCCTGTAGTCCCAGCTACTCAGGAGGCTGAGGCAAGAGAATTGCTTGAACCCGGGAGGCAGAGGTTGCAGTGAGCCGAGATCACGCCACTACACTCCAGCCTAGGTGACAGAGCAAGACTCCATCTCAAAAAAAAAAAAGAAAAGAGAGAGACTTGTTGAGTGCCTTTGCCCAAAATGCTGATAGTGATGTAGACAAGGTCCAGGCTGAGGTGGTCTCAGATGGAGATGAGGAACTTGTTGGGAACTGGAGCAAAGGTGATTCTTGTTATGTTTTAGCAAAGAGACTGGTGGCACTTTGCCCCTGCCCTAGAGATCTGTGGAACTTTGAACTTGAGAGACATGATTTAGGGTATCTGGAGGAAGAAATTTCTAAGCAGCAAGGCATTCAAGAGGTGACTTGGGTGCTGTTAAAGGCATTCAGTCTTGTAAGGGAAGCAGAGCATAATCAAAGTTTGGAAAATTTGCAGCCTGACAGTGTGATAGAAAAGAAAAACCCATTTTCTGAGAAATAAAAGCTGGCTGCAGAAATTTGCATAAGTAACAAGGAGCCAAATTTAATCCCCAAGATCATGGGGAAAATGTCTCCAGGGCATGTCAGAGGTCTTCACAGCAGCACCTCCCATCACAGGCCTAGGAGAAAATGGTTTCGTGGGTCAGGTCCCTGTGCTATATGCAGCCTAGGAACTTGGTGCCGTGCATCCCAGCCGCTCCAGCCATGGCTGAAAGGGGTCAATGTAGAGCTCAGGCTGTGGCTTCAGAGGGTGCAGGCTCCAAACTGTGGCAGCTTCCACATAATGTTGAGCCTGCGAGTGCACAGAAGTCAAGAATTGGAGTTTGGGAACCTCCGCCTAGATTTCAGAACATGTATGGAAATATCTGGATGCCCAGGCAGAAGTTTGCTGCAGGGGTGGGGCTCTCATGGAGAATCTCTGCTAGGGCAATGTGGAAGGGAGATGTGAGGTCGGAGCCCCCACACGGAGTCCCCACTGGGGTACCGCCTAGTGGAGCTGTGAGAAGAGGGCCACTGTCCTCTAGACCCCAGAATGGTAGATCCACCAACAGCTTGCGCTGTTAGCCTGGAAAACCTGCAGACACTCAACGCCAGCGCATCAAAGCAGCCGGGAGGGAGGCTGTACCCTGCAAAGCCACAGGGGTGGAGCTGCCCAAGACTGTGGGAACCTACCTCTTGAATCAGCATGACCTGGATGTGAGACCTAGAATCAAAGGAGATCATTTTGGAGCTTTAAAATTTGACTGCCCAGCTGGATTTCGGACTTGCATGGGCCCTGTAACCACTTTGTTTTGGCCAATTTCTCCCATTTGGAGTGGCTGTATTTACCCAATACCTGTACTCCTGTTGTATCTAGGAAGTAACTAGCTTGCTTTTGATTTTACAGGCTCATAGGTGGAAGCAACTTGCCTTGTCTCAGATGAGACTTTGGACTGTCGACTTTTAGGTTAATGTTGAAATGAGTTAAGACTTTTGGGGGACTGTTAAGATGGCATAATTGATTTTGAAATGTGAGGACATGAGATTTGAAGGGCCAGTGGCAGAATGATGTGGTTTGGCTCTGTGTCCCCACCCAAATCTCACCTTGAATTGTACTCCCATAATTCCCACATGTTGCGGGAGGGACCTGGTGGGAGATAATTTGAATCATGGGGGTGGTTTCCCCCATACTGTTCCTGTGGTAGTGAATAAGTCTCACAAGATCTGATGATTTTATCAGAGGTTTCCATTTTTTCATCTTCCTCATTTTCTCTTGCCACCACCATGTAAGAAGTGCCTTTTGCCTCCCGCCATGATTCTGAGGCCTCCCCAGCCATGTGGAACTGTAAGTCCAATTAAACCTCTTTTTCTTCCCAGTCTCGGGTATGTCTTTATCAGCAGCGGACTAATACATGTACTCTGAATTTCATTGAAAGAAAAAGAGAAAAGAATCTTTATTAGTTTGCTAGAGATGCCATAACAAATAATCACAAACTTCTTGGCCTAAAACAGCAGAAATGTTTTCTCACTGTTCTGAGGCCCCAAGTCCAGAGTCAAGGTGTGGGCAGCGGCCACACTCCCTCCAGCAGCTCTGGGAGAGGACCCTTTTTTGCCTCTTTCAGCTTCTGGTGGCTCCAGGATTCCTTGGCATGTGGCTGCATAACTCCATTCTCTGCTTCCATCTTCACAGGTCCTTCTTCTCTTCCCCTTCTGTCTCTATTCCTCCATCTCTCCTCCATCTCTCATAAGGATACTTGTAATGGGATTTAGAGCCCACCAGATTAGTCCAGAATGATCTCATCTCATGATCTTTAATTACATCTGCCAAGACCTTTTCTCCAAATAAGGCTGCATTTGCAGGTATCAGGGGTTGTGGGACATACCACGTAGGACACCACCATTCAGCCATTATCATTGCCAACTAGATTTTGAGGGGAAAACTCACCTATATGCTTCTTACACTTAAATATAAAATTGAAAGAAGAGAGATTGAAAAAAATACCATACAACACTACTAAAATAATATACTCTTTGAATTTTATATACTCTCCATATATTCACCTTTTCCAAAAGATGTACTTTGATTCTAAGATGAGGCAAGTTTTTAGGCAAGTTAGATGGTACACAGCATAACTAGACTGAAAGCCCCTTGAGGGCAAGGACCATGTCTGTATTGTCCATTACTGTATCCCCAGCACAGAGTAAGTGCTCAGTGCTGGTGGAGTGGATGGGTGGGTGGATAGGAAAGGCAGTTGAAGAGATCGGAGCAGGGAAGCCTGTTAGGAGGCAGTCTCATCAGCACAGGAAAGCAGTCCTGAGGGGCTGGGTTAGCTTGCCAGTAGAAATGGGGAAAGGGGCATATGCAGAAGACTTTTCAGTTACAACTTGGCAGGGGAGATTGACAGCTGAGTGGGAAGGAAGGAGGAGAGTAAGGAGCCCCAGGGTGAGGACACTTCCATTCTATGCAGAAATGGCAGAGCTGGGCAGGACTAGCAGAGTGGGCAGGAGACAACTTGGCTATGAGGGACCCAGCAGACTGGGCCAGCCTGCAGTTGGAGCATCACTGGGAGGCCAGGGCTGGAGGGAGAGGCTGGCAAGCCCTCGGCATAGGAGCCCTGAGAGGGGAACTTCTCCCCAGGAGTCAAGAGGAAGAAGGGGAGGCTGTGTAGGGAGGACAGAACCACGGGAGATAGAGGAGAACATTCAGAGCATTGAGAGGATGGCAGGGAGGTGAGCAGGATTGGAGAATCATAGAAGCCTCCTAGGATTGGGCCCCTTTGCTGCCTGGATGGCCAAAGGAGGGATTGGTATGGAGGGTTGCAGCTGGCAGACCCAAGGTCTCACGCTTCACAGAAACCAGGACAGGGATGGCTCAGCCCCGGGAGTGGGGAAAACGGACACACAGAGGAAAGGGAAGACAGGGTGCAGGGTGGGGACTCCACAGTGAGGCATGCTCTCCTGAGCACATGTTCATCACTGACATTTCCATCTGTCTTCTCATTTAATCCTGGAGACAACGTGCCTAGCCGGTCATAGCAGCCCCCCACCTTCCTCTTTTTTGTGATATACAAAAGTCACATAGCTAGATAGTAGCAGAGACAGGATTCAAAGCCACATCTGTCTGACTGTGCCCAGGCTGTTGACCACTCCTCCTTTTCAGGGCTGATGAGACCCATGCCTGTCTTCAGGACACCTGTACACAAAAGGCCGCGAGTCTGCTTAGGAGCCTGCTGTGGCTTGGGGACAATTGGTGCATCTCATCACAGAAGCAATGGAATGGGACCTGTGTGCAGAGGCAGTGCCGCTGAGTGCTGCAGGCCTCAGTCTCCACCTTCCCCTTCTCCCCTCTCTCTGTTCAGTAGGGCTCTTGCAGGAATCACTCCATCAGCCTTGGCTTCCAGCTCTGTGTTCGGGAACCTGACCTGCACTTGAGGTGTGGCTGCTACCCTCCATCAGCCTCCGCCTCAGGGGTGTGTGGGGATGAGGATGTGTTAGAAAGGGTGGCTTATGCTTTCCTGGCTCTGGCTCCATCTGAGCAAGTCCCCTCCATCCTGCAAAGCACCACTAATGAAGAAAGGTCTGTGGTCCTAGGACCCTGCCTGAGCCACTCTGAGCATGGTGTGGCTTCTGCAGGAGCAGCTGCCAGGCCCACGCAGGGCACAACTGTTTCCGTGGGACAGGGTGCCTGGCTTACTGTCTGTGAGGTACACAGAGACCCCTCCTTGTTTGTTGCCTGGAGATAAGTACCCCCGCCACCACGTGGAACAGTGTAAACTCCCACCTCCCGAGTCAGCCCCAGCCATCCTTTCTTCCACACCCCACGTCCACTGTCAGCAGAGCCTTCAGCTCAACATTTAAGACCCAACCGGAATCTGACCTCTTCTCCCCTCTCCTATTGCCCCGGTCAGTGCCAGCATGTGGTCCTAGTTACTGCGGGGGGTGAATGGGAGTGGGTGGTTGTCTCTAGTGGGCTCCCTGCTGCCATACCATCCCTGTGGGCTGCTCTCAGCACAGCAGCTGGAGGGAGCCTGCTGGGCTGTGGCTACAGCTGCCTGGCCACCACACACAGGCCCACGTGGAGCTCTTAGCCTGGGTTCTCGGTGGAGGTCCAGCTGCCTCTCCCGCACGCCCTGCTGTTCTGCCTGCTGTCCTCCAGCCCTCTGCCTGGACGGCTCTTCCCGAGACCCTCGTGACTTGGCCTGCACCTTCCTCGGGCGTGGGCTCTCCTTCATACCTCCTCATTGACAGTTCAGACCCCACGTGCCAGCCCTCTTCTCTCTTCACCTGCCTCTGTGTTTACCTCCATGCTTGGCACTGTCTGCCATGCTCCATATGTTATTCCTCTCCCTACTAGGGTGTGATGAAGGCAAGGGTTTTGTGCATTTCATCTCCTGCTGAATGGGGCTTGTCACACAGCAGGCCCCTCAATAACATATGATGGTAGATGAATGAATTTTTCTGTTTTTTTTTTTTTACCCCCTTTACCAAATTTGACTGGGAGAAGCTCTCTTAGTATTTCCTCTTCCTTTAAAAAAAAAAAAAAAAAGAATCTGGACTGTTCTAGGGAAAGGGGATAGGAGGTGGAGAGGAAGGAGGCAGGAGCCCCACAGCCCCACACTTCTGCTCTGATTCAGAAGAATTTGATTCCATTCTGAACTTGATCAAAGGTGCTCCTATATGTGGCTGTCTCAGGGCACCCACAGGCACGGGCACACCATTCTCCTCCATTCCTTGTCTGAAGCCCAGCTGTAGGTCACGCTGATTCTCCCACATCCCACTTTGCTACATTGGCTCAAATCTCTGAGATAGGTTTGTCTTTTCTTTCGTAAATTCTGAAATAAAAGCAATGTGAATTCCTTGATCCATAATTCCTTTAATCAAAAGTAGCCCTTGGATTTTTTTCTTTTTTTCTCTCTTTTTTTTTTGAATCAGGGTTTCACTTTGTTCCCCAGGGTAGAGTACAGTGGCACTCTTAAACTTAAATAATCCCTTCCCGCCTCAGTCTCCCAAGTAGCTGGGACTACGGGTACATACCATCATGCCCAGCAAAAAAAAAAAAAAAAAAAAAATTTTTTTTTTTTTTTTTTTTTTTTTTTTTGGAGAAATGGGTCTTGCTTTGTTGCTCAGGCTGGTCTCAAACTCCTGGCCTCAGGCGATCTTCATGCCTTGGCCTCCCAAAGTGCTGGGATTACAGGTTTGAGCCATCACACCCAGCATAGCCTTTGTTAATAGTCACTTATGTATTCTTCTAGGAAAAAATAATACATAATACCAGCATAAATGTATATCCATTCAAAGTGGACATGAACAGAATCATGGTAGGCATATTATTCTAGAATTTATTAATATAATTTGAAAATCTTCTATATTAGCCCATATAGATCTACCTCATTGTTTTTTATTTTATTTTATTTTATTTTATTTATTTTATTTTTTTTGAGATGGAGTCTCGCTCTTGTCGCCCAGGCTGGAGTGCAGTGGTGCAATCTTGGCTCACTGCAACCTCCACCTCCCAGGTTCAAGTGATTCTCCTGCCTCTGCCTCCCAAATAGCTGGGATTACAGGCACGCGCCACCACACCCAGCTAAGTTTTTTTGTATTTTTAGTAGAGATGGGGTTTTGCCTTGTTGACCAGGCTGGTCTTGAACTCCTGACCTCAGGTGATCTGCCCACCTCGGCCTCCCTAAGTGCTGGGATTACAGGTGTGAGCCACCACGCCTGGCCTACCTTGTCGTTTTTAGCAACTGCTTAGTATTGTATTGAACGTATGTACTGTGTCATATGGACCTAACCCCATACCGACAGGCATCAGTTTCAGTTACGACAGTATTGCAGTGAATATTCCTATACATCCTGACACACCTGCAATAATACTTGTATAGCATGTATCTGGCAGTGCATTCATTGCAGATTAAAGGAGTATGGGCATTTAAAATTTTGATAGATATTGCCAAGTTGACCTTTGTTTTTTGTTTCTTTAAATTTTTTTGAGACAGTCTTTCCCAGGCTGGAATGCAGTGATGCGATAGCTCACTGCAGCCTCAACCTCCTGGGCTCAACCAATCCTCCCAACTCAGCCTCCCCGAGTAGCTAGGACCACAGCCATGCGTCAAGACACTTAGCTTATTTTGTTTGTTTTTTGTAAGGATGGAGTCTCACGGTGTTGCCCGGGCTGGTCTCAAACTCCTGGGCTCAAGCAATCCACTCCTTAAGTTTGGATTACAGGTGTGAGCCACTGCACCCAGCCCATGTTGACCTTTGAATGGTTACACTAGTTCATTCTTCTGGGATGTTTTTCCTCAAACTTTTTATTTCAAAAAATATTAAACTTACAGAAAAGCCTAAATAATAGTGTAATGAATAGCCAAATATCTTTCATCTAGGTTCACCAGTATTGTCATGCTACATGTTTTCGTTTGCTCAGGCTGCCATAACCAAATATCACAGACTGGGTGGCTTAAACAATAGACACTTATTTTCTCACAGTTTCTGGAAGCTGGAAGACCGCAATGAAGGTGTCAGCAGGTTGGATTTCCTCCAAGGCCTCTCTCCTTGGCTTGCAGATGACGCTCTTCTCAGTGTTCTTGCATGGTCTTTTCTTGCTGCACTCACACATCTGTGTCCTAATCTCCTCCTCTTATAAGGATTCCAGTCATTGGATTAGGGCCCGCCAAAAAGCTCTCATTAAACCTTAATTACCCCTTCAAAGGCCTGGTCTCCAAATAGTCTCGCTCTGAGGTGCTGTGGGTTTGGACTTCAACAGATGACTTTGGAGGTGGGGGCACAATTCAGCCTATAACACCACATTTGCTTCTCTTTCTCTCTCTCTCTCTATATATAATAATAATATAATTATAAGATTTATTATATAATTTGTTGTATTACTTATAATTATAAAACCATTTATAATGTAATACATTTATTATACATAATTATAATGTATAATATATTCCCCCAAACCACTCAGAAGTAAATTGCAGCCACTCTGTTACTTCAGCATGCATCGCCTAGGAACAAGGACATGCCCCTCAAGATATATTTGATGTCCTTTATTTTACAGTGATGGGGACAGATTCCCCTGAAGCAGAAGGAGAAATGAGCATGCAGTGGCTCTGGCCCTGACTGGGGGCGTTCCCTCCAAACAGTTTTGTCCTGGCCTAGTTTTCTCATGTCTCCTTCCTGAGTTCCAGCCCCCAAGTGAGACCTGGCATGCTTAAGGGAAGGGGCCTCCTGCTTCCAAGAGCTGTTCAGGCAAGCAGAACCTCTTGGCCTCAACTCCATATTCTCTGGCGTTGTTGAGGTTTGGGATCTGTGATGTGTCAAAGAGATGACAGACCTCCTCACAACTTCACCTGCTCGTTGATCTCTCTCTCTCAACATGTCTCTCTAAACAGACTTGTAACTGCAATTCTTTGTATAGGCAGTCCTTGCCTGGCAAATGCAGACTGCCTTTGTTTGTTCAGAGAGTAGGGTTTACTGTCTTGGCTACCATTTTCTCCTTCCCTGTCTCCCTTCTCCTCCTGCACCCTCGCTGGCAGCTCAGGACTCTGCCAGAAGTTGGTTCTTGCCCACCACCAGGAGTAACAAGGCATCTTCTGTGGGCTTGCAACAGCATCTGTTTCTTCCTTGGTACTTTTCTGTGGGAAAGTATCACACAGGCAGCACTTTCAGTGTTTGTTTTAGTAGATAGAATCATTGTGGAAGTACTTGCCTAGCACCTCAGTGGAGGATACGTAGCTTCAAAACTTTTCATTTCCTCTTGTTCAGGCCATCGTGTCTACAGACCCAAGGTTCAGACGTAAATCGGGCAAGTTCTTTGCTATCCAAGACCAATCAGGTTGTTGCTGAATGAGTGCCCAGACATCCACTGTCTGCTCAATTAACAGAGCTTTTCTTTTCTTTTCTTTTCTTTTTTTTGAGGTAGAGTCTCGCTCTGTTGCCCAGACAGGAGTGCAATGGTGCAGTCTTGGCTCACTGCAGCCTCAACCTCCTGGGCTCAAGTGACCCTCCCACCTCAGCTTCCAGAGTAGCTAGAACCAGAGGTGTGCGCCACCACACACAGCTACTTTTTAAAAAATATTTTGTAGAGACGTGGTCTCACTCTGTTACCCAGGCTGGTCTCGAACTCCCGGGCTCAAGCAATCCTCACGCCTCAGCTTTGCAAAGTGCTGGGATTACAGGCATGAGCCACCACACCCGGCCATAGAGCTGCCTTTCTAAAACTTAGTCCCAACATGTCTTTGACTTTGCTTAGAACTCTTCCCTGGCTTTTCGTTTCCTGCAGGATTCATTCTAGTTTCCTTGGCCCAGCATTCAAGACCCTCCCTCATTTGGCCCCTGCTCAATTTGTCACCCTGCTACCTGCCGCTCCTCCAGGAGGTTCTCTTGTTACCTATTGTGTTAAAGCCAAATTAAATGAGGCCAGACACACTCTGCCATGCTTTGTCCCTGTACCTGTTGGCTTGTGATATTTCCCAGAATGTATCTTTTCTCCCCTCCCTGATCCATTTGCCAAATTCTTACCCAGCCTTCAGGGCTTGGCTTGACCGTCCCCCATCAGTAAAGTCTCTTCTTCACTGGAAGATGGAAGATACACAAACACTTCGGTCCCCACTGTGGGGTTGGCCATCCTTCCCTTGTGCCATCGTTCTGCGACAGACTTCACTCTTCTCTAGCACGTGTCACACCGTATGTGATATGTACGTGTCTAGCCCCCTGGTTGCAAGACAACTGGTTTTACCTTTGTATCCTTAGTGCCTGGGTTGGAGTAGGCACTCAGTAAACGTTTGAGTTGATGATGGATTTGTCCTTGGATAGAGCACATCCTGAAGTTAGAAGCAGCTGCGTTCCGCTTTGTCATTACCAATCCTTATCTGAGTGAGCCTTGTGTGTCACAAAGGGAAAAATACAGTTTTCCACATGCTATGAGGAGTCCTTCTCCCTAAGTGTCCAGTTCTAAAGAGTCCATACCAATCATCGGCAACACAGGACCTCAGTGACCTTCGCAGGGCTTACTGTATGTTGTTACATGTTAAAAGAGTGTGTGTATTACCTTGGTTATACACACAGTGAGTAGACTGATAACCCAGCTTGTTATGTGCATCTTGCTTTATGTAACTTCTTTGGAAAACTACTGATGTCTGTCTTTTCTTTCAGTCAAACGCTTCAGAGAACCAAAGCATGAAAGACGTCCGTGGAGGATATGGTATGTGTTTAGGTATTAGTTCATTCTGGAGTGCTTTTGACTATGTTGGGGGTCTTGGGGCTGGGGGTGGGGTATGGTGTTGGAGTGGGGAGGGCATGGAATGTGAGAAATGATACATAATATAATGTATGTGGAATCCCTGAATTAAATTCATTAGGAACTGTGTATATTATGAAAGCATTTTTGTTTCTCCAGGTAACTTTTGATCCTACCTTTATTTTAGAATCACTCTGCTTCCACTTCTAGAAGATGGAAGATACACAAATACATCAGTCCCCGATGCTGGCTCCTTCATCTATGTCTACCTGTTGTTAGATTTGGTTTAAATTCCTGGATTCTGTGTTCTGTATGTGCAAGCAAAAACTAGCCTAAATTTGGAGATCAAACATAGCATATAAACGCTCCTCTCTCCAAACGAGTCTTTCTTGGTCCTAGCATAAAGGAAAACTATTTCTCTACTCAAAATACTTCTGACACCAAATATATGAGGGTTTTCTTCCCCCAGCATCAACCAGCTTTCCAACTCTGCAAATACCACTTGGGTGTCCCATAATTTAATTCACTTCTGACACTTAACTACCTGGAGTTAGAACAGAATCCACAGGTTAAGGGCTCAGTCCCACAAACTGCCCCCTTCTTCATGCCAGTTGCAAGTAGTGGGGTCCTCAGGGTATCCACATTTCTGTCCAACTTTGCTATAAAGTCAGGGGTTCCCACAACCCCCACTTCCCCGCTAAGGTTCAGTAATTTGCTAGAACGGCTCATAAAACTCAGGGAAACATTTACTTACATTTACTGATTTATTATAAAGGACACAGATGAACGCTAGATGAAGAGGTGCATAGGGCGAGGTCCAGAAGTGTCCTGAGCACAGGAGTTGGGGTGTGCCCCCTTCCCAGCACATGGATGTGTTCACCAGCCCGGAAGCGCTCCAAATCCCATTGTTTAGGGATTTTTATGGAGGGTTCATCATGTAGGCATGATTGATTGTTAACTCAGTCTCCAGCCCCTCCCTTCTCCCTGGAGGGTGGGGGATTAGGGCTGAAAGTTCTAAGTTTCTGATCATGACTTGGTCCTTTTGGTGACTAGCCCCATCCTGAAGCTATCTAGGAGCCCACTAAGACTTCCTTCATTAGAGCAAAAGGCTCCTGTCTTCCGGGAAATTCCATGAGGTTTAGGTGCTCGTATCAGGACCAAGGCCAGAGACCAAATACTAGAACAAAAACTCCTCTTAGCACCTGTGTTACTCAGGAGATTACAAGTGTTTTAGGAGCTCTGTGTCAGAAACCAGGACAGAGACCAAATACATATATTTCTTAAATAGACTTTGATATATACATCAAGCATATATTTATTTCACAGATTATGATCCTGCAGTCACAATTTTTCCTTCGTGAAATGGTGGTAAAGCTTCAGAAGTAGGTTCTAAAGACAAAACTCCAAAATAATACATCACTTGGAAGGATACAGTCAGCTCTTCAAGACAGCACTGTGTCCACAAGAAGCTGCCTGTTTTAGGCTGCCTTGGGCTTCTACATTTCCTAACAAAATAGCCATTTTATCCTTCAGAGGAAACGTCAGTAATCACTGTGATAAAATTATTAAGCGTGTACTTGTTCTTAAACGTGTTGCTGGCGAATTTGATAATTCTTTTTATTTTCCCCCCGTTGATTTTTCTCAAACCCTGTTAACTTTAGAATGTGTGACTCCCACCTCAGGGCTGGGGCAGGACCTGGTGGGAGACCTAGCTTTGGGGCTCTCTTGAGTCTTACATACGTTGTCCTTTGGTAACTCCTCCTTTGCAGTGAGTCTAGGGAATGATTTTCCAGCCACCGTCGCTGGGTTGGTCTGGATAATCTCTGCAGTCCTGAGACCCTGCCCAGCTGGGCGGCTGTGAGAGACAGCCATGACCAAGAGGTGCCTCGACCACAGAGGAGAATGGCTACCTGGTGCTGGTGGTGGAGGACATACTGAAGGCACACGCTGTCTCCACCATGCTCCTGTCACATGGGTCGGGGTTAGCTCCTCTCAGAGATTAACACCCTTGTTTTTTCTTTTTTGAAATGCTTACCATCTAGTCCAGGGGCTGGCACACTACAGCCCTCAGGCCCGGTGTGTATGATTGGAATAGCTGTGTCTATGACTGCATCATTCTCTAGCGGCAGGGCTGAGGAATTGAGACAGAGATCATATGGCGCACAAAACCTCAAATATTTATTCTTTGGTCCTTTACAGAAAAAATTTGCCTACCCTGATCTAGCCCATTGTTTAAATGGCAGCAGCTGAAATTTCTTTAGGGATCCAGCTGCAGTACTGGATTTGTGCACGTCTTGTTAATTTCACACATAATTTAGCTCATTGTGAGTGAAGTTGAATGGGAGCTCTTTAAAATAGAGGCACCTTGGGCTTCATCACAAAGCAGCGATTGAGCATTTTATTTTGAAGTAAGAAAAAAATTTAAAACGTATTTTAAATATCAATCCTTGACCTTTTAGGGTTTTCAAAGGCAGTGTTATTGAAGGCTTTGAAAGGTGGCTGAGATGCCAAGCCTGAGTTAGTGCTCAAGGCCCCAGGAAGAGATAACCAGTGATTGGAAGGTTGGGGTGGCTTTCTTCCTGTTTCAGTCTTCTCGTTTTCCTCAAATTGGATATTGCGCTCCTGTCAGGCTAATAACCAGTGCTGGTTTATTTTGTACAGGTTTTTAGACACTTCCAAACAAGCCATAGGAATGCTGTTCATCCACTTTGCAAATGTATACCTAGCAGATCTCACTGAAGAGGACCCTTGTTCACTGTAAGTGTTCCCTATTTGAGTGCAAACATCAGCTGCCCCTCCATTGAAAATATAGGCTGGCCTTGCTTTCTGCTGCTGGTCCTGCTCCCTCTGGCTTGGGGAGAGGGTGCTCCCCTTTTCCTCTGTGCTCCTCTGAGAGACCATCCTGTACATGCTGTCCTGGAGCTCACTTACACAGCTATCAGTTGGCTTGTAGGGCTTTGCGTGTTGACACTTTCCCCATGCACTGGCTTTCTGTTCATCAATCCAAGTTCTGTCCTTTGATTTTCTAGTGTCCTTATGTCTCCCAGTTTCCAAGCCGCCCCTGGCAAGGAAGGATAATGCCCTACAGGAGTGTCTCTGCTCTGGAACCAGGACACACCAGGGCTTCTCTGTGGCGTCAGCCATTCAGGGTCAAAACTGTTGTTGACCCTCATTGACCTCTTCCACCTTATCATTGCAATGTGCCTTCCATGCAGCCCCCAGAGCAATCCATCTGTGACCTCAATCCGGCCATGATATTCTGTCCTCCTTGCTGATGGCACCCACATAGTGCTTCTCTTAGCAGGTGGAGTGGCAGAGGAGGCTTGCCTACCTCATCCTGGCCCCATCTTCTGCCTCCCTTTGTCCTCATAGCAGCCTGCCATATATTAATGGAGACTTTGATCATCCCCATTTTACAGTGGTGGAACTGAGGCACAGAGAGGTTATATATACTGTAAGTTCACACCGCTCAGGAGTCATGGAGCCCAGCCAGTCTGGCTTCCAGGGCCCACATGATGCTTTGCTGTCTGTCAGAATCATCTGTGTTGAGGATGGAACATAGAACTTTCTCTCTTTATTCCCAAGGCATGGCACACAGTAGGCTTGTAAATGTTTGCTAAGTGAATGAATGAAAGTAAGGTCTGTATGTACATCACATGTCCTTGTTCTCGCAGGCGTGAGATGCTTTGGACACAAAGTATCTGAGAGCAGCATAGCCTCAGGCCAGAGGGAAATTGCCTTGGAAGCAGTTGCTGCTCCTGCCATCTCTGGTCTAAGAGTGACCCCTTGTGATTTTACAGAGGAAGGGCAGGCAGGAGAAATGCCCCCTCCCTCTTTTCACTGGTTTTCCTGCTGACCTACCCTAGCACAGGCTGCGCCCTCTGGCATCAGAGTGCTGTGTGCACATCACCAAAGCTCCAGCCCAGGATAGGAGGCTGTGAGACTACACAAAATGTCTCAAGCCTCAGCAACTGGAAAGCTCACCACACCTGGAGTGTGTGGTGTCCTGCAGCTTACCTGCAAGGATTTCAGAGCCACATGGTATCGTAGAGGGTCAGTACTGGACCCAGTGCCCTTGTCTCCCACTCTGTCTACCATGGAGAGCTGGAGCTTGTGGTCAGCAGTGCTCAGCTGGATCTGGGTACAAGGCCCTCAAGAGAGGGTGAGTGGAAAAGGGCCTTTCTTTGGTGAGAGAAAAAATTTTGTGTCGGATGGAAACAGACCGTACAAGAACACAGTTCATGTGGTATGCCCTTCAGAGCCTCCTCCTCTCACTCCCCCAGTTATCTTGCCTTTTCCCATGGGGAGTAAAGCTCGCTCTTTAAAGTGTAGGCCGGGCACGGTGGCTCAGGCCTGTAATCCCAACACTTTGGGAGGCCAGGGTGGGCATATCCCTTGAGGCCGGGAGTTCAAGATCAGCCTGGCCAACATGATGAAACCCTGTCTCTACTAAAAATACAAAAATTAGCTGTGTGTGGTGGTGGGTGCCTGTAATCCCAGCTACTTGGGAGGCTGAGGCAGGAGAATCACTTGAACCCAGGAGGCGGAAGCTGCAGTGAGCTGATTGCACCGCTGCACTCCAGCATGGGCAATAGAGGGAGACTCCATCTCAAAAAAAGAAAAAAACAGTGTAAAAATATTACTTATGCTTGACTGCAGATGGGGATGGGCGAAGGCCATGTTGCCCTGTCCTCTTTGTCTGCGAAACCCGAGAGGCTGTTTTCCTGAACCTCTCTGGTGCAGCAGCACTGTTCTGGGCCTCCTGGGCTGGACTGTCAGGGAGTGAGCAGAATCATTGCCTAGGTGTTTCTGTCATCAGTTAAGTTCTGTTTCCTGTTGATTTCCCTGGCTGCTTCCAGGTACTCTGTCTTCCATTGAACCTTCGCCTGGCAGAAGCACTGGCAGGTTTTTGTTTTGTTTTGTTTTTTTGAGACAGAGTCTTGCTGTGTCACCACGCTGGAGTGCAGTGGTGCAATCTCAGCTCACTGCAACCTCCACCTCCCGGGTTCAAGTGATTCCCCTGCCTCAGCCCCCCGAGTAGCTGGGACTACAGGTGCGCGCCACCACGCCCAGCTAATTTTTTTGTATTTTCAGTAGAGACAGGTTTCACCGTGTTAGCCAGGGTGGTGTCTATCTCCTGACCTCGTGATCCACCCGCCTCGGCCTCCCAAAGTGCTGGGATTAGAGGCGTGAGCCACCGCGCGCAGCCAGCACTGGCAGTTTTAAAGTGTCTTTGTCCCTCACTCACCTCCCTCAGGTGGTCGCACTCCTGATGAGCTTCAGCACATGGTAGTGACAGCTACACTGGCACATGAGGGCTCCCAGCCCCCAGAATGGGCCCAAACAAATGCTGGGTCCATCCGCTTCCCTCAGGCCACCCTGCATCAGCCATGACCTCTGGCCCCGTGGCTTCTGCCGTGACCATGCATGTGCCCTGTCCTCACAGGTACCTCATCAACTTCCTCCTGGACGCCACTGTGGGCATGCTGCTCATCTACGTGGGGGTGCGCGCCGTCAGCGTCCTGGTAGAGTGGCAGCAGTGGGAGTCCCTGCGCTTCGGCGAATATGGTAATATGCTGTGGATGCCGGACAGGGCGTGAGGGAACTGCTGGAGGTCTCTGCTCCTTGCCCCATGCGGCCCACCAGGCAAACAGATCCAGAAATGGCTGGGGAGCTGCCATTGTCTTCTCTGTGTGGTAGAGGGGGCTGTTCTGGGTTTGAGCACACCCTCCTGTGGGTGTGGGTGCCTGCTTTACCACCAAGGCCCTCACCTTATGGCAGGGAAGGTGGCAGGAGGCAGGAGACACTAGACACAGAGAGAGGGCTGAATGTCTGCTCCTTCTAATGGAAGACACCAGCAGTCCCACACACAGGCCCGCAGGGACTCTTCGTTCTGCCAAGCTTCCTGTAGAGCTCACATCACCTGCCTACCAGGTTAAAGAGATGGGGCAGCTCTCATTTTTCGAAGGTGTTCAATAACGAGGTGGCAAGCCCTGCCCCTCTTTCTGCTGCACATCTGTGCTTGTCCTGTTGCTAGGCCATTCCACACGGCTGGTACTGGAGGGCACCTTCCTCAGGCCCTCACTGCCCTCTGAGGTTTCAGGACAGAGTTAGGGGTAACATCAGCTCTCTCCCACCCTCACAGCTGGCCCCAGGTGTCTGCAGACAGAAGCTCCTCTTCCAGGTGGATCAGTATCAGTGGAGCCTTTGCCTTGAGAGGGCCACAGAGGACAAGAGGGAGGGAGAGCGGATGGAATTCGGGATCCCCACTCTCCTGTCCTGGTCATGCCTCCCAAAGAGCTCATGGCTGTGGGCTCAAGGGCCACTCACTTCTAGATGGCTGAAGATTCACAAGGCACTGACAGTTTAAAAGGGGAGCCAATTCATGGAGCTGGCTATGAGTACCTTGGATATTTCCAGAAATGTTAAGTAATTGTTTGTCTCCGTTGAGGGGAGATGAGCTCAGGGCAGGGCTTTTCTTAGCCCCGTACTTGATGCCTGATGAGTCACTGACTTAAGATAGTGTCCAACACACAGCTTGTGCCTCCTATGGCTCCAGGGAAGGCTTCTGAGAAGCTGCGAGTCATTGAGTCCTCAGCTGCAGAACAGAAATGGACCACAGTCGGGGGACCAGCACAGCATCATCGTCATTTATAGAATGGGCACCCAAAGGAGTTAAGTGACGCGCAAAGCTCACCCAGCCAGTGCATGGCTATGGGAGCCTGGGCCTGCTGCACCAGGATACCTAAACCCTCCCACCACCCCCACAAACAGTGCTCACAACTACTTTGCAGTTGAGATCCCTTCTAGAAGGTGTGGCTCCCAGCTCTACTATAGCTGACCAGTGCTAAGGTGAATCCACTGGTCACCACTAGTCTGTCAGGTGCCACTCAGTGACCTGGGAGTGAAGATCAGGTCTGGTTCGGATACATCAAGCATTAACGCTACCAGCTGTTCCCTCACATTTTGTCTTCATCCCCAAGGGTGGATGGAAAGGAAGAAGGCAGTGATATTGTTTCAGCCTCTTTCTCAATCTCTTGGCCTGCCTCAGCCCCTGCCCCTGGGTCATCCCACCACTGCCTTTGGGAGCCAGAGTCTTCAAGCCAGAATGTCTCCAAATAAAGCTGTGGGGACCATCCTGAGTCTTCCCCAGGCTGAGGAAGGATAGCTTGTCTGCTCAGTTACCTGTTGTTTTCTATTTCCATCAATTTCTGTTGTTTTCTATTGCTACTGTAACAGATTTCCACAAACTTCATGGCACAAATTGAAACAACACAAGTTGATTATCTTTTTTTGTTCAGAAGTCTGTCATGGGTCTCACTGGGCTAAAGTCCCAGTGTCAATGGGGCTGGCTTCTGGAGCCTCTGGGAAGATTGTTTTCTCGCCCTTTCCAGCCTCTAGAGTCTGCCTGTAAGCCTTGGCTCGCGGCCCCTCCTTCCGTCGTCCAAGCCAACAAGAGTCGCTGGGTTTATCCCACATCGAGTTGCCCTGACTTCCTGCAGCCTTCTACTTTAAAGTGTCCTTGTGATTACATTGGCCCCACCTGGACACTCAGAACACTCTCCCTGTCTTAAAGTCAGCTGACTAGCAGCCTTAATTCCATTTGCAGCCTCAATTCCCCTTTGCTATGTGATGCTACACACTCACAGGTTCCAGGGATTTGGATGTAGGCAACTGTGTGGGGCTGTTATTCCACCTCCCACACCTGTTATCCTGCCCATCCATTTGAGGAAGAGGTACCACAGCTCTCTTCTCATGTAAATGAAGAAGAGGGGCTTATTTTTCTAGGATGTGTCTTTTGTTCCTAGAAGAGAAGGCCAAGAGTTTGCTGATGAGAATGCGGGACTCAGGGAAATAAGCCACACAGCCCCGGCGGTTGAGACCAGATCCAGGTGACGCATGGTGTCTGCACTCTGATTACCAGGCCACTCTTTCCCATGTGGAAGCCCTGACATCTGGGTCACGGTGCTTCATGGGTCTTGCTGCCCATCCCTGGCCAAACTCTCCCTTTTGAAAGCCTCTCGCCACAGATGTGTTCCCTCCTTTTGGCCCCTATTGCTGTGACTTCTACTGAGGAAATAATTAAACCCAAACAAAACACCCACATGCCTGAGGTTGTTCATTGCAGTAAAAAGCAAGACACACAAGGTCCAGGTGCAGTGGCTCACACCTGTCATTCCCAGCACTTTGGGAGGCTTAAGCGGGGAGGATCGCTTGAGCCCAGGAGCTTAAGACCAGCCTTGGAAACAAAGCAAGATCCCGTCTCTACAAAAAAAAAAATTTTTTTTAATTAGCCAGGCACATGACATGCATTCTTAGTCCCAGGTACTTGGGAGGCTGAGGCAGGAGGATCACTCAAGCCTAGGAGTTTGAGGATACAATAAGCCGTGTTCATGCCCCTGCACTCTAGTCTGAATGACAGAGTGAGACCCCATCTCTAAGAAAACAATAACAGCAATGACAAAGCAGGACATGCAACACTGCCTGGCATGTCTGTCCTTTAAAGAGGAGACTGTGGGGGACATCTGAAAGACTCGCAAGTGAAACAGGAATCAGGAAACACAGCAGCCACGTGTGCTTCTCCCAACGGTGGCTGCGTGAGATCTGGGTTCCCAGAGGAAATGGTGTGCCAGACGGGGTCACAGGTGCTTTTTCTCTTTTCTCACGTTTCTGAACTTTCTTATTTTAGCATCTAAAGAGGCAGCTGTAGCTAAGTTGTGTAGCAGAAACCTAGAACACTGGGGCAATGTGAGGCGTATGGGAGGAAAAGCATTTTCCTCCTTGTCAGTCACTTAAAACTGAAGAGCAGATGGAGTGAGCACACTGAGCGAGCGGACATCCTTCCATAGTAAATAAGCGGTGCCGCGCGCTCCGCTGGCTCCCAAACACTCCAGTCCTCACAGAGAGATTTCCTAGTGGCGCTTTCTGTCCAACTGTCCTCAAACCTACTTAATTACTTAATGGTTTCTCACAAATAAGTTCATCTGTTGTTTTGAGAACTGTTCTCGATAAGGTTAGGTGACTTACCGAAAGGAAAAGGATTGCAAAACTCATTAACAACCTAGCAAGGAGGGATTATGCTTATGAAATGGGTTTTTTGGCTCAAATGTCTCCTATCCCTTAAGTGAAAGTAGAAAGGAAGACCTCAGAAGAGGCGACTGATGTGTTTCTGCCACACTTCTCCCAGGGTTTTCCAGAAAAGGGAATGGCCTGGTGTTTTGTCCATTGCAGCTGCATAAAGTCATTCCCTTGTGTACAGCTGACAGGCTTGGGCAGGGCATGGGCCTCCAGCATGGGTGCCCAAACAGGGATTGCTGCAGAAACAATAAAGCCAAGTGAGAAGCTGGAGATATCTCTTTGGACCAAATTATCTTCTCATAGCCTGGATTACGGCCTTTACCCCCCAGCCTCCCGCCCCCCCGCCACCCCCAAAATGCTACCCTGTACCCCCTCTTCTGGCCAGCTGTGGTAAGGCAGCTCTGGCAGAACTTCCAGGGTGAGCCCCAGGCAACCTTCCCACATCCCACTCTCCCCTGGGTCTCCCACTTTGGGGAGGCCTATGTGGCTCCCAGGAGCCACCCTAGGGTTCTTCATATCACAGGATCATTCCCTGGAGGGGCTGGTCTTCTCTCCGTTCAAAATGTCCTGGAGGCATTCCAAGGCCTGCACATCCTCCAGCTTGTACTACTAGGTCCCTCGGTTTCTCAAGCATGGTGACTGAAGGGGTCCCAGATGGACCTTTGTCACAGCCCTGGGCCCCGGCCCATCCCTCCCACCTCCTTGCCCCAAGGACTTCTCTCTTCACTTCCTTGTCCCTGGCCAAGGTGTTTGGGGTGACCCATGCTGGACAGGTAGAGTCCAAATTCCTCCAGAGTCACGTTTCTGCTCTCAAGAGGCTGAGGTATCAGGGATGGCCCGGGGAGTTGGGTAAGGGATGGGAGGTGGGGAGGTGGGAGACAAACAAAGCGACTGGGTCCTGCTTCATCATCCACAAACATCAGTCCACTCATGGACAGAGAAGGGAGGGGCAGCCCCGCTGTCACTGGAAAAATCAACAACGGATAAGAATAGCAGTCTTGCTTCATACAGCTTCTGCTGCCAGCCGGCAGAAAGAACAGCTTTTCTGAGCTCCAGCAATGAGCACTTCCTAACTTTAGTGCTTTTTAATCCTATCTTAGAATCTCTTAAAAGAAAGGCCATTTTAGTATCTTCAAATAAGGAATTCTCTGATTTTATTTAAAATACTGCATTTGTCTGTTAAGGATGAGGTAATCCTTTGGACTTTTGGGGGGGCTCATTAAGTACCTTTAGAGCTTTAGAGCCAGTGTTCTGGGGTGCGTGTGGGGGAGTGGGGTGGGGACATCATCTCACTCAGATGCCTGGGCCCCATGTGACTAAGCACCCGCCTGTCCCTGCAGGAGACCCTCTGCAGTGTGGAGCCTGGGTCGGGCAGTGCGCTCTTTACATCGTGATCATGATTTTTGAAAAGTCTGTCGTCTTCATCGTCCTCCTAATACTTCAGTGGAAAAAGGTTTGCTTCGTCCCTGCATGAGCAGCTCCTTGCCACGCTGAGCAAGCAGCACTTCCTCCCCATCACCCACATACGCCAACTCTAGGAAAACCAAACTTGTTTTAACTCTATGAATGTGTCCTGCATTTGGTCTGATGTGGCAACTACTCCAAAGAGCTTGTCAATTCTTAGCATCCATCCACTTTAAATGTCTGTTCTAGATGAAGCCTTGGGATGTATAAAACTAATGAAATACAGTCCCTGCCCTCGGCTTGCTACCATCTGATGGTGGTTTTTAGGCCTTGCGACAATACATGTTTCTACATCGGCAAACATCCTGTCACACACCTCTCTTGGCTGGTAGTTTAACTGAGCCATGTGGTGCCACGGGCAGCTTCCACAGTCTGTGACCTTCAGTGTGCCGATGCCCTGGCCAGCCCACGGGCTCCCCAACCGTGGCTTCCGCCCTCTGACCCCAGTTCTGTGTAGATAAACCCCCACTCCTCATCCCCGAATGCCCACATGAGACCAGCCAGAAGCTTTGAGAACAAGTGGCTCAGCTTGGCCTCCTTTGGGTTTTATTTGTGTTTGGATTTTATTTAAGAAAATAAGCCAAGGCTTTTCAGTGCTGTTGTCTTTTAGGGGTGGTTGAGGTGTGGGATTTCTGTTAGAAAGTGGTCTGGGGCCTCATTGCTGGTGTCTATAATGAGCATCCACTGTGTTCACCCCTCCAGCCCCCTGAAGCCCACACTCCACTCTCCCGGTGGGCACTGCTTGCCTTGCCCTGGCTTGGTGGCTGTAAGCCCACTGCACTTTGCAAGTCCACACTGAGGGGAAAGCTGCCAAAGCACCAGATGCTTAATGTGGTCTCCAAGGGTTCCTTGTGGACAGTCTCATCTGGGAACCCTAGGCATGAGGTGCTGCTCCCATTGGGCTTTGGAGGAAGCGTCTTAAGCTAAGGCTCCCTCAGGGCCTATGGGTACCACCCACCCACCCCAGGCACACTCTCGGTGGCCTCTCCCTACCTCACTGAGTCTGCTTCTCTTTACAGGTGGCCCTGTTGAATCCCATTGAAAACCCAGACTTGAAGCTGGCCATCGTCATGCTGATCGTCCCCTTCTTTGTCAACGTCAGTGCCATGTTGCATTTTTATCCCGATTTGCTCCCTGTCTGGCAGGGTTCCTGTCCAAAGTTCTGAGTCTGACAGAAAGCTCACCTGTAGCCCTCAGGTCTTTTTGCGTGACCATTTGCCACCTCTCCCACCCCCAGACCTGGAAATGGCAGGATTACCCCCTCAAAAGGCAGGGCCCCATACCAGGGCTCCCGTCCAGGATGGAGGGGCCTGGGAGCTTTGTCTTGTCCTCCCTGCCGAGGGGCCTCCCACCAAGAAGCCCCACCCATGTGTAGCGCCAGCCTCTAGTTCAGGATTGTTCCAAACGTACCCATCGTTCATTCCTGACCACGGATCTTGAGAAACTCCCGAGCACAATGGCTCGAAGTTAAGAAACAGAAGTGGTGAGGGAAGCTGGGACAAACAGATGACAGCAGGGTGTGCCGGCCACCCACATGGAGTCTGTGGGGAGGGGCCTGGAACGCGTGTCCAGAGACCTTGCTTCCAGGCCCCAAACAGGCTGTTCCCCCTAGTTACCACAACAAAAACCCGTCAGGGCACGTTCCTTGCACACTCTGATCAGAAAACTGAACCCGAGGATGTGGAGACTGGGAATCTCTTTCTAAGCTTTGGGAGAGAGCAGGGTGATTGGATTGGGTTTTTCTTTCCATAGCTCTGGATCTTATAACCTGGAATGGGAGTGGGCGGATGGGGGCTGTTCGGCTTTGCTTTGAAAAATGGTTTATCCCAAAGTAACCTGCACTTTTCCTTCCCACAGGCTTTGATGTTTTGGGTAGTGGACAATTTCCTCATGAGAAAGGGGAAGACGAAAGCTAAGCTAGAAGAAAGGGGAGCCAACCAGGACTCGAGGAATGGGAGCAAGGTCCGCTACCGGAGGGCCGCATCCCACGAGGAGTCTGAGTCTGAGGTAGGGCCTCCCTGACTCTCCAAGGGCCCAAGCCGTCGTATCGCTGGCCCAAGGGGGTCTCTGGTCTCATGTCTGTGTATGTTCTTCCCTTGAGTGCAGAGTCACAGTGCGAGCCAGAGGGCAGGAGAAGAGGCTGAGCCAGAGATGAGCGAGGGGCAGACAGCTCTGTCCAGCCAGGACCCATTCCCACTGTCCCTTGGGCCTGCCTAGGGCAGGAGGGCAGAGCAGATGGGAGTGGCTTGCCTGCGACAGTTCCTCTGTCAGTGGAGATGACAGACAGGAGAGGGAAGTTCTGCCTTGTTTGGTGAGCTGGCAAGGACCGTCATGGGCCTAATGGTTGATCTTCAAGCATTAGGATATTTGAATCTCTGCCCAACACTAAAGAGCAAGGGAAGTGTTGGCTCAGACAGCTGGAAACTTCTAAAATATAGGGGTAGCCAGACCTTGCAGGAGGAAACTCATCCCCCCCTTATTTTCTGGTCTTCTGAGTTCAAGGGTTTGGACCTCAGGGAAGAACGGTGGCCATGAATAGCAGCCCTGAGGCCAGGATATGTGTTCTGGCGGCCCCGCAGCACTCACCCCACATCTGCGTGCAGGGCCAGCTCGTGGGAGGCATGGGAGGCCTAGGAAGTGTGCAGGTGGGAGCTGCAGAAAAGCTGAGACAAACGTCTTCCCCGGAGAGGCTGTCAGACACGTGGGTGAGGTGCAGGTGGACACATAAGTATTTCGTCATGACACCGTAATATGTTCTAAGATTGAGGCATAGGCAGAACCCAACGAGGGCCCTGGGACAGCCTGGAGGGAGTTTCAGAAGACGAATAGATAGTAGGACAGAGGGGAAGCCGTGTCTTCTCTAGGTGCTTGTCTCTAGAATCTGGCCAGCACCTGTCATATGAGAGCTTGGTGAACATTAGGTGAGTGGCAAACAGTGTTATGGGCAGAAGCAGCAGCTCATGAGCATTCACAGTCACATGGTTTGGTGTCTGGGCCATAGTGTGAAATGCACTGTGGCTTGTATTCTGGAGCATAGGACAGAAGGACAAGAAGTGAGGCACAGGCTGAGCTAGATCGGCAATGCCCTGTGATCCAGGCTGAGGCATTGGGATGTGCTCGTACAGGCGGTGAGGAGCAGTGGGAGTGTGGTGGTCGGGACCGAGACTAGAGGCAGGAAGCCCCGCAAGGGAACAGTGCAGGGAAGAGGAGGTGAGACTGCCTGCCCTGCCCTAGAATAGGAGTTCGTGTTTCCCTGCATAGGTGGGCTTTGGACCTCCTGATCCCAACCTAGGTGGTTCCAACCTTTCCCTGGTATTCAGAGGTCTAAGGAGCCAGGCAGGCGGGCAGCGGATGAGTGTGTTTGCCCCAGCTGCATGGCTGAGTCATTCCAGGGCCTTAGAACAGCAAAGTGCCGCTGTTTGTCTTCAGCAGTTACAGAGTTGGCTCAGAGCAGCCACGCTGAACTCCCCCTGCCCACAGATGCTTTCTCTTCCTTTTGAAAGGGGCTTTTCAGTCTGCCTCTGCAGTATTTAAGGCAGCTTCAACAACTGCATGTGTCATGGTTGAGCTTTTTTTAGCCAGGGTGACCTTAGGCTGCAGATCCCTGCTGAGTTTGTCCTGATGGAGGTCGGTTCCCCTGGAGGTGGACTGAGAAGTGGGGAGCATTAGCAGAGGAAGGGGGTCTGTCGACTCAGTGCTGGCTTCAGTAGCCCATGAGTGTCCTTGGAGTGAACATGGCCTGTGGAGGCTAGCACGTCTCATTGAGTACAGGGAGCTTCCCCTCACTCTCTTGTAAAGAAACATTAAGACTTGGCAAGGCATGGTGGCTCACGCCTGTAATCCCAGCACTTTGGGAGTCCGAAGCAGGTGGATTACTTGAGGTCAGCAGTTTGAGACAAGCCTGGCCAACATGGTGAAACCTCATGTCTACTAAAAGTAGCAAAAAAAAACAACGAACCAGGCATGGTGCCACGCACCTGTAATCAGCTACTCAGGAGACTGAGGCAGGAGAATCACTCGAACCCAGGAGGCAGAGGTTGCAGTGAGGCGAGATCGTGCCATTGCACTCTAGCCTGGGTGACAGGGTGAGACTCTGTC
The DNA here is from genome assembly GCF_000001405.40 of Homo sapiens. Classification (NCBI taxonomy): domain Eukaryota; kingdom Metazoa; phylum Chordata; class Mammalia; order Primates; family Hominidae; genus Homo; species Homo sapiens. The sequence goes on along the minus strand of NC_000003.12, from coordinate 52,840,719 downwards.
CAAAAAAAAAAAAAAAAAACATGAGACTTGAAGGGCCCAGGGTCCAGGGAGGGCAAATGAAGAAGGCCCTGCTGGGGGTGACTCAGGCCCTGCCTCTCTACTGCCTCAGATCCTGATCTCAGCGGATGATGAGATGGAGGAGTCCGACGTGGAGGAGGACCTCCGCAGACTGACCCCCCTCAAGCCTGTGAAGAAAAAGAAGCACCGCTTTGGGCTACCCGTATGACACATTCCCATGCTGGGGGTGACGGGAGGGCCCCGCCAGCCGCTGGTGTGCAGAGGTCATCCCGCAGCATCGTTCCTTACCCTCTCTCTGCCCTTCCTTTCTACCTCTGCTCCTCTTGCTGTCTCTGCCCGCTCTCGCCTGCCCCCAGACTACTGTGACTTAAAAAGAGGGAAGAGGAGCCAGCGCCCGAGGGGGCCACTGGCGGCTGGAGGTCCCCATTCAGTTGCACTACAAACACTGACCAAATATGCAAGGAAGGAGCTGTGTTTGTTTGTTGTCGTCCCAGACAGTGTTGTGAGGGACCTGAGGCCCTGCCCCGTGTCCGACCACCGAGTGGCAAGGTGGAAGGAAGCACAGGCACACAGACCGTGGGTGGGTCTCCTCACCGTGGCTGTGGGCAGTGCGAACACATAACACCCTCGGGCTAAAAGTGACTCGTTGACCAAGTTGGAACCGGAATGCTTTCTTACTCAAAATGGCTTTTGTAACTATTGATTTCTGAAGCTGGTTTTATGAGTTGTGACAGTGTTACCAGGTTGGGGGTATGTGTTTATTTCCTACAAAGTACTTACGGGACTAATGGGCAAAACAGAGATTTTTAAGTCTTCCGTATGCTGTTTGACTTTTATATTTTTAAGTTATATTTTCATACTATTGTATTTAAAAACTCTTTTTAGTCCCCAAAGAAATGGGTTTATTTGCCTTTCATGGGGTGTGGGCTGGCAGGAGGAAAAATCGGGAGTTTTTTATTTGGAATATTATTAGATGATGCCCTATGATAAGATGAGACAAATGATGGGGAGGGAAGGAGGATGGCCCTTCTCTAGAATCAGCAAACCCAATGGTTCTGTGAAGGTCAGACCCAAGCTTGGAGCAGCTGGTCTGGATGCAGATCCAGGAGCTGCAGAGTGTGGAACAGGAAAGGCTCTGCCCAGGGCCCATGAGCTCTAGCATTCCTGCTGGCAGATTAGAGATCTTAGTTAAATTTGACCAAGAAAGGAGCTTAGCTAAGAGGTCTTTGTTTCCAGAGGACCCAAGACTACCAGACTCCTGTGCAGTCTGCCTGTCTGCAGAGCCTCCAATCACGGTTTAAAGTGGTCTTGGCCTCCCAGCCCCCACTGCTGCAGCCTTCAGAGCCAGCCTCTGGACTCAGCGCCAGGAGCCTCCTCTCCTGCTGCCCTGGTACCTGTCATCCTAGTGTCACCTATTTGTTTTGCACAGCATTCTGGAGAACATGTGCCTCACAAAGTGATCCTGTTTTTCTCACCCTCCAAAGCTGAGGTGGCTAAGGGAGGCAGGGGTGAGAGAGCTCACTCTCTAAACCACAGGCAGGGCAAGGTGCTTCTAGGCCGTGTCCCCTCCCTGGGGAATGGTCACTACTCCTCAGCATGGCCACAGGCCCCTGTGGTTTTGGGAGTTTGCTGAGTGACTGTGGAATGGGCTGACCCCAGCCGTTTCCCTGCTGTGGAAACAGCAAGGTAGGGGCACTGCTTGGTGGTTTGTCAAGCTCAGAGGCAGCCACGGATGGTTAGGAACAGGAAGCCACACTGCTAAGGTGTGATGAGCTAGAAGGGAGACATCCTGGACTTCAAGTGAGACAAGTGCAGAGGAGGCCACTCCACTTAGGACCTTCCTTTTAGACCTGCATGAGCACGTGTTTCACTTAAGCACATTGGGTCCGAATTGGGCGCATGAACCCAGCTGTTAAACCAGGTACCCTGGGACTGCCCTCTGCCTCTCAGAGCCCTACCTGTCCTGGACTTGAAGGCGAGCATCAGGCAGGCCTTCTCAGCCCATCTTCCACCAGGAGTGCAGAGCCAGGGTGCTGAGAGGAGCAGGGACTGTAACTACAGTAGGAGGCAACTTTGCTGGTGTCATTCCTGCTCGGATTGACTTTGTGCTCCCTCCCATCCACAGCTATGGTAGCCAGTATTTCCCCAGCAGCTCTCTAGTGGGGAAGAGTGGCTAGAACCAGGCCATTCTCAGTCGAATTTAGGAAGACCAAGACTCATGTTCCTGACAGGACGGTCATTCCCTCATGGCATCACTGACTCAGTTCTAATTCCTCCCCTCCTGTTTCATTTTGGTTTGAACAACCTGTGCCTGCAGCTGTTTCTTCCACCTTCCTGGAGCTCACAATTGGAGCTTCATGTTCAGTCTTGAGCTCCTAATGTTTCCAGACAGGGCAGGGGATAGGAGAGCCATAATCTATGAAAGCTGTGAAACAAACCCTGGGTTATATAGATCTCAGATGGTCTCATCTGAAGGCTTTGCCCACTTCCCAGTGAGCAGAGGGTTTGGGGAACAAAGAGGTAGCTGAAGAGTGGTGGTTTTTCCCTGTATCCTGATTTTCAGAAAGGGCTTTAGTCTCTGAGCTGTGGCTAGTAGCTGGCTGGCTGACCAGGGGACGGGGGTCTAATAGGGTGTCTGACCATAGGACACCTCTCGTGTTTGGCCTTCCCTTTCTTGTGTGTTTGTGTGTGTGTGTGCACGTGCACGTGCACACACATGTACACACACAAATCTGTATCCCCAGGAGTGCCTCCTGCAGTCACTGGGGGCTCTTCCGTGGTGCACCATCCCATGAGAGCAGATCAGAGGGCTGTGGTCAGGACTTCCTCCCGAGCTGCCCTCCCTCCCTGGGATGAGTTTCCTCTCCACCTGCTCCAAGGTGCCTTACGAGGTGCAGCTCTTCACCTGGCCACATGGCATCCATCACCGTGTTGAGAAATGGTGGGACGTTGGCTGGATATTGTGTGCTATGAATCTGATTTGTCCAAATCTGGACCTCAGCCAAGCCACCTGTGGTGGAACCTTGCAAGTCAAGGTCATGAACAAATTTCTTGTAACTATTGGAAATAAACTAATGAGGTAGAACTGTCATATCCAAATGGAAGAGGTGGTTGGTACTGTTACTTCCTTTTGCTGTCAGAGGGTTGTTGACAATGGCAAGGGGGGATGTTAGTGAGATCCAGGTGGTGGTGGCTTCTTGGTCCACTCAGCTTGCACACATGCAAGAGGAGGGTCTGTGGCCCCTCAGCCGTGCTGGTGGCCTCCTTCCTCAAGCTTTAACTTGTGCCCTCCCTGGCAACAGGGAGTCATGGGTTAATGTCACCTGTCATGCCTCTTTCTTCAGGGAAAATATTAAAAGGCTCAAATCCAAGCTGTGACTTCCCTTAGACAGTGTAAGCCTGTAGGGTGCAGCCCCAAGTTTATGTCCAAAGGCTGCCTCAGAACCCTGGAGGGAGCAGCGCCCAGCTGGCAGCTCACTCTGCCCTTGCAGTTCACTGGCCTTTTCGCAGCCAGGCTAAGATAGGCAGTGCAAGGAGCTTCCCACTGGCCAGAGCAGCTGCCTTGTAGAATGTGGGGCTGGCTTTTAGAAGTTTCACACGCTTGCAGCTAAGAGTGCAGAGCTCTCTGTTTTACTTCGTGAAACATTAGCAGCTCTGAGGGGCTTGGCTTTTGGTAAGGGACTTATGGTCTGACTTGCCACAAGCACCTTGAGCTCCTGGGTTGGTTGGTGGTTGGTTGGTTGGGTTGTTTTAAATTTGATTTTTCTTTTCCTGAAGTTTGTTAGAAGTCAGACCTATGCAAGGAAAACCATGGCCCACTTCAGCAGCCATCCAGTGGGGGTGCTTAATCGGTGGTGGTAGGATTCATGGAAACGTTTTTTTGAAATGAAAGAGAAGATGATGTACTTACATTGTAAAATGGTTTACAATAAAGTTTGGCATCTTATTACAGTTTTTTTTAAAAAGAAACCATCACATTTGTGGTTGTGGTTGTGGGTTCTCTGGAGTTGAAACAGCTTGGCAGGGTCAAAAAAGATTCCCCTGTGAATTAGAAGGTTCTCCCCAGGGACCAGAGTGAGAAGGAACCTTACGAAGCCTCATGGCAGGAGTGGGAGCCAGCAACTGCCCAGTGAAAAGCCAAACATGCTCTTGCCATGTCCATCTCCACTTCTTCGCTAGTGAGAATTAAAGCAAGTCCGTCTCTGAGGAGGACATCGTGTTGGGGAGGTAGAGTATAAGCAGTGAGTAGCCCACATCCTTGTCCCTGAGGCTGCGGGGCTGGAAGGAGGTCCCTGGGCAGAGCCGCAGCATCAGGTGCCATCTGCAGGGGCACCCCTGGAACTAGTGGAAGGCCCCCACAAGGCCTGGCCTGCCCTCAGCTGCCTCTTGGCCCATGTGCCACATCCTGGGCATTCCTCATGTCAGCACTTGTCTCAGATCAAGCCTGGCAGTCCTCTCATTGGCCTCCTGGAGCCAGGGTGTCAGGAGGGGGATTGGGGTGGGGTTCAAAGTATGACAGCAATGGAGTGGCATTTGGGATAACCAAATGTCAGTGCCTGGTTGAGTTCCATCTGCCTGGAGCCTTCGAGGATAAAAATAATCTCCATCATAAACTGAAAAGGACTTAGATATGTGTGTTACTGGGAGGGCTGCGACCTATGCACACCTATTCCCCATACCCACCCCAGGCGTAGGCTCCTGGCCTGTGCCCTGGGGGATCTTCCCCTTGCAAGGAGGGGTGTGTTAGGAGCTTCTAGCAAAGGAGAGCTAAGTGACCTTCCGGGGAGCCCTTGGGCCTGTTCTTGTCTCTGCAGCTCAGTATCTGGAGTGGGCTTCACTCTCCCCCACCCTCTTTGAGCAACTGAAACTGTCCTGCAGGCCAGCCCCCCTGCGGTGGCCTCACCTACTCGGAGGTGAGTAGGCTCAGGCCTGAGCCTGAGCCTGTTTCACACCTCTGTCTCATCAGTGCTGTCACCATCGAGCATGGTTTCCTCCCTGGTCCTTTCCAGACCCCTTACTCCCCCCTCTCTGAACTTGCAGTTGGAATAGGATAGAGGACAAGGACATCAGCAAAAACATGAGCAACTCCCCAGGCTCCCTTTACCTCACTTTCTCCACCTGTGAACCTGTGGTAGCCCCTCTCTGAGTTTGCTGCAAGGGCCCAGTGAGCTTGCCATAATCAGACGCAGCAGACACGGGAAGCTCCTGCTCTGCCACCATGCAGGGATGGAAAATCTGTCCACTGGAATCCAGGGGAAGGGATGGAAGAGGAAGAAAAACAAGCTTGGAGCAGTCCAACCCAGCTAGGGCCCTCCATTCCCTCAGGGACACCCCACACCCACCCCACACACTGGGATGAACCCTTGCAGAGGAACAATTCAGATGGTCACACATTCCAGGACCCAAATCCGTAAACACAAAGCATGTCCGTCAGTGCCAGCACCTCCCCCCGGCGAATCAAGCAGCTGTCCCAGAGGGCAAAGGGTCTCTGCAGCCATCTGCTTTCATCAGGGCTGCAGCCCCCAGGCAGCAGTACTGGGAGCCCCTCTCATCTCCGAGAATAAACTCTGAAGCCAGCGACCCTGCGGACCTGAATCATCAGGGAGCCTGTCAGAGGAGGGGCAGTGACTCTGCGGGACAAGCAAGCAGGCTATATAAGTTTCAGAAGGCTGGGCTCCACTCAGATCTTTTCCAGCAGCTGCTGCCTGCCAGAGAGGCGCCTTCAGAGACCCAGCGCTTACACAATACCCACCATGTCCCAGGTAGGAGGACCCAGCAAGGGCTGTGTTGATGCCAGAGGGAGTGGAGGTGGAGTCCTGGACACTTTCGGCTCTGGCAGCTGTGTCTTGATCTGAGCCCCAAGCATGAACTGGAGGCTCTGCAGCCCTTGGGAGATGGGGGCTCAGGGAGGACCCCCTGAAGAACCCCTCTTCTATGTGGCTTTGGTGGTATTCCACGGTTTGTTAGGAGGAGTGGAGAGAAATGTTGGGGGTGGGGGGGGCCTAGATAGATCTTTGCATGTGCCTGTGTGTGTGTGTGTGTGTGTGCGCATCTGTGTGTGTGCTGCCGATATAGCTCAGTGTGTAGAGCTTTGTGCATTTGTAGCTATGGGCCCGGCAGCCATGCACTCTGTGTGTGGCCACACACATAGGTCTGTCTGTCTCTGTGTATGGTATATGCATGAAGCTGTATGTGTGTGCACATGAGGCTGGAGGGACACAGCTGGATGCATCGCTGTACAGGGGTATAGTGTGTTGCTCTGAGGAGCCTGGCCCAGGCTGAGCGAGGAAATACCTGCACCTGCACCCAAGCACAGGCAGGTCTCAGACTCACAGGCGCCTGGGGTTGAGGGGTAGGGTAAACACCGAGCCTGGGTGTCCCCCACCCTGGAGGGACAGACCAGCCTGCCAAGAGAGAGGACTGTCCTTGCTGCCTGCTCTGTGGGTGGGTGGCCATTTTGGACTGTAATTCTGTGGGCATCTGGCCCTTCTACCCCATTTCCAGCCCCAAAGACACAAAGTAAATAGTGGCGCTTTTCTGGAAGGGGGCAATCCTTGAGGAACCGCTTGCCACCCAGTGAACAGGTTTTGGAACTAACCAAATTCCCTAGTATTGCCCAACCTCAGAGCTAGTCCCCTTCGCTGTTCCCCACTGTGCCCAGTCCTGAGCTTGACCAGGTAGCCAGACACGCCAGTGTGAGGCTGCAGCAGCCACTGCTCCCAAGAGCTCCCAGGCTATAGGGGAAAGGCACATGGGCAAGTCAGACCAAGACAGCTGGGAGACCTGCAGCAGGTGGAGTATAGTTGGGAAGGCTTTCTCTGGAAGAGGAGTAGAGCCTTGAATAGGCTTGGGTTTAATGAGCAGAGAAGAGGGGTCTTGGCCAAGGCACAGAGGTAGGTGTGCCTTTCTACCGAGGCTTCAGGTAGTAAGATGAGGCTCTTGGATCTCCAAGGCTGGTGCTCAGGAAGCCCCTATCAAGAAGAAGCGCCCCCCTGTGAAGGACGAGGACCTGAAGGGGGCCCGAGGAAACCTGACCAAGAACCAGGAAATCAAGTCCAAGACCTACCAGGTCATGCGAGAGTGTGGTGAGTGTCCTCATGCCATCTGGGGCTGGGGATGGGGGTGCAGGTGTGTGTCAGTGGTGGGGGGAGGTGGTCAAGGATCCTTTTCTGAGAATCCAGTATTCCTGGGTTCAAGAAAGGTGCTCCCATCGTAAGGGATCTTCCCTCCCAGGAAGCTAGGCTGGCCCCTGACTTTACCTCCTCCCACAGAGCAAGCTGGCTCGGCCGCCCCGTCGGTGTTCAGCCGCACCCGCACAGGTACCGAGACTGTCTTTGAGAAGCCCAAAGCCGGACCCACCAAGAGTGTCTTCGGCTGAGAAGTGTGCGCCACTCCCCTTGCTGCCCGAATGCTCGGAAACAGGAGCCTTTCCCAGGAACTCTTTTTTATGCCAGAACGCTTCCTCTCCCCTGCTGTCTCTGGGGCTGCCACCCTCCCCCACAGTCCAGGCCCTTCAGCCAAGGGCTCTGCACCAGCACCTTGGAAGCACCAATAAAGAGGATGCCCACGTGGCCCCAGCAATCAGAAGGTGTTGGTTGGTCCCTGGCTATGGCCACTATTGAGAGGGAGGACAGGGTGGGAACATGGAACATGTCCGTTTAAGAGGATCCCAGGGGATAGCACAGGTGCTATTATGGGCACTGCCACATGCTGCCTTGGACATGGAGACTCAGTGCTGACCTGTGACTTCAGACTTTTCTGAGCCTCAGTTTCCCCTTTTATACTACAGGGGAGTTGAGCTGGAGTCTATTCCATAAAGCAGGCCATGATGACACTGCTCAGAGTGAAGTGGGTGGGGTCTCAGGGACCACCTCTCCTCCTGCCTTCCACAGAAGCTGCTGAGAAGCCTCTGAGGACCTGCAGGCTCTGCAGCACCTAGGGACCTCAAAAACCCCTCTCCCTGCACTGCACTAGGGACCTCAAAACCCCTCTCCCTGCACTGCACTAGGGACCTCAAAACCCCTCTCCCTGCACTGCACTAGGGACCTCAAAACCCCTCTCCCTCCCTACACTTTTGTTCACACTGCCTCCTCCCGGCTTTTGTCCCCTCCAAGTCAGAGCCAGATTGAGATTCCTCTCTGGCAGTCAGTTTCCTGAGCTACCGTCTCTTCCAAACAGCAGGGGTAAGACTCCCACATTCTGCTCCAACCATGCTGTCTGGGGCATGGAACACCAGATTCTCAGCCTGCATGACCCTTCTCTCTCCAGTCCTCTGTCCCCTGTGTGCCTGGAAGTGCCAGGTTCAAAAGACCCATAGAGGCCTGTCCCGTTGTGATGGCAAGACCATGACCATGGACAGGCTGACAGTGGCTCTTTTCGGAGCTGGACTGGCAGAGCCTGGGCTTGTGGTGCCTGGCTCGGGGCTGATGCCTGCTGGGGATGCCTTCCTGTCCCAGGAGGTTCTGGCTGCCCAGAACGTTTCCCACAGTCCCGGCCAGCCTGGCCACCTTATATAGCCCTGAGTCCGGGCTGGGCCTGTGCTCTCTGCCCCAAGGGAGCAGCCCTGCTGTGAGGAAGGGCCCAGTCCTACTTGCTGGACTCCATGGGGAGACTCTTCCCCCAGACACTGAAAGGAGCGTGTTCCCCTGTGTAATCCCAATCGTATCCAGAGCCAAAAGGGTGAGCAGTGGAGACGTGCGCAGAGATGAGGCTTCTGGCCAGTCATGCTAAGGAAGGGGAACGTCTTCCTTGCAGCTGTAGAAATAGCTCCAGTCTATGGCACCTTTGCCCCAGGCCTGCCGCCACCTCTAATGGAGACAGGACTGGTGGAGAAACCCTCCCCAGCCTCTGGAAGCCACTGGCTGCCCCAAGGCCCCCGATAGGTTCCCAAGGCAGCTGGCCCCCTCAGGGCTGGTGTCACGGAGCCGCCGTCCTTCCCTGATCCAGGACTTGGCATCTGGCCACACTTTTATGACTCATCTTTACCCATCTGTGGCCACAGACTCAGGAGCTGGCTTCCCCAGAGCCACCAGGGAACACGAGCCCCAGCGGTGCCCAGAGCGCATAATATGTACTCACTCGATCCCACTTTACAAGGAGCAGAGCGCTTCAACTTTAGCAAGGCCGGGACCCACCCCAGGCCTTTGGGCAGCGCTCCCCTGGGTCTGGGCTGTGGCAGCATCACACTGCTCATGACAACAGCATTCTGCCCTCTCTCAACCAGCGATTCCTGGGCTCCCTCTGCTCCACCAAATGACTCCCCAGTCACCCCTCAGGAGCTGCTGGCACTGTCAGGTCTGTCTTCTGTTCCATGCTCTTCTGTCAATAAACTCCCCGCATGGAGACCTCTGTGCCACAGGATGTGGCAGGTTTATGACTCAGTTGTATTGCCATTCTTGTTTTGGGGGCCTTGCTGGGGTTGAACCTAAAGCCCTGGCTAGATTAATGGCACCCAAACAGCAACCTGGGACCCCAGGAGAGAGAAGGAGGCGCCCCGTGCCCAGCACCTCTCACTTCAGAAATACGGCGTATCTATCCTGACTCTAGATCTGCCCCACACAGACACCTCCCAGAGTCACTCCATGCCTTTGGGCCCTCCCATCAGCCAGACACACTTACCTGGTGGCCAAGCCCCCTTCTTCCGGGAAGCCGCTAGGGTAGCCCTGTAGCCCTAGTCTTCCCCACCATCCCCCGCTGTTTCTCCCCGGGCTGGACTTAGGGAGAGCAGACTGACATCTTCACTGTCAATTCCCTCCCAGCCCTGTGGAGCTTGGTGGAATGCCTGGTGTGAAGGGTCCTGGTGAAGGTTTCGCACTTTTCAGAAGGGGCATGTACCCCCACTCCAAACTGAGCCTACCTTTCTTTGGTATACATTCCTGCCCCCAGCCAAGGTCCATGGGACGTTCGTCATTTGCTTATCTGAGGTCACTGTGGTTTTTGGCTTGTAGATCCCAATTTCCCAGAACCTGCCCCCATGTGGGTGGGGCAGCAAACAAGTTACTAATCCATTCCCCACTTGCTGTCGAGTTCAGAAGCCTCCTGGCAGACACTGGAGCCACGATGAAGCCCCCAAGGCCTGTCCGTACCTGCAGCAAAGTTCTCGTCCTGCTTTCACTGCTGGCCATCCACCAGACTACTACTGCCGAAAAGGTAGCCAGTGTCCATGGGTGTGGCGTGAGCTGGGGGATGAGAGAACGCCTGGGAAGTGGGGAAGAGCCTCCGCATGTGCCAGCGTGTCAGCACAAGTGCGTGTGCATCCCTGTGTGTGCAAAAAAATGGTGCAGACCTCCCGCCAGGCACTACCCCAAGGGCCTTACTGGTATTCTCCCACCTAATAGAGGGGATGATCCAATCATTTCCATTTTCCAAATGAGGAAATACAGTTTTACAAGCCTGGCTCTACCGCCTTTTAGTAAGTGACCTCAGGAGAATGATTTATGCTGACTATGTCTCAATTTCCTCATCTGTAAAACAGGGTAATACTAGAACCTATTCAGAGGGTGGCGGTTGTGAAAACCAAACCCATTGTATCTATAAAGTGCTTAGGACAGTGCTTGTTGTGAAAACCAAACCCATTGTATCTATGAAGTGCTTAGGACAGTGCTTGTCGCAGAGCAAATACCCAAGCACATAAACAAGCCACTTGGCACCTCTGTGCCAAACTGCATTCAGGCAGCCGCATGCAGCCGAGCAGAGTTGGTGCAGTGCGCATGAGCATGTCACACACAAGCAGGTAAGAGGTGCCCGTGTGCCCCTCCTCGGGGGACACAGACCTCAAGGCAAATGGCACCTGCTAGGGGAGTGCCCTGCGGAAGTGGGGATGAGTTGGGGAGGGTCCACTGCGGAGCAGAGAGGAAGATTCCCAACTCTCAGAGACCAGACTCTAGTCTACCTCCGAATTCTCCCAGCTCTGAGGGCTTCCTTCTAGGAGACTGGTGGGAGCTTCCCTGTTGCCACAGAGGCCAAAGTCTCCAGAAATCAAAGGACCTGGTCACTGCCCTTTTTCTGGGCAAAGCTAAGCCAGCATGCAAAGCTCCCTGACCCCACCAGGTCTCTCACCCCTGCCCAAAGGCTGAGTGTGATGCCCCTCCCAGACACTGGCCCTGGCTTCACCAGCTCCACCCCCTGCATGCTTGTTCTTCTCCAAGGGGTGCTCTGGGCCCCTATAGATCAAGAAGGACGTGGCCCCTGCCCTGTGGTGCTGTAGGGTGGGGAATGAAGCACACTGCTATCTCTTACCTGAGACAAATGTTCACATATGAGATGCCTCACTGGGTTCAGCCTGAGGCCTGGTCAGTGGCTCAGTCAGATTGGGAGCCAGGGTTTGGTCTAGAGCCAGAGTCAGGGCCAACTCTTGAAGAGCGTCACCCCGAGCTGAGGTGGCATTGAAACCCTGCAACCCCCTTCTTCTTTGCTGGTCCAGAATGGCATCGACATCTACAGCCTCACCGTGGACTCCAGGGTCTCATCCCGATTTGCCCACACGGTCGTCACCAGCCGAGTGGTCAATAGGGCCAATACTGTGCAGGAGGCCACCTTCCAGATGGAGCTGCCCAAGAAAGCCTTCATCACCAACTTCTCCATGTAGGTGCCTTCCCACCCTCCTCCCCTCTCCACACCCCCCAGTGCTATGACTCCATCGCTCTGTGCCAGCAAACCCTCTTCTTGAAGTAAGGCATGCCAGGGTGTACATCTTCAGGAGTACACCCTGCACCTGGGGCCACACAGGAACAGGGGCTTGCCAAAGGACTTATTCTCAAAGATGCCCCCGTCCTTCCCTCCATCCAGCCATTCATCATCCCTAAGTGCTGTCCAGGTGTTAGGCAGAGAACCACAGAATCTTTGTGACTTTGCCTTTGAGGAGCACAGACTTGAGGCCTCCTGAGGCCAGACCAGGCAAGAGGGAGTCACCAAAATGCACATTCCAGCTCAAAGTACAGAAAACCTTCTAGACCCTTGGCTTCCTCACAGTGGAGAGTGGCTTGAGGAGGATTCTCCTAGGTCTGCCCCAGCTGGGATCCTGCAGAGGACATTTTTGCTCAGGCTGCGTGAGAGATGCCTGAGGTTTCTCTGAATTCTATGAGCCAAGGATGGTCCTCACTTTGTCCTCTGCCACCCTCCCCTACCCTTCCCAACTCAGTTTCCAATGTTTACTAAATGCACCAGGATGCCGCCTGTCCCTTGCTGCCAGGAAAAGCTGTGATTTAGGACAAGGGCAAGACTCTTCCCAGAAACAGGGCGATGGTGGGGCAGAGAGGGAGTGTCTCATGTGGGGTCCCACACTGTGGCCTCTGGAAAACTGCAGTGGGGGCTAGTCTCCTCCCTCAGGCGCCAAGCATCCCCCACTCCACCGCAGCCTCTACTTTTCCTAACCCAGAGCCCGGGCCTATGCTGCCCAGCTTGCAGTGCAAGCCCCACGGGCTGTGTCAGCCTTCGACATGGGTGCCAGGGTCAGCAGTTGCCAGGTCCAGGCCCGTGGCATCTGCTGAGAGCCCAAGACTGTCACTTGCCTTCTCTAGACCCAGAACCTGTTGCTGCATGAGTTAGGGGAGCAGAGAGCAGGTTCCCTGCTCCCTGACCTGGCCAGGAGCCCCAGCTGGCCATCTGGAGAGATGAAGCACTGCCTACCCAGGGGGAGGAGTGCCACTGCCCACTCACCAGCCCCATCCCGGGCTAGAGTTAAATTATAACCAGGAAGGTCAGGCAGGAGGGACGCGTAGTCCTGACATCCTGGCTGCTCCCCCTCCTGCCCACTGCCACACACTACCACATGAAGTTGACCAGGCACATCCCTACACACCCCACAAGGAGGCTCTGAAAAAGTCGTTTTCCTCCCTGAGAAATGGCCTGGGCCATTCTTTCTCAGCCCCCAAAGGATGGCTGCTAGGAGTGTGTCCACACACCCAGGAGTCCCGTCCACCAGTTGTCCAAAACCTCCTTCCAGATATGCCAGCCTCCCTATAGGGTGCCTGCCTCTTGTGGGAGGGAGCGGGGAGACTGCTGTAGGGGGAAAGTGCTCAGAGCCTCCAGCCCTACGTCTGCTTCCTCCTCAGTCCTGGCCCCACACGGCTGCACGCAGGGCTGGGAACAAGTGTGACTCAGAGAGCTCTTGCTGGTGATGAACTAGTTCCCCTGGAACAGTCCGTGAAATGGAAGGGGCAGGTGGGAATGTGGGCCAGCTTCGGCCAGACTGGACAGGTGGAGAGAAGGCAGGATTTAGCCCGGCCCTGCCCCTCTGCAGCCTCCCCTTCGTCCCTTCTATAAAATGAATGCTTACTGTTACTGTACACACCTCCGGGAGCTAGAGGCCTGGAGCACTTTGCAGAGTGCCCTGCACAGGGTCCTGTATGCGGTAGGTGCATAATAAATGGCACTGGGCTCAGGCAAAGATGGGAGTCACTGTGTCAAGAGGCACACCGAGTCCAGAAAGGCTCTCTGGAGGAGGCAGGAGTGGAATGGGCCCCTGCCACCAGGCTCTCAACAACTCCCACCCTTCTGCCCCCAGGATCATCGATGGCATGACCTACCCAGGGATCATCAAGGAGAAGGCTGAAGCCCAGGCACAGTACAGCGCAGCAGTGGCCAAGGGAAAGAGCGCTGGCCTCGTCAAGTGAGCTGGTGGGGGGCAGCTTCAGTGGGGAGGGTCTAGACAAAGGCCACCTTGCCTTTGGCCCTTAGTCCTGCTCCCACCTCTACCAGCCTTACCCCACCTGTCCTGGAGGAGCAGGCCTGATGCCCTTCTCCCCCAGGGCCACCGGGAGAAACATGGAGCAGTTCCAGGTGTCGGTCAGTGTGGCTCCCAATGCCAAGATCACCTTTGAGCTGGTCTATGAGGAGCTGCTCAAGCGGCGTTTGGGGGTGTACGAGCTGCTGCTGAAAGTGCGGCCCCAGCAGCTGGTCAAGCACCTGCAGGTACCTGCTGCTACCTCTTCCAGGGAGGCCTCCTGCATGACCCTTGCCCTGCTGAGGGCGGCCCCTCTTTGTCCCTGAGCCTCCTGTGAGCCCCAGCCCAGGCTCCTGGCTGACCCAGGGACCCACATCTTGCCTCCAGATGGACATTCACATCTTCGAGCCCCAGGGCATCAGCTTTCTGGAGACAGAGAGCACCTTCATGACCAACCAGCTGGTAGACGCCCTCACCACCTGGCAGAATAAGACCAAGGTGGGCCTGTTGTGGTCAGCAGGTGAGGGTACCAAGGGCCCTGCCTTCAGGCCAGCCCTATGAGCCCGGATTTCTGGAAAGCAGGATGGGCTCTCCCTCCTGTGAGCTGTGACCTGGAGAGGCTCCTGAGATCTCTGCATCCTTGCTGTCATTTGGCAGATGGGGAGGGCAAAGCCTAGAGAAGGACCATGGCGTCCTCGTATGAGCCCTGAGATCTGTCTGGGAAGGGGCTGGATAATAGACTGATGTGAGGGTCCTGGGGCCAGGTGGAGAGAAGGAGATGGTTGGATGGCACACATCCTGGAATAGCCTCTGCTTGCGCAGCTCCAGGAACAGGGAGCTCATCACACCCCTCCCCTACGTGAAAGTGGTCCATCAATAACTCAGCCTGAAAGAAAGTGCCCTGGAATACGGACCCAAGGCTGCATCCTGGAATTCTGATTTCCCAATATACAGACAGGGGTAGAGGGTGTTGTTGGCCTGGCTTTGCTGTTCCTCCCAACTTCAGCCCGGATTATTCCTCCAGGCTCACATCCGGTTCAAGCCAACACTTTCCCAGCAGCAAAAGTCCCCAGAGCAGCAAGAAACAGTCCTGGACGGCAACCTCATTATCCGCTATGATGTGGACCGGGCCATCTCCGGGGGCTCCATTCAGGTGGGTGGACTTCAGGCAAGAGCAGAGCAGCCTAGAAGTCTGTCCACCCCCAAGGGCCTGAGCTTGGGTATTTTAGAACAGGAAAAGAACCACCCTTACTTAGCAGTGTGCACCAGGGACCGGCACAGACAGAAAACACGTGATTTAGTTGTGTTGTCCCTGAAACTATTCCCTTTCCCAGGCAGAAAAGGTTTGTCTCTGAGAAGAGCTGCCCTGTGGGGTTTCCCTCTTTGCCTCTGCTGCTGGGAGGCTCACAACTCAGTTTTATGCAGATTTGCAGTAGTTTCTTTCACACTAGTTTCTGGCATTATTATTGTTGTTATATTTTGGTATGATCATGGCTCACTGCACCGTCAAACTCCCAGGTTCAAAAGAAACTCCTGCCTCGGCCTCCCTAGTAGCTGGGACTACAGGCGTGCACCACCACACCTGGCTAATTTTTTTTTTTTTTTTTCCAGTAGAGACAAGGTTGCCCAGGCTGGTCTTGAATTCCTGGGCTCAAGTGATCCTCCCACCTAAGCCTCCCAAAGTGCTGGAATTACAGGCGTGATTCACCACACCCAGCCATTTCTGCCATTGTTATTATACTTCCCTTTTACTCCATGTTTTTGAAGTCTTCCCTCTTTTGATGGTTGTCAGGTTTATGATGTCTGAACTTTTTAGTATAAACCATCTGAAATACTAAAACAAATAGAAGGAAAAGTTGCAGGGAGAGTTCTGGTGGGCTATGCATGAGCAGGGAAGGCTTCCGCAAGAAAGGGGCTGGTCTGAGCCCTGAAAAAGGGCAAGGTTTTGGGGAGGTTAGCAGTGGGATGGAAATGGGATTGGAACAGAGCACAGAAACCCAGAATTTGGGGTAAAGGGGCTGAATGGGGATAGGGCCAATTGTAGCTCTGATGGCCTGGGTGGGTCTCACTCTGGCCACAGATCGAGAACGGCTACTTTGTACACTACTTTGCCCCCGAGGGCCTAACCACAATGCCCAAGAATGTGGTCTTTGTCATTGACAAGAGCGGCTCCATGAGTGGCAGGAAAATCCAGCAGGTAGGTCCTGTGGCCCAGGGCAGGGCCCTGAAAACTCCCAGGCCCTTCACGCTATCAGCTGTGGTCCGGCAGGCAGACCCCCTTGCTTCACCTTTCGGCACCATGGGGCGGGTGGCTCTCAGGAACCAAGGTTGGCCAGAGCCTAGGGCAGCCCCTGTTCCTAGAGCAGATACCATGACCTCACCCCTGAGACAGGAGTCCAAGGATGCCAGCCCTAGGGCACACGAGCCCTCAGGGAGCCCTTCTGAAGCACCTATGTTTCCTCTCCCTGACCAGACCCGGGAAGCCCTAATCAAGATCCTGGATGACCTCAGCCCCAGAGACCAGTTCAACCTCATCGTCTTCAGTACAGAAGCAACTCAGTGGAGGCCATCACTGGTGCCAGCCTCAGCCGAGAACGTGAACAAGGCCAGGAGCTTTGCTGCGGGCATCCAGGCCCTGGGAGGTAAGTGTCTCTGTGGCCCTGCAGGGTGGGGGCTTCCAGGGCTCCTGGCTGGGGACCACCTTGAGAGTGCGTGTTCCTCAGGGACCAACATCAATGATGCAATGCTGATGGCTGTGCAGTTGCTGGACAGCAGCAACCAGGAGGAGCGGCTGCCCGAAGGGAGTGTCTCACTCATCATCCTGCTCACCGATGGCGACCCCACTGTGGGTGAGGGCCCTGCCCGTGACTCCAGGACGTGCTGCACAGGGGAGGCGGCTGGGGCTGCACCTGGGCTTGCTGTGGGATCTGGGCAGGGAGAGGGGGTCACTGAGGCCCCTCGGCTCTGAGGTTCCAGAAATATTCTTCAAGCAAATCACTATTTTCTCACCCTCATCCCAAACCCCTGGGTCCAGGGGAGACTAACCCCAGGAGCATCCAGAATAACGTGCGGGAAGCTGTAAGTGGCCGGTACAGCCTCTTCTGCCTGGGCTTCGGTTTCGACGTCAGCTATGCCTTCCTGGAGAAGCTGGCACTGGACAATGGCGGCCTGGCCCGGCGCATCCATGAGGACTCAGACTCTGCCCTGCAGCTCCAGGTGCCAGTGTGCCCCAGGTGGGCTGCACAGAGAAGTGGGCAGTCATAAAGCCCAGCCTTTATGACACCCCCAACCCTGCAGGACTTCTACCAGGAAGTGGCCAACCCACTGCTGACAGCAGTGACCTTCGAGTACCCAAGCAATGCCGTGGAGGAGGTCACTCAGAACAACTTCCGGCTCCTCTTCAAGGGCTCAGAGATGGTGGTGGCTGGGAAGCTCCAGGACCGGGGGCCTGATGTGCTCACAGCCACAGTCAGTGGGAAGCTGGTGAGTGTGGCCAAAGCCACCCTGGAGGGGAATGGCAGCCTCCACCTCTGCAGCCAGAGGGGCTGGACTCAAATCCCAGACCTGCCCAGCTCCAGCTTTCCCCTCTGCTGCCTGTGGATGACACAGGGGCATGGCAGGGATTCAATGAGACAATGGAGTGATTCTCATGAGACCAGCACATACAGGCTCTCGGCAGCCGGTCTGTGCACCTGCAAGCACAGGTGAGGGCAGGGATTCCTCCCTAGTTGTCATCCCTTCCTGTCCTGGTACCACAACCCTCTCAGGTTGCAGTCAGACAGGGAGGGCTGCTCCTATTTCACAAATGAGCAGACTGAGCTCCAGGCAGGGCAGGCAGCTTTCCCCGGGCCCCACTGCAACCAGGCCAAGAGCCCAGCTTGCCACGTGGCACCCTGTCCTTGCCCAGCCTTCCCTGCCTCCTTCCAGGGACCCCCTGTCATTTCCACAAAGAGAAACTGAGCACAAGCTCTGCGGCAGGGCCTTCTTCAGGCCCTGGGATGCAGCAGTGAATGAGGCTGACCCCTCCGTGCCCTCATGGGAGAGACAACCCAAGGACATATCACCACACAAACCAGCTACAGGCTGGGATCTAACCCTGGACTCAGGAGAGCAGCACCAGGAGCCCCAGCCTGGCCTGGGGATCAGGGAGGGCTTCCTGGAGGAGGCCCAGCAGAGACAAAAGGATAAGTAGGAGGTGGGAAGAGTCCAGATGGGGCAATGGAGGAATATGTTAGGCCCCTGTGGCATGAGGGCAGCGTGTGTGAAGAGAATAGGAGTGGGCGTTGGGGGCCCATGGCCTTGTTTCAGGACAAGTCCCCAAGTGTCATGACTGTTGGTACGGTCTGCGTGGCCACCCTGCCTGGCTTCAAACCCAGCTCTGCCACCTCCCAGATAGGAGACATGGAGAAGTCACTTAACCTCCATCTACTGCAGTTTCCTCCTATGTAAACATGGGAATAAGTCGCATGCCCCCCTCATAAAGTCACTGTGATTGATGTCCAGTGATAAGCACTCCATACATGTCAGCAGGTGATTTAGCTTGGAGGCCGTGGGTTCCCAAAGTACAGAACCCAAGGTGACTCAGGGGAGTTCACAGACAGACATGGCTTGTTTTAGTGGTTATTTACTTATTTTAATGTGTATTCTGAAAAATATGACCTGAACTTCAGACCTAAGATTTTTTTTTTTATTTTTTGAGATGGAGTCTCGCTCTGTCTCCCAGGCTGGAGTGCAGTGGTTGGATCTCGGCTCATTGCAAGCTCCACCTCCCAGGTTCACACCATTCTCCTGCCTCAGCCTCCCAAGTAGCTGGGACTACCAGCATCCACCACCACACCCGGCTAATTTTTTGTATTTTTAGTAGAAAGGGAGTTTCACCTTGTTAGCCAGGATGGTCTCGGTCTCCTGACCTCGTGATCTGCCCACCTTGGCCTCCCAAAGTGCTGGGATTACAGGCGTGAGCCACCGCACCTGGCCCAGATCTAAGATTTTATGGACATAAAGCCAAGTAAAAATTGTTAGCTTACTTAAAGTTCATTTAAGGAAAAATATCAATTAAATAGCTGTATGTGTGGATGGGGCAAAATTCATGCAGGTAGCCTATGTGTGCCAAAGCTTTGGAAAGCCAGCCAGGCTCTGGGCGAGAGACAGGCTGCTCCAGTGGGAGCAGACCGCAGATCTGATCCGCACTGTGAAAAGGTCTCTTGGCCACTCAGGGAGCTCTGGTGGGAGAGGCCTGGGATTCCTCTGCCCTAGGAGCCCATTTCCCAGGCAGCGAGCTAGGTCAGTCTGAGACCACAGGCCCCTCCCTGAGGGAGGAGGGAGCAGGTTCACACAGAGCTTGGGTGCATGCTTCCCTGTCATTGTCCCACGGTGGCCAGCCGCAGAGGGGCCAGCTTGGACAGGGACAGCCGTTGGGGTGGATGGGGCCCCAAACCCGGAGCCATGACATCTGAGTTGTGTTCTCAACTCTGCCTCTGACCCCTGGGAAGGTCCTTCCCTCTCTGTCCCTTTCCCTCAGCTTTGGGGGTAAGGGCAGGCTGTAGCTAGACCCTTCCTGCTCCACACTGCACTTGCAAATCCTTCCTGCTGCTGTTTCTACACTGGCCTGGGGTTCCCATCCCTTTCTTCCAGAGGTTTGGCTGATCTGAGTCCTGGCGCTGTGCCTGCCTTATTGTATCTGGGCTACTTTGCTACCTTTTCACCTCCTTCTCATCCCTGTATGCTCTGTGACTGAGCCCCTTGCACCCCTAAGCCCCCTCCTTACCCCCACTCAAAGGAAATGCAGTCCCCACAGTCAGTGTGTGGGACCTGCCCCAGCCCCAATCATGGAAGAGCTCAGAAGTGCCAGGCAGATGCAGATGTCCGGCCCTCACTGCTCCTGCCCTGGCTGGGCCCCTCTTTCCAGCCTACACAGAACATCACTTTCCAAACGGAGTCCAGTGTGGCAGAGCAGGAGGCGGAGTTCCAGAGCCCCAAGTATATCTTCCACAACTTCATGGAGAGGCTCTGGGCATACCTGACTATCCAGCAGCTGCTGGAGCAAACGTGAGTGCATCAGCACCTCCCTAAGCCTGTCGCTAGGGGGCAGGCACAGGTGGCACGGTACAGCGCCTAAGCATGGAGAGAGGGGGGTCTTGGCATCATGTCCAAGCTCCAGATTCTCCCAGAGGGACCTCCCCAGAAGGGGCTGGATGGAAAATCTGTTCCCGAATTCAAGGATCTCCTGAGCTCTGATGTGCTCCACCTACAGTGTCTCCGCATCCGATGCTGATCAGCAGGCCCTCCGGAACCAAGCGCTGAATTTATCACTTGCCTACAGCTTTGTCACGCCTCTCACATCTATGGTAGTCACCAAACCCGATGACCAAGAGCAGTCTCAAGTTGCTGAGAAGCCCATGGAAGGCGGTGGGTGTGGGGTTGAGATCTCAGCCTCCCAGGTAGCAGAGTTTGGACCCAGCGTTCTCCCCGATCTTCCCTGCATCCTGACCAAGACCCCAACCGTGCCCCCAACAGACTCCCCCTGGGAGATTCAGCCTATTCACTGATGAGGAAAGTGAAGCCGGGTCTCCTGTCTCCCCAAATTCATTGCACCTACGATATAGTCCAGGATTGGGTAGCAAGATTAAACACAAGCGCTTCAAATTGATGAAAACCACCCTGACGGTGTCTGTCTGTGTCTCTGTCTGTCTGTCTCTCTCTCTCTCTTTGTTTTATCCAGAAAGTAGAAACAGGAATGTCCACTCAGGTAAGCAGCGAACATCCTCAAAGGCTGTGCTGGGTGGTGGTCTGCTAACACAGGGTCCAGGGCACCAGCCCTGTGAGGTTGCTGGCCAGGGCCCAGGTCCACCCAGGCCTCTCCAGCCCATCCCTGCTGCCAGGAGGCAGTGTAATCTGACCCAGCATGCTGGTGCATTTAGTCGCCTGTGCATTCAAATATTGGCTGTGCCTCAGGCCCTGTCCCCAGCACTAAGAATACAGTCCCCATCCAAGTGGGGCCACAGGAAGGTGGGTGCAAGATGCAAACCCAGGTCCCACTGATTTCCAGGTTCCACTTTCTTCAAATATTATCTCCAGGGAGCAAAAATACCAAAACCAGGTGACAAAGTAGGAGGTGGGGGGAGGGGAGATTGACAGATTGGGCTCAGTCCTGGCTGTGGAGGGTAGTGCCTTGCCCAGCTCCTCTGGCTGGTGACAGCCCTCGGGCCTCAGTTCAGTTGTATCTGATCAGGACTTGACCACACAGAGGCTTCCTTTTCTCCAAGAAGAGGATGGAATAGACAAGGTAGTTTGAGGGTTTCTGCCAGGGGGAGGCATGACATCCCTGGGGGGGAGCTTGAGGGAGGTCCATTATTGTTCATCTCCCAGCTGTTGGGGGAGAGGCTCCCCAAGTTGGCCGGGTGTGGGGAGAGGGGACATAGCTGCCCTCTCCGCACCCACTCCTGGGTGGATCTCAAGCCCTGGCTGTGAAGACCCACACCCCACCTGAGAGAAGACTGCATCTGTCGATTTCTCCAAAGCTGGAGCTGCTGGCTCCCGGATGAATTTCAGACCTGGGGTTCTCAGCTCCAGGCAACTTGGACTCCCAGGACCTCCTGATGTTCCTGACCATGCTGCTTACCACCCCTTCCGCCGTCTGGCCATCTGTAAGCTGCCTTCCGGCCCTGCGAGGGCCTCGGTTTCCCACGGTGGTCCTTGAGCCTGCCCCATAGAGGGGGGTGGGGTAAAGCACGCACCACAGGGCCAGGCCAGGGACGGCTGCTGAGGGCACGATGTGAAGTAATTGTGGGTCAGTTCAACCTGGGATCATTTACTGGGGCTGGGGTGGGAGTGCATTTCCTAAGGAGGCTGTCCTCGCCTTCCCAGCTCTTTGCAGCTGCCCCCTGCCCCATCCTTAGCGTCTCATCTCCTCAGATGCGAGCTCACCCGGGTCCTTTAGCTGCCCCTAGGTTGTCAGACCACAGGCCATGACAGAGCAGCCTCTCCCACACTCCTTGTTCAGAGGGGACCCTAGGCCCTAAGAGGGGCACGGACTGGCCAAGCATGCACATCACAGCGCTCTTTGGAGCAGTCCTTGCCAGCTTCCTCTCTCTGAAGGCCCCTCTCCCCACTACCCAGTGTATGGACATCAGGCCTCCCCTCCCCAAGGCAGGACTTCACCTGTCCTTTACTTTCACTGAGTAGGATCCACTATACTCTAGAGGCTGACTCATGAGGAAACCTTCTAGGAAGGGAGGGCTTCCTCCGTTCAGAAAGCCAACAGAGGTCCCTTGAACTGTTTTCTGATCCCCAAATCTGCACTCGAATGCAGCTGCACAGCCAGGCTGGACCTATCCCTGACAGCATGCTCTTCTGTTTGAAAATCTCCTGTGACAAAGGCCATTCTAGGTGGAGTGTATGTGTGGCAGGATGGGGGGCTGGAGCTTGGTGGCAGCGCTGCTGGTTGCCCGCCTCCTGACTGCCTTCCTGCTCCCTTTCTGTTTCCGGATGTTCCTGCCCTAGTGCCTGCTTCAGCACCACCAGCCACCTCAAATCCTGATCCAGCTGTGTCTCGTGTCATGAATATGAAAATCGAAGGTGCCCCCAAGGCCAGAGGCCCTGTCCTAACAGGGGGATCCTGGGAGGGGAGTGACCTGTCACATGTCTCGATGTTGAAGTAGTGAGGGAACCCAGCCACACCTAGTCACTGCTCCCTCCCTCAACCTCCCACTCCTCAGGAAGGGGCTGCCTAAACCCAGACTTTTTCTTCTTTTAGAAACAACCATGACAACCCAAACCCCAGGTAAGTTCCCAGCCCCCTTGGCCCCTTTCCACATCCTTGCCCCCAGCCTGCCCTTCCTGCTCCAGGAGCCGTGCCCCGGCTGTCCCAGCCCCCATACAGGCTCCCTCTGCCATCCTGCCACTGCCTGGGCAGAGTGTGGAGCGGCTCTGTGTGGACCCCAGACACCGCCAGGGGCCAGTGAACCTGCTCTCAGACCCTGAGCAAGGTGAGAGAGGCACACCCAGAGAGACCCAGACACCACTGGCACACACCCACCACCTGCCTACAGAGACACACACAGCGCGTGCAGGCTGGCCCCACACAGGCCCCTCCCAGATCATAGCATGGTCCTGCCTCCCAGTGCTGGCATGGGCACACACTCACACAGACACCCCGGGGACCTTCCACTGGGCACCTTGTGTGCAGGTGTGGGTGGCCAAGGCACAGATAAGCATGGCAGCCATGTGGAGGTGAGCCTAGAGGAGGAGCCAGGGTGGGGCAAGGGTCAGGGGAGCTGCCTGGGGTCACACAGGGATGGCAGGGCCATGGCGGGTGCACAGAGACCAGCATGAGGATGTTCCAGATGATGGAGGAGTTAGTGCCTGCAGAGTACAGAGCCCCAAAAGATGAGACCTAGAAGGTGTGGATGAGGGGAATGGCAGGAAGAGACAGGGGTGCTGGCTGGGCCCTGCCCCTTCAATCCTGGACCAGACATGGGGACACACTCCACTCAGCAGTGCTCACCCCCGCACCGCCCAGCCCCGCTCAAAGCCAAGGGACATCCATGGCTTTCTCATTCCTCAGATGCATGTGTCACCCACTTCCTCACTCAGGCTAGGAATGTCTTTCCTGAGGGCAGGGAGCACCAATTCTCCATCTTACCCTTGGCCGCGGCATCTAGCTCAGGGCCAGGCGCTCCATGGGGCGTTCTGAAGGCTTATTGACTGGAGACAAGTTAATTCTCAAAGGCCTCAACTGAGGGTGGCCGTCGCCGAGGATTTAGGGGCCCCTCCAAAGCCTTAGACACCAAGGGACAAGTGGAGAGATTGTGGGAGCCAGCCCCCAGTGTGAAGGAGTGCTGAGAAAGGGGCACCCCTCCTGATGAGGGAGGGAGCTGCTGCAGAACTCCAGGGGGTGTGATCAGGGGGGACTCCCCATGCAGGTCGGTGTCAGACCTGGCTGGGGCCCAGCTATGACCTCTCTGGTCTGGTCCTCCCAGGGGTTGAGGTGACTGGCCAGTATGAGAGGGAGAAGGCTGGGTTCTCATGGATCGAAGTGACCTTCAAGAACCCCCTGGTATGGGTTCACGCATCCCCTGAACACGTGGTGGTGACTCGGAACCGAAGAAGCTCTGCGTACAAGTGGAAGGAGACGCTATTCTCAGTGATGCCCGGGTAAGGCCCAGGCTGGAGCCCGGGGCAGGGGTTGACCTTTCAGGCTACAGTGGCTGATGATGGTACCAGCAGGTGGCCTGAGGCCATGGACCTGAGAATGGAGCAGCTACACTCACAGGAGGGGCAAAGAGACAAGAGCCCTGCCATATACCCCTGCAGCTCCGGAGGGCACTGAGGAGTTGTCCCAGGGACCTAACCCAGGTCACTATCCCATGCAGGAGACAGTGTGGTTTGGAGCTAGCTCTGCTGCTAATCCTTGTGACCCTGGGCAGGCAGCTAAGTCCCTCTGAGCCTCAGTTTCTTCACCAATAACCAGTACTAATCATCCTGGCCCAGAGTCAGAAGGCTGGGGGGAGAACCCAATGAGAGAGTGTAGTTGGGAGCACTTTGCCGTCAGATGATACAGTGCCCCCCAAGCACCCCACAGGACAGCGCTGCCTACATAGTGACGTGATGTTCTGATGACAATAGTGAGAAGCTGGAGAGCACTGTTGACAGCATGTTACCAGCATTCTCTTTAGCGTATCCTTGGAGCTTTGCTAAGGAGACACAAGTCAGTGGCCTCAAATACTGAGCAGCTGGTGAATAATGGAGGCAGAAGGCCACCTCTTTTGGGTGAGGGAGCTCACTGCTTCACAGTGGCCTTCCAGGGACAGTCTTCCAGCTTTGCAGATCACGAGGGGCGTCCAGGAAGGGCTGAGGCCCTCGTCCTCTGTGGGCAGTGACCTCCAAGCCCCCACCCTGTGCCACAGCTCACCCTTTTCCAAGTATGGAGAGCCTTGTCCAGCCCTGTCTCACCAAGCCCTCTGCGGGAACTCCCTTGCACTTGACAGATGAGTGCACACCCAGCTTATCCAAGGGCTCACCCAAAAACCTTCCCAATTTCATAAAAGATCTACGCCCGGTGTGGTGGCTCACGCCTGTAATCCCAGCACTTTGGTAGGCCAAGGTGGGTGGATTGCCTGAGCTCAGGAGTTTGAGACTAGCCTGGCCAACATAGTGAAACCCCGTCTCTACTAAAAATACAAAAACTAGCTAGGTATGGTGGCGGGCACCTGTAATCCCAGCTACTCAGGAGGCTGAGAATTGCTTGAAGCTGGGAGATGGAGGTTGCAGTGAGCTGAGTTAACACCACTGCGCTCCAGCCTGGGCAACAGAGTGAGACCCTATCTCCGAAAAAAGGAAAAAAAAAAAAGATCTAAAATTCCTTGCTATCTGGTAGATTCACCAAAATCAATAGCATTTTTATGCCTAGAAAATGAAATAGAAGTAAAATCCTATTAATTGTAGGGAGAGAAAGTCCAAATAGTTTCATGAGCTACAGAAGACATAAAGAAAAATAGGTTGGGCACGGTGGCTCATGCCTGTAATCCCAGCACTTTGGGAGGCCAGCGCAGGTGGATCACCTAAGGTCAGGAATTGGAGACCAGCCTGGCCAACATGGTGAAACCCCGTCTCTACTAAAAATACAAAAATTAGCTGGGTGTGGTGGCACGCCTGTAATCCCAGCTACTCGGGAGGCTGAGGTAGGAGAACCGCTTGAACCCAGGAGGTGGAGGTTGCAGTGAGCTGAGATTGCACCACTGCACTTCAGCCTGGGCGACAGAGCGAGACTCCGTCTCAAAAAAAAAAAAAAAGAAAAAAGAAAAAAACCCACATATTTTAGATTGAATTGAAGCAATAGAACAGTGTATGTTTAGGGAAAATTTGTTTCAAATAACCTCTGAGTAACAGCAGGGTCTTATTCAACATGCTCAAAGGAACCTAACATTCATGAGAACACCAGAAAGGCAAGAATTTCAAGGGTTATTTTAACTAAAAATCTGAGGAGACAGAATGAGAAGAGGCCTATCCTTTAGACATTAAACACATGATTAAACACAAGTCATCCAAAGAGAGTGCACCAGCTGTAGAACAAAAGGGACAGAGTGGATGCATCAGAGAAACTCCTTCAATCATATAAAATTAATTTATGACAAACTGAATTTAAGAAAACCAGAGGCCGGGTGCGGTGGCTCACGCCTGTAATCCCAGCACCTTGGGAGGCTGAGGCAGGCAGATTGCTTCAGCTCAGGAGTTTGAGACCAGCCTGGGCAACATGGTGAAACCCTGTCTCTCTTAAAAATAAAATTAGCTGGACATGGTGGCATGTACCTGCAGTACCAGCTACTTGGGAGGTAGAGGTGGGAGAATCACTTGAGCCGAGGAGGCACAGGTTGCAACGAGCTGAGATCACACCACTGCACTGCAGCCTGGGGGACAGAGTGAGACCCTGTCCCTGCCCCACCAAAAAAGAGAAAGAAAAAAAAGTGATGGGGAAACTAGACATCATTAAGTTAACTTTGGTCCTATTTTACCAATGAGGAAACTGAAATCAGAAGATTTAAGGGCCTTCCCACCCAAGGCCACTCCGTGACTTCCTGGACAAGAGGGGAAGCCCAGCCCACTCCCCACCCTGACTACTGAGGTTCTGTGCACACGTCTCTACCTTCCTGCTCAAGACACTGGGTCTTTCCACAGCCTGAAGATGACCATGGACAAGACGGGTCTCCTGCTGCTCAGTGACCCAGACAAAGTGACCATCGGCCTGTTGTTCTGGGATGGCCGTGGGGAGGGGCTCCGGCTCCTTCTGCGTGACACTGACCGCTTCTCCAGCCACGTTGGAGGGACCCTTGGTACTGAGCCCATTACCGGGGCCCAGGCCTTCCTCAGAAACCAGCTGTGCTTGGGAACAGGCAGCGCCCCTCCCCTGCGTGTGTCTCCCAGGCTTCCTCTGTCTCTGACCCTTACTGATCCACCCTTTGTATCTCAGGCCAGTTTTACCAGGAGGTGCTCTGGGGATCTCCAGCAGCATCAGATGACGGCAGACGCACGCTGAGGGTTCAGGGCAATGACCACTCTGCCACCAGGTGACTTGGCACAAGCAGACCGCTGAGCCCAGCTGGGGTGGGGTGGGGACTGGCAGGCCAGGAGCCAGGCTCTCCAGGGCCCCACTCCTGTCCTTGCCCAGGAACTAGACACAGTCCGGTGGAAGGTTGATGCTGTAGAAGTGTCTAAGCCAGCTTTCAGTGACCCCACAAAAGATGGATGGCCATCTCAGACCCACAGAAAACACATGGGCCCTGAGATCCCTGGGGTTGGTTGGGGACAGTCGGAACCTCTCCCTGTCCACACCCTGAACTCCCAGAGCCTAAACCCTGGAGACCTCACGTACTGGCTTCTCTAGGGTAATGCTCTGGGTGACTGGGCCTTGTTGGCCTATGCTGGAGGGAATTCTAAAGGGACGCCAGGACTCCCTGCCCTCCATGTTCCTGTCCCCAGCTGTCTCCCTCTTTTCGCACCACACCTGAGATTTGCTGACCACCTGCCTATCTGTCTGTCTTTCCATTTCAGAGAGCGCAGGCTGGATTACCAGGAGGGGCCCCCGGGAGTGGAGATTTCCTGCTGGTCTGTGGAGCTGTAGTTCTGATGGAAGGAGCTGTGCCCACCCTGTACACTTGGCTTCCCCCTGCAACTGCAGGGCCGCTTCTGGGGCCTGGACCACCATGGGGAGGAAGAGTCCCACTCATTACAAATAAAGAAAGGTGGTGTGAGCCTGGGAAGTGGGTGTCTCCAGTTCCATGTGGCCAAATCCTAGGGCCTCAACCTCGCATCCTGAACCTTAGCATCGTGGAACACAGAAGCTTCCACTGTCAGCTCTCAAGAGCCCATGGCCAGGAAGGCCCATGCTGAGCTTTCAGTCCAGCCCCTTCATTTTACAAACAAGGAAACTGAGCTCGAACCACCCATTTGAGATGTCACTGTGGCCCCCAGCTAGAGGCCCAGGGCTGGGAGCATTCTCCAGGAGCAGAGGTTCAGTCTGCTTCATGGTCTCTTGGACCAGTTTTGACTACAAAAAAAAAAAAAAAAAAAATAGAGTGAACTGGGTTGGAATTCTTTCTAGTCCAACTCCTAAACTTTCTCAGTGAGCTTTTGGACTTCTCTGCAATGGGATTTGCTTTACACAATTTGATTTTCACACCTGTGCTGAGGAGCAGGCCTGTCTGCTCATTGGCTTGTAAGGAAGCACTGGATCTTTGAAGGAGACACAGAGGCGAGGCCCCAGGTGCAGCAGGGAAATAGGGCCTGTTTCCAGGAACCTCTAGTCTAATGGGGCTGATCTGGGTCCCAACTCTGAATCCTGTGCTTGAGGGTCTCCTTTCCTGTTCTTGCCCCAGGGTTAGGCACCCCAAAGATTCCACCAATTCCTGTACGGGCAACATATACTTTAAAAAATTTACGGCTGGGTGCAGTGGCTCACACCTGTAATCCCAGCACTTTGAGAGGCCAAGGCCGGAGGATTGATTGAGTCCCAGAATTTGAGGCCAGCCTGGGCAACGTGACGAAACCCCATCTCTACGAAAATTACAAAAATTAGCTGGCATGGTGGTGCATGCCTGTAGTCACAGCTACTTGGGAGACTGAGGTTGGAGGATCGCTTGAGCCTGGGAGGTCATGGCTGCAGAGAGCCATGATCATGCCACTGCATTCCAGCCTGGGCAACAGAGCAAGACCCTGTCTCAGAGAAGAAACAAAAATTACTATTACCCCACCTACTTCTGAAAAAAGGATATGAGTCTATGGCTTACCAATACAAAACTTAAAGAGGAAGAAACCAAAATCTGAGTATAAGGATAAAAGAGCCAAGCAGAAGGATAGTGAACTCAGGGACATCAGGGTAGGGAAAGCTGCAGCAGTGATGGAGCACAAGGCTTTGCTATGAGCTTCCTGGAAGCCAATGTAAAGAAGAAACTGAGCTCATTTGCTTGCTAAAAAACACCAGATCATCAGGGAGACATCCTTTCCCCGGTCTTGAGCTAGAAGAGGATATTTGCTGGATGGGTCTTTCTAAAAGGGTCAAAGTACTGGCTGGTGGGAGGGGTCACCAGCAGCAGGTTTGCCCAACACACGGAAACGCTCCTCCCTGCATTGCTGCCTCCCCATCGAGCCTCCTTGGCAGATAGGGATCTCAGGCAGAGTCGCTTTGTAAAGGCTATTCCAGGGGGCTCGGGCCAGGGCTGTGTGACATGAGAGTAGCTCAGAGGGACTTGCTGTGGGGGTGGCCCTGACATACAGGGATGAGAGAGGAGTGCCACCCCGAGCTTACCCTTCTGGGACATGACCCCCTGGACTGGCTGCTGAATTTGTGCAACAGCAGAGGAGTCACAGTTGATTTTCTGGCCCTGCCAGCACCTGCGGGGCAGGTGTTTTCTGTGACAGTTGGAAATAGGCCCATGTTCTTCACTCTTTCATCCAGCAAGTGCTTTCCAGCTTATGCCAGGCCCTGGGCTGAGTACTGTGGGCACATTGGGCACCATGGCAGACACAATGCCTGTGGTGATAACTGCCACCCAGAAAATAGCCAGGTGCTGCAGGAGCCCAGAGGGAGACATGGGGATGACCAGGAAGCCTGGGGGTGGCAGGGAAAGCTTTCTGCAGGTAATGTGGGAGCTGAGATTTGAAAAATGGAGAGAAGTTAGCCCAGTGGAAAAGGAGAGCAAGAACAGCAGGTGGTGGGAACAGCATGCGCCCAGGCCTAGAGCCAGGACACTGTGTGCTAAGTTTGGGGAAGATGATGGAAGGAGATGCTGTTGGATGAGGTGGAAGGGGAGGGGGACCGGGCCAGCACAGGTGGTGCACACCTCACCACAGAGCGTGGCTTCTACCGTGAAAGGGGAGGGAGGGCCAGGCAGGGACAGGAGGGACCAGGGTGACGTGGAATGGGGAGAAGGCAGAGTCCACCTAGCTTTTGCCCACATAGATGGCCTCCCGGCCTATGGGTTGAGGGCAGCCGACTCCTGCCTCCCAACCTGTTCACATGGCTACTACCTGGAGCTGTCCTTCTGGAGACACCTGAGGACGACCAGAAACCATAACGAGGACGCCTTTTCACATCCTTCGCATGGCAGGATCCTTCTCCCCACTGCATAGATGTGGAAACTGACCTCAAGATGACTGTTTTAAAGCTATGTGGGCTGGGGGCAGTGGCTCACACCTATAATCCCAGCACTTTGGGAGGCTGAGGTGGGCAGATCGCTTGAGCCCAGGAGTTCGAGACCAGCCTGAACAACATGGCAAAACCCTGTCTCTGCAAAAAATAAAAAATTAGCCGGGTGTGATTGCCCATGCCTGTAGTCCCCGCTATTCTGGAGGCTGAAGTGGGAGGATCACCTGAGCCTGAGAATTCGAGGCTGCAGTGAGCGGTGATCATACCACTGCACCACTGCAGCCTGGGTGATGGGAGCGAGACCCCATCTCAAGAAAAATAATAATAATAATAATAGCCATATGGCTCCTCAACCAACCCAGGCTTCAACAGAATGGTGGGACTTGCCCACCATGGAGGGTTCCTTTCTCAGGCCTGGGCCCTTTTAGCCAGTCCAGCCTGGCCTTCTGCCACATTCACCCTGGGGCTATGAGGAGGCCTTCAAGATGGGAGCCATGTCTATGTGGCCCCTTCCCTAGAGCAACAACAGGCACCAGTCTGCCGTTAGCATCCTGTAGCCACCTGGGGGGCTCTTCTGACGACAAACATTTGCCCCTGGACTGCCCTTCGTGGCCTCTAGTCCTCTCTCCAGGGACCCCTGCACTGGGAGGCAGGACAACTTCCTTTCATGTCCCCAAGGCCACATGCCATGCCCCACTGACATTTGTGGCACTCCCCAGTCTGATTCCAACCTCCTCCAGTCCTATTGTGCCCCCTACTCTGACATCAGGCAAAGCCACTCACCGCGTCTTCTGATGGGGTACTGTCTGCCCAGCATGCCCTTACCCCCTCCCCACCCCCAGGCAGAACAGCAGAGGCAGAGGATGTGGGCAGGAGAGCTTATGTTTGCACAGTTGAGAGCAGCCTGTGTGTCTGGAACCCAGAAAGTAAGGGAAGCACCTGGTGTATGAGGGGAAGCTGAAGAGGCCATAGGAGGGACTTCTGTCATGGTTCCAAGAGCAAAGGATGGAAGATGTCATTTGTAGGGATTTAGTCAGCGAGTGGTGATCACATCTGCTCTATAAAAAGCTCTCTATGGGAAGCAATAGAGGGGGCAGGGAGACTCAGGAAGTGGCAATTGCAGTTGTCCAGGTGGGAGAGGGTTATCCACACTGGAGAGGTCTTAGAGCCCCTCGTCCAGGAACCTCTCTCTGACCCTCTACCCCACCACAGACTCATTGGGAGGATACACCAAGTGGTCATCATAAGGTACAATCAGAGGATCCCAGAGATGCCTGGCCCAGCTGAAGACAAACTTGAGCACTCATGAAAATAGGAACTGGATTACTCAACTGTACCCCCAGATCCTGGCCCAAGGTATTGGGTTTATCTGCTGAATTGATGGATGGGTACGTGGGTGGATGGGTGGGTGAATTGATGGTTGGATGGATGGATGGAAGGATGGACAAATGGAGAGATGGACAGAAAGGATGGATGGGTGGATGGATGCATAGTTGAATGATGAATAGGTAGCTGGGGGGATGAATGGATGAATAGACAGATGGAGGGATGGATAGATAGGTTGATGGGTGGATGCATGCATGGTGGAGGGATAGATGGATGAGTGGATACGTGGGTGAACAGATGGTTGAATGGTGAATGGGTGGGTGGGTGAGTGAATGGATGGATGGGTGGAGGGATGGGTGAATGGATGGTGGATAGATGGATGGATAGATGGAAGGGTGGCTGACATCCCCATTTAGATGTGGGCTGTATCTGCACTGGAGTATTATCTACTTCTAAAGGTCCTGATTGGAGCTCCTGAGCCGGGACCATTTACTTATCTTATGACTTTCCTGGATACTGAAATACATTCAACCCTTCCTGACTTCTCAGAGCCCCTTTCCTTCAGAGTCAGTTCTTTATTTTTTCCCCCAAGCTGTCATACATTTGAATCCCTAAAGTTCTAGTCCAACCAACTCTGTCTCTCAGCTGTGTCAGTGGAGAGGCCCAAGAAGTTGCCTTCCTGCTAGCCATCCCCTCTTTTGAGCTGCTGTGGGTCCCAGTTGCCTGTTCCCTGGAGCAGAGGCTCATGAAGGCATGTAGAGGCTGGCAGCTGTCTGGTCTCGACCTTGGACTTTATTTTCCCAGCCCCTCCCACAGGCCCCTCTCTGTGCCCATGTTCCAGATGCCATAAAATCCGGGCCATCCATCCCAACAGGAGCTGGTGTGTCTACTCAAAACAGGTTGGGGACAATGTAGTCAGTGTGGACACCATCAATCAGCCCTTCTCCGTTGTTGTGGACGAACCAGCAGACAACCTTCGTGCCGATGCTGGCATCCTTTCTGTAGTCTTTCTGGGAGCCCCTGGGGAAAGAAGAGAGATGCTGCAATACACGGGGTGGGTAAGATGGCTGCTAGGCTAGCGGACCTGAGATTGAAAAAGGGTGGGAAGTTGGCAATTCTAACAGCCCAGAATTCTTTGGTCAAGAATGAAGTTACATGATTACTCTTTCGAGGAAGCCAAGTTTGGGCTTTTTCTTGATTAGCAAGAGCCTGGGAGGGGCCAAGACCTCAAAGGGAAACAAGGGTACCCCACAGAAGACAAAAGCCCACCAGACTAATGTGCCTGGGCTGCAGGTGCTCTTTCCTCCTCTCGTTGCTGAGCAGGTGAGGGTGTGGGAGAAGTCTCCTCACCTGGTGACAATCAGCTGATGGTTCTTCACCACCAATGTGGCATCTGGCTTTGTGGGGTCAGAGCCTGGCCGGATGTCAGACACTTTAAAGTCAAAGGGTTGGAAGAATTGCCCTGGGAAGAAAAATATTCATGCTGTCAGCCCCTGGCCATTGCCACGGGTAACGTGGCCACTGGCCTTTCAGGGTTGATGCAAAGGCTGAATGGGGTGTTGTGAGCTGGGTACAGGGTGCCTAGGAAGGCCTTGTGTATGTCTTTCCCATGCTGCTCTCAGGCCTGAACAGCCTGCAGTCTGAACACTTCGTACCCAGCAGCCCATGCGTCTGTGCTGACATCCGGTGACTGTCCACCACGTAGAAGCCTAGAAAGTCACGGTGGACAGGATGTTTCTTCCACACCTGGTGTAGGACGACCACGAAGGTAACCCCATCTCCAAAGGAGACCACCATGTTCTTCCTGTTGATCATCATGGACAGCCTACGAGAGGAAGCCAGAAAGTGGCTGTGGGGCCCAGTGGCCGTGACACTGGGCATCTGACTCAAGGGCGTTTTGGTGGGGCCTCCCCTGTACATGGCACCCGAGGGCCCACAGACTCCAGAAACTATCTCAGGGGCGTTGGAAAGAGGATGCCTCATGCACACTGTCTCCCCTCCCGTGAGTGGATCCTTGAGTGTCTATAAGTGGGAAAGAGAGGGCTGGCCTATGAATCTGGAGGCCTGTGGTCCAGCCTCAGCTAAGCCACTGACTTCCTGAGTGACATTGGGCAGGCTCCACACCTTCTCTGAGCCTCAGTGGGAGGCTCTGGGGGATCTGAAGACAGGAGAGCTAAGAAGACAAGAGCAGCCACAGAAGAGGCAAATGGGGGCCATTATCACCTAATGCCTTCACCCAACCAGCTGAACTGTGCAGCTACCAATTCTGGCTCTGATAGGGCCCCAGGGTTTGGTTGGGGGCCACTATGGTCACCCTCCCCTGTGACAGGAGACTGGATTCTGGGGTCTCTGATCTTTCCTGTGACCCCCATGGATCTCCTGTCCTGGGATTTTTCTAAATCCCTCAAGAGCCTCCTTAGACTCTCACCCTGTAGTCCACCTTGGAGACCTTGTAGGGGAGCTTACCCATCCTGCGTGACTGTGACTGTGTCCAGCCAGCTGAAAGTGCTCGGCACGGCCCTGTTCCACAGGGTGATCTTCTCCGTTGTCACCTCCACCTGGAAGTCCATCTGAGCATTGGCGATGCCCAGTTTTCCAAAGTAAGTCTTTCTGGTCTTGGAGTCAGGGCTGCCTCTCTTGTCGCCAGTGATCTGCCCATTAACTGTGAGGCCTGCCAGAGGGATGGGGCAGGGAGAGAGACCAGCGAGAACTTCTGAGTCCAGATTGCCTTTAGGGGTGTGCCTTCCTCTTCAACCAGACTGGCTGAGGGGCAGCAGAGCGGGGGCCACAAGAGAGACCAGGACTTCAGAGCCCAAGCCTGTTGGTTCCTAGACACTCTAGGTTTGGGTCATGCTGGGACCTTATGGGTCTGCCACTTGCCTGGGCCAGGGAGTGTTGTTCAGAGAAAAGCTATTCCCCAGACACAGGCTGGGTCCTACCCTAGGCCCAGGTGGTCCATTCACGCTAATCATCTCCCAATAGCACTGGCATGTGGGGCTGAGCAAGCCTGTGGCCCTGGGCACTCCCCACCCCCAGGGGTTTCTTTGCATGTGAAGATGATGCCTTACTGGGCAGAGTGAGAACCTGTTCCCTGTGCCTACCTCGGGGGACCCAAGCCCTCCCAGGAAGAGCCCCCTGGCCCCGGCCCTAGCCCACAAGCCTCACCTGTGACTGCATCCTGAATAAGGCGCAGCACTGTGCCTGGGGCTTCATCGATGTTGAAGCAGAGGGCATCGTCTTTCTCCGGAATTTGGATGATGAAGTGGGGATCCCCGTCCACTGGTGACACATTAGAGAAGGAGCTGACTCCCGGGGCCTCTCATCATACCTGGGGCCTCCCCCAGCCTTCTGGCCTCCATGGGCTCGACTCCGAGACAGGCAGGAGCACGTGCCCAGGCCCCTGAGCCTTCCCGAGGAGCAGCCAGGGACTCACCATAGTAGTAGGGGTTTTGAGGAGGCTGGTAGCTGGCTGCAGATACAAAGGGAGAGAGGGCTGAGCTAAGCAAGTGGCCCTGGGAGGCGCCCGACGACCCCCATAGGAGTTCAGCTTATGCCCCTCCCCTCCCCTTCCCGCTCGCTAATGCCATTGCCCTCCCACCCCGCAATCTCCTCAGGGCACATTGTCCATCTGCCCATCCCGGAGAGCTGAGTGAGTAGCCACGGTGGAGGGACATGTGGCAGGGGCAGGCTCTAAGCAGTGGGAGGAGTGGCAGCTGCCAGCATGTACTCACTCAGGTAGGACATGGCGGGGCTCACCGGTGTGGCTGAAAAGCCGAAGGGCAGTGGTGAGCAGGGTCTAGGGGTTCCTTCTCCCCCAGCCCCGTGCCTTCCTCCTGTCTTAGCGCTGCTGGGCCCCAGAGGGGCCCCAACACTGGCAGATAGAGGTGGAGATGTGACTACAAAGATTAGGCTTTGGAAATCGGGCACGTCCAGGGAAGCCCTTTATGGGGCTGGTGGCAATGGGATGTGATTTTAACGTTGGCGCAGGGCTTTTTGATGTGGCTGAAATGCAAGCCATTAAGTCATCTTCTCTCTCTTGAGTAATGCTCACAGCAAACATCTGCCCCACCCCTGGGCTTCCCACCCCCTAGTTGGGGTGAGTGAGGCTCACGGCTGTCTGTTGCTTCTTGATAGTAAACACCCACCCACACGTGCACACAGGCGCACACATATGCGTGCACATGCATATATGTACTCACATGCACCGGTACATTTATCAGGGCTGTTCTGAGGGGAATGTGATGGCCCAGTCCAAATGTGCCAGTCCAAATGGAGGTGGGGCAGGCCAGTAGGGGCTGGGGAGGCCCTGCCTAGTGGCAGGGAGTTTGTGAGGTTCCAGTTTTGTGGTGAGAGAGGCACAGAGGACTGTGATCCCCAGCAATTCCCAGCATGGGCATTGGGGCCAGACTGCCTTGGCCTAAGTACCAGCTTGGCCATCTGCTGAGTCTGTGAGCAAACAGACTGAGCAAATTAACCCCCCGTGCCTCAATTTCCCCATTGTAAAATGGGGATCATAAAAGGGCCCTCTTGGAGGGTTGCTATGGGACTAATGAAGTATAAATGACTGACATGCTAAATTGCTCATTTTTGCAGGTCATAGATACTGTCATACTGATTGTGTCTCCCTGGGCAAGGGAAGCCACCCCCAATTAACTCACAGGGATCCTCAGGCTCAGAGAGGGGCACGTTCATGATTTGGCAATAGGGCTGGGCCTGAGCCCAGGTGTCCCAAGTGTGCCCCCATGGCTGGGGGTCCTATCTTGCTTGGAAAGGCCTCCTCAGTTCTCTCTTGTCTCCCTTCCATAATGCCCAACCCGGTGGCTGGCTAAAGGCTTACCTTCTGCATCTGCAGGTGCAGCAAGGGAGGAAGAAGAGAAATGCATTAGAAGCCATAGGGCACTTGTGAGCAGGGACCAGAGCTGGCTGCTTGGCCGACCAGCCCTAGGCTGTGGGCCTCCCAGCAGCCAGCTCTTCCCCCACTGGGTGTCCCCTGGAACTAGGAGTTCTTGGAAGCCAGAGGCCTGGCCTGGCCAGGCCCAGCTCTTTGCCTCCCATGTCTCCCAATGCCAATCCTCCACCACCACACACAGACCCTGTACCTAGTTGCAGTGGGCATTTGGGACCCCCTGTTGAGTAGGGCAATCTGGGGTCTGGTTGAGGGGGTCCCAGCCTCCAGCTCTCAGGGACTCTTCCCCTAACAATCTCCAGGTGCCTGATAGCCTGCTCCAGGCCTTTCATGTTGGAAGTGCTTCTTCTTGTCTAACTAAGCCCTTCCATGCTGCAGCCTCAGTCCTTTTCCTTGAAATGCCCCATGGGCAGTGTGCCCCCTTTACTCACTTCCCTTTAGAGGTGCAGAGGCTCCTATTCACCCCACACCCCACTGTCCATGCTGACTGCTTCACGCTCCACCCCACTTTCCCCATCCCGTGGCCAGTTTTCCTTCAGATGCCCTACTTCAGCAGGTCTGGGTCTCCCCAGCCTGGCCCACTCCTCCACTGGACACCCAGGTAGGGTGCCCAGCACAGGAGGCCTCCGGGTTCCGGCCTCCATCCCTATCCCCACCTTCCCCAGGCTTGTCGGCAATGGCCCTCTCATCCTCGTTGTCCTCAGGCTTGGTCACCACCATTGAGGTCAGTGGAGTCACAAAGTGATACTTGAGGGACAGGTCCAGGGCCCGGGCCGTGAGGTTCTCCTTCTCCTCGCCATGGGCGTTCTTGCTGTGAGGAGGGGCCAGTCAGGAGGACAGCCTGGAGAGCAGCACCCTGCCCACTTCCCCTGCACTGGAGCAGTGGACACAGCTGGGGATCCCCACTCCACCTTCCCCATTGTGGGGTCCCCCAGGGTACAGCCCAGTTGGGCTCAGAGAAGACTGGCTCACAACTCCCTGGGGCATGTGAACAAGCCCTGTTTCCTTGCTGGACCTTGGTTTCCCCACCTATAAAACGTAAGGACCGGCCGGGCATGGTGGCTCACGCCTGTAATCCCAGCACTTTGGGAGGCCAAGGCGGGTGAATCACCTGAGGTCAGGAGTTCGAGATCAGCCTGGCCAACATGGTGAAACCCCATCTCTACTAAAAATACAAAAATTAGCCAGGCATGGTGGTGCATGCCTGTAATTCCAGCTACTTGGGAGGCTGAGGCAGGAGAATGGCGTGAACCCGGGAGGCGGAGCTTGCAGTGAGCCGAGATCCCGCCACTGCACTCCAGCCTGGGCGACAGAGCGAGACTCCGTCTCAAAAAAAAAAATAATAATAATAAAATAAAATAAATAAATAAATAAATAAATAAATAAATAAATAAATAAAATAAGGGGCTACAACAGCCACTCGCAATGGTGTCCATGTGCAGAGCACTCAGCATGTGCTAGATTGTGTACTAACGGCTTCACAGTCTAATCCCACCCACACCAACACTGACCCTCTCAGTGGGCTCAGCTCTGCCCTCTGGGCACTGAGGGCTGGGATCCCGGCCTTCAGTTCCACTCAGCCTCACCACCCCTGGGCCATGCCCAGTGTGGGCAGCAGGGTGCTGAAGTCCCCCCTACCCCGGGGCACTCCCAGGCTGCTGGCCAGGGGACTTGCCAGCTTGAGCCTTGGGGCTGACAGGATGGGGAGTGGCGGCCTGGGGTTCCTTACAGACTGCTCTACAGACACTTCCTGGGCTGGCCCAAGAAGAGGGCAGGACCGCTGGGACTGCGTATGGGGGTGCCCTTGCATTGGAGCCCAGCCAGGGGTAGGCACAGGTGGGGGCTGGGACTCTGCTCACCGCTTCTCCAGCAGCTGCTCAATGGTGAGGTAGGCCCAGAGCCGCTCAATGTAATTCCCGAAGATGTAGTCCCGCTCCTGCAGGGCCTTCTCCATCTCCTTCATGTCCACCTCCTCTGTGAAGGTCAGGTCGTTGGTGGCCTAGGGTGGGGGTAGAAGGAGGCAAGGGGCTGGAGGCTTGGGTGGATCAGGTTCAGGGGCCACCACTCCTGGACCCTCATGAGGCCAGAGCCCTACCACTGCTGATACCCCATCCCCAGCACACTTCCAGGCCCTGTCCCCACTCACCCCATGGCCCTTCACATCTGCCTTAAAGCTGTTCATGTCCTCGTCCACCAGGCGCCCGGCCACCACGATCTCAGAGCCATCGTAGAAGTGCTGGTAAGTGTTCTGGGTGAGGTCCAGGATAGCGTTCTCGGGGTACTCCATCTCCACACCCGTCAGCAGTGGGTTGGCCACCTCCTCATAGAAGCCCTGAAGTTCGCACGGGGCCAGTCATCTCAAGCCCCAGGTCAGGCTCCCACTGATGCTGCAGCTGGGCATCCATGCCCCAGGGCTGGGCCCGTCCTAATGGCTCCTAATGTTCACTCTGCCTGTCCCTGACTGCGTCCTTCAGTCTGTGGGGGCCTCCCCCCGGCAACTCCCTGCTCCCAGATAGACACGAGGAAGACTAGAAAGGACAGTTTCAGAAGTATTTCCTATTAAAAAAAAAAAGAAATATGAAAGGACAGAGTTCTTAGCACAAAGAAAGTATTTAAGGAATGTCTGTTGGAATGAAAGCAAGAAGGAGAAAAGGAAGTAAGAGAGGCAGATGATAAAGTGATGTGGACAGGAGTGCAGAGATCTGGAGACAGAGGAGGGAGGGAATGGGGTGGTCGCCCTGCAGAGGTGGAGATGCCATTACCTGCCTAGAGAAGGAACAAAATTGCTAGATTCAGCAAATGCAAAGACAGGACGTGCAGCTACATTGAAGGTCAAATAAACAATGAATAATTTTTTAGTGTAGGTATGTCTGTTATGGGTTGAATAGCGTACTCCTAAAGTTCAACCTTATTTGGTGATAGGGTCTACAAAATAAGGTCATGAGTATGGGCCCTAATCCAATATGATTGATGTCCTTATTAAAAGGGGAGTTGGACACAGACATCCAGAGGGAAGACATGTGCAGACACAGGGAGAAGACAGCCATTGATAAGCCATGGAGAAAAGGAAAGAGGCCTAGAAAGATCTGCCCTCATAGCCCTCAGAAGGAACCAACCCACCGCCACATGGATCTGGGATGTCCGGGCTCTGGAACTGGGAGACAATACGTTTCTCTCATTGAAGCCACTTGGTACTTTGGTATGGCAGCCGCCATACACTAATACAATGTCCTGTGCAATATTTGGGGCATACTTACACTACAAAAATTCATTATTTATCAGAAATTCATATTGAACCAGATGTCCTGTGTTTGCTCTGATAATCCTGTTGAAGAAACGGGCCTGTTGTGTAGCCCAAGGACAAAATCAGAATCTTTACTGATGGGTAAGAGATAGTCAGAGGTGGATTTTGACCCAAGACGAAGCTCTTCCTAATAACTAGAACTGTCACCTTATGGAGCAGCTGTCTGAGGAAGTAGTGAGCTCCTTATGCCCGGAAGTGTGCAAGACAAGGCATACCTGCAACTGCAAATCGGCATCAGAGTCCTCATAAATGCGCCGGGCAAACCCATGGTTCTCCAGGGCCATGTTCTCCAGGAAGTTATAATTCAGATTGTTGCCAAAGCCCAGGTTATACAAGGGGAACTTGCCCCCGATGGCATTCCGCACATTCTCTTGGATTTTTTCGGGTCTGCTCTCACCTGTTGGAGAAGGGGGTGTTCACAGTCCAGCCCCAGCCCTGGGGATGGTCTAGACCAGCTCTGTCTGGGGAGACCGGACTCCTGCACATGCAGAGTTGCTGGAGTCACGACCATGAGCCCTTGTGGGGCAGGTGGTGGAGAGCCCTGGCAGAGGGAGGCAGGACCCTGCCCTTGAGGGGCTCCCAGACCACAGGGAACCCAGGGAAGAGCTGCCCCAGGTTTTCCAATGAGCCAGCTACAGAGCCAGGAGCAGCAGCCAAGCACTCCAGCCCTAGCTCAAAACCATGCCCGTGCTCCTCACCAACATTGGCATCCCCATCAGTCAGCATGATGACAATGGAGGTGCTCCTCTCTGGGATTCTGTGCTCCTCTCGGGCCTTGTTCAGCATACTGATGCCCCTCAGCAGCCCGTCATTGATGTTGGTCACTGGGACACAGACAGACAGCACCGTGGGAGGGTGTCCTCAGGGTGCCAGTGTGCAGACAGGCTGGAGCGGAGGAGGCCGGGACAGCCGGCCCCACTCATGTGCCCAAGGACCCTATCTGCCAGCCCATGGTGGTACTCAGCAAACAATGAATGAACCACCACATGAACAAACAAACAAACAACTTCCACTTTCAAATGGGGATGAAAGGCACATGGTGAAGACGAAAAGCACATGGTGATTGTGAAAGCCCTTTGGCAGAGTTGGATGGACTCCCAGTACCTCTTGCTGGGAGGAGAGGGGAGCAGTGTAGACATCGTGCCATTTTCCATATGAAACAGGGCCAAGAAGAAGGGTTCTCTGTGGCCTTATCTTGCTGGGACTTGTGAGATACCAGGATCATGGATTAGAAACAGAAAGAATGGGTTTCCCTGGACCACGGAGAAGACAGCCGATATTCTGTCTTCAAGCCTGAGGACCATCCACTCCCACCTCTACCCCAGCTCAGATCTGAAGAGGGCCTGAGACCAGCAGAGTCCCTAAGAGGGGGGTTGCAGGCTGCTCAGGGACAGAGGGAGGCACCGCTAGGAGGTGTGTGGGCTCCAGCTCCGCTCTTACTTCCTTTATCCTCCATGCTCTTCACAAACGTCCTGGCCTCCTGGAGGTTCTCGGGCGTGGCCTGGACTAAGTGCTCTTTCCATGTGGACACATCTCCACTGAACAGGATGAAATTCAGATAGTCTTCCTCTTGCATATCTTCCAGGATTCTGAGAAGGGCCTCCTTTGTCTGGAGGAGAGACAAAGAGCTGGGAGAAGCCGCAGCAGAGAGTGAGGTCCCTTCTCAGCTCAGCAGGCGGTGCAGCCCACGCCATCTGCACCAGCGAGCCCTGCCTGAGGCTTGCCACAGAAGCGGGCAGAGGCCGTGAGCCTTCTCTTATCCTGTCCCCTTTCTCCTCATTCACCACAAAGATCAGCTTTTTCCAGTTAAAAAAAAAAATCTCTTCCACCCCCTACTACCCCGAGCCCTGGCTGTGCCACTGGTGCTGATTACCTGCTCTAATTTCCGACCAGCCATGGAGCCGCTGATGTCAATCACAAAGGCCACGTTCTTAGGCACCACTGGAAGGCCTTGAGGTGCAAAGAAGTGCACGAAGTAGCCATTGACTATCTGGAAAGTGGGGAGAGGGACGGAGGCCGGTGTCCTTTTAGCAACACCACATTGACTATTCTTGCAGGTAGAAGCCAGACATTTACCAGCCCAAGAAAAAGACGTTCCTATCCCACCCTCTAGGGGGTGCTGCACCAGGCTCTAGGCCATCAGCTGTCCCACATCCTGCAGGAAAACAGCCTTGGGCTGAGGACCCAGGGTGATGGCACTAGATCCAGCTGCAGCCCCCGCCCGACCAGCCCTCGCCCCACCCTGATGATGAATCAGCCAGCCCGGGTACCTGCACGTTGCCAGGAGATTCTCTGTTCACGTCATAGGTGATAGTGAAATCTCCATTGAGGAGGGAGTCTGTACAGGTTGGGCATGAACGCTGTTGGTCTAAGCTGGGCTTGAAGGACACATGGCCCTAAGGGATGGAGATGAAAGACCTTGCTCAGCTCGGCCAGGGCCTGCCCACTGGGAGACCTCAGCCCTTAGCTGAGGGAGCAGAGGTGCAGCCTCACAGGGAGGAGCCCTTGGCAGGGCAGAGGCTAGCAAGAGCTGGAGGCCTGGGCAGCCCTGCCCGCCGGTGGCGTGCTCTGCAGCTCCCAGGACTCACTGGAAGGCACTGTTTACCACGCTCCGGCCTTTCTGAGCACC
Organism: Homo sapiens; assembly: GCF_000001405.40. Lineage (NCBI taxonomy): Eukaryota > Metazoa > Chordata > Mammalia > Primates > Hominidae > Homo > Homo sapiens. Next base: position 52,798,732 of record NC_000003.12, on the reverse strand, counting down.
GCTTTTCCCCTTGGAGATCAGGGCTCCTGGCTGGGCACAGGCCTTGGCTGATTCAGCTTCCAGCTCCCTTTTTCTTGGCCTCACACACCCATTAGCCCAGGCTACCTTGGAGCTCAGCACTGAGAAGCTACTTAGGGAAGGGGTAGCTTCCCATTAAAAGGAATTTCTTGTAGGTTTGGAATGTTGGTGTGTGGGTGCCAAGAGGAGGGGAGGGAGAAAGGAGGAGAAAGGGGAGGAGGAGGGTCCCGGGGCAGGATGTGGCCCTGCAGAAGCCAGCAGTCCTCTGAGTGTGTGCTCCTCGGGCCTCGCCCTGGAAGTCCTGGATGATTGGTTTGTTGTTTATACAAACATTTATTCACCCACTGTCCACTGCCATTAAGGCCCCTGGAACAGCTGGGAGCCTTGGGGACTGGAGTCAACCACCTAGCACCAAGAATGAAGTTCTCTTTAGTCTTTCACCTCTCATTGTGGAGTCAGTAGATCTAAATGACTCCCTTGGGCTTCAGCCTCGGGACCTGTAAAACAGGGAAGATAAGCCCTGCCCTGTCCATTTCCCAAGGGGGAACGGGACCAGGCTTTGTAAATGGCTCCTCTGGCAGGTCATTGTCAGCAGCCCCTGCCCTCAGCATCCTCACTCCCAACCCCAGTGGGCAAGGAGGAAGGTGATAGTTGCAGATTGATCCCCAGCCCCACCCCAACACATGCATGCTTGCAGCAGCTAAGCCCTAGGCTGCAGGCTTGTTCTGCTGGAGTCAGTATTCCTGTCCCCTGCCCCACCAGGTCTGAGAGGCATCTACATCACCTTTTTCCCTGAGAAGGACTTGGTGAGGGCGCTTCCCAGGAGGTCGTTGGTGATGAAAGAGGCCTCAGCATCCAGCATGCTGATTCCCTGAGGCTCGAAGATGTCTACCTCGATCTGAAATGGCCAAAGTAAGGAAATGTCACTCAGTGACCTCAGAGGCCAGTTCCCAGAACAAGGCCAATGGGAATGAGATGGGTCTGTGGTGATGCAGGGACCCTCTAGGACAGTGCTGAGGGCCAAGCCTGGTGTCTCCCACTGCGAAAGTGACCACAGGGGCTTGGAGGAGAGTATGCTGATCGGGAGGTGTTACCACCGCCTGCCATATGCGCCCGAAATTCCACCACTGATGCTTTTCCTTTGGCTTTCAGCTTTGAGGTAGGAAAAATGCCCATGTGCCCAGTGAGAAGCCTTACAGAGGCACTTGCTGGTGTTGCTCTTGAGGGCCCAGCACCGAATCTGCATCTGTGGAGTCCATCCCAGCCTCTTCCCCTTGGCCCCAGATGCTTTTGGCCAGAACCATTGAATTCCTCCAGCCTTCCCAGCCAAGGATGGGGGATGCCGTGAGGCAGAACTTTTGTTTTTGACCCCTGTCTGAGACTGCCCCATGGGCGGGTTCCTGCACCCCGCTGCCGTCCCCCCAGGTCTGCAGGGGCGGTTGATTACCTCAAAGTGTTTGACCAGTTGCTTAGGCTGGACCTTGAGGTACATCTCGTACTTGCCCTTGTGCCTCTTCAGCAGCTCCTCGTAGGTTAGCTCGAAGGTGACTTTGCTGCCTGCAGCCACGTTGACCGAGACTGTGAACTTCTCCAACTTCCTCCCAGAGGCCCTGACCAGGGTGCGAGATGGTGACTCCCTCAAAGACTGCAGGAGCCCACCCTTCCTCGGCCCTCGGCCCCAGGCCCAGCCCTTTGGCGAGGGAGATCCCTAACCATTCTGAGCCTCACTTGCCTCAGCCTCAACGTGGGATAATGGCAAAATTATGGGCACATTTTGCTATACCAATAATAATAGCTGTTGTTGTTGTTTGTAGCCCTGAAGGCCCTTGGATCCCAGACATTCTCCCCAAGGCCTGGGAGTCCATACTTACTTGACCAAGCCGGCCGTCTTGCCCTGGGACACAGCCTTTTCATACTGCTTCTTGGCAACTTCCTTCTCCTTGACATTCCCAGGGTAGGTAACACCGTCGATGGTCCTGCAGGGAAAGAGAGTTGGGGGTAGGGAGATCACACTGGGCCAGACCCCCTGTTCCCGAGCCCAGAGCCAGCAGCCATGGTGGTACCCACAAGGTGAAGTTGGTGATGAAGGCCGTCTTGGGCAGCTCCACATCAAAGGAAACCTCCTTGGCCGTGTCTGCACGGTTGACGGCTCTCATGGTGACAACATTGTGAGCAAAACGGGAGGTCACCTTGGAGTTGATTTTGGTACTGTAGACCTCGATGCCATTGGCCACCTTTGGGGAGGTGGGTGGAGAATCAGCCAGACTGGGACACTGGAGAAGCAGGTTTGCAACCCAGCCACCTCCCTTGCAAACCCTTGGAGGCTCTGAGGCCCCTGCCCGGCACGCAACCCTCATCCTCCAGGTCTTCTACACTGGAAGACTTGGTGGCGTCTCCAGTCTCCATGTTCTGGTGGCCACCATTATTCAGATGCTTGTCCTGCCTCCTTAATTCTGCGATCCGTTTACACACCACTGCAGCCAGTGAGAGCTTGCCCTTTCCCGTCCAGTCACCCTGAGCTCCAGCTATGCGTGGGACACTGGCTCTGGAGCATCTGCCCCTGGCTCTTCCTGCTCATCCTCCACACCTCACACTCCCTCAAGCACACAGCCCAGCCCACCTCCTGGGTCTTTAGGTAATTGCCTCATTCTGTCTCCCAAAGAGGAACTGATTTCCTGTGCCAAGGGAAGTCTCCAAACACCCTCTTTCCAATAGGGGTGTTGAATTTTGAGAGGCTCTAGGGAGGTGTTCCAGCCCCCTCCCCCTAGGGATATAAAGATGCTTCGTGAGGGTGTGGCAGGGACCGCTTCACAGAGCCAGGTACCAGCAAGTGCTAAGGAAGTGTCTGCGGAAGGAAGGGATGCCTGTGAGGGGCCCTCTTGGGCTACATCCTGCGAGGTTGGAGGGGTCGTCACTCTGTGGTGCTCTTTCCCAGGAGTCCTGCGCTGTTGGAGGCTGCCAGGGCAGAGGGCCGTAAGCTGTTTGCCAGCTGTGAGGAGTCAGCTGTTATAGCCTACACCTTCAGCAGTTGGGGAACCAGCTCCATCCTGCCCTGCCCCACTCGGTCCCACCCCCTGGTGAAAGTTCTTACCCCTTCCGGGAGGCTCCGTTTCTGAAAAAACAAAAACAAACACAAACACAGGAATCAGGCCAAGGCCAACACCAAGGCCGCATGGCCTGGGAGGCTCTGGGCTGAGACCAGGGGTTCAGTGGTGCCCTGCCCCCCACACACCTGAGTGGCCCCCAGACATAGGACCCTCCAGAGCCACATGTCAGAGTAGGAAAAACTCTGAATAGATGGGGAAACTGAGGTCCAGAGAGGGGCAGGTATCCAGGTTACCAGGAGAGCAGGGCAGGGGGAACTGAACCCAGAGCTCTCTTCACACCCTACATGCCCCACCTCATTCTATCTCCCATTCTGCCTTTCCCTGGCCCCCAGGCCCCTTTAGGCCTCCTTCCAGAGCACCCCTGCCCCCGCCACACCCCGCAGGGCTCAACTGAGCATTTTGTAGAGGTCACACTCGTTTGAGACTTGAACCTTCATTGCCCCTCAGTGAAGTGAGCAGTTCCTGGTGCATTGCTCTTTTGACAGGTGGGGAAGCTGAGGCCCAGGGAGTTTTAAGAGCCTTCCCAGGGTTAGACAACAGGTTAGCATAGGCCTCAGCTGGAGCCCGGTTCTCCCAGTGTCCACACTACTCCCAGCAGCTCAGTGCCCAGCCCTCTGCCTCCTCTTCACTCCACTCAGAGGCCTTGCCCAGCATGATGCCTTCTGCCCATTCCACACCAAGACCCAGATGGCAAAGAGGGGGCAGACTCACCCCAAGCAGCCGAAAGGGGCTTCTCGGGAAGCCAGAGGCTGCCAAGCTGGAGAGCAGAGCCAAGATGAGACAGGGCCACCATGCAAATGCCATCGCTGAATACTCAGGCCTGGCCCACGCTCCTTATATGAGCAAGCCTGGTGTTTTCCAAGCAGGGTCAGTGACCTGCAGCGGGGGTGGGAGGAGTGGAGGCAGGAAGGGCCTCCGGGAAGCTGGGCATGGGTGGAATGACGGGTCCCTCGATGTGTCTGTCTGAAGAAGGCCTGGTGGGTCTTGCCAACAGCGTTGGGGCTTCATTCCTGAGAGACCGGGGGACTCGGAAGAGGCCCGCAGGAAAGCAGAAGCTGTGGGCCAACAAATGGACCCTGGGACTCCCTGGCGTGGATGATGGAGATGGGGTGTGGAGTTGCATTTAGGGCAAAGGGCATCTCAGCATTGTTGCCTCTTATCCCTACCACTGGGACAGCCTCTCTCTGGCCTCCTGGATTGCAGCCCCTCCCTTCTTGAGGCAGCCAGGGCGTGAAACTAGACTGTCACCTTCAGGCTGGGACCTCCACAGCAGAGCCCCTCGCTCACTACCCTTCTATGGCCCCCAAAGCCCCAGGGAAAGGACACACAACGATCCCGGAAGCCCAGCTGTCTCTGTGATCTGACCCCAGCTTGTTTTTCTGAGCTCACTCTCTTGCACCAGCACACCCTCCCCTTCTGCACATGTCACATCTTTCATCTCTCTGCCAGTCCCAGTGCCTCCCCTCCAGGACCCTTCCCTGGCCATCCCCTAGAGGACTATGGGACATCCCTGCTCCAAGCCCCAAGCCCCCTGAGGGCCTGCTTTGTCATGACCTTATGTTGAGGTGGATGTGCTCAGGTCTGCCTGCCCCCTCTGCACCCAGAGCTCCTGGGGGCTGGACCATGTCATGTTTCCCTCTGTGCTTCCAGGGCCCAGCCAGGGACTTGGCTGCCCTCAGCCTTTTGGGGAGTCATTGCCCTAAAAGTCGTAGTGAGGCTGGGCTCCAGCTTCCAGGACAACAGGAGCTTTAGAGGCAGGACCTGGTCTCAGTGGGGGCTGGGACCTCCTGAGCCACCTCAGGACCCTGCCAGCCTAGCCCCATCAGGGCAGCTGTTGCACACCCACCATACCCATGGCTTCTCTGAGCCAAGCTGACCCTGTGACCCTCCCACTGGGCAGCCCACTACTGAATGGAGTCGACAAGGACGGCTGGGTCCAGGACAACTAACTTATGGGGAGTTCAGCGGCCTCAGCTGAAAGCTCTGGTGCTGACTGGGAGATGTGCAGAGAGAGTTGTTGGGAGCAGAGGAACCAAGAAGGCAAAAGGCAGATGCCACGGGGCAGCGGAAGCCCTGAGGAGGGTGTGGTCTAATGGCTGGAAGAGGCAGCAGCCACAGAGCAATGATGGAGAGTTGCCAAATCAGCCAGGCACTATGGCTCTTGCCTGTAATCCCAGCTTTTTGGGAGACTGAAGCTGGAGGATCACCTGGGCCCAGGAGTTCGAGGCTGCAGTGAGCGCTGTGTTCGTGCCACTGCGCTCCAGCCCGGATGACAGGGCGAGACCCCCGTCTCAAAAAAAAAAAAAAAAATTGAAAAGAGGGAGTTTCCAAGCCAGTGAAATGATGGCCAAGTGGCAGATGCTGCCTGTGCTTGGTGTCTGGCTGGGCGGTGCCTGTTTCCCTCGGGCCTCCTGAACCCTTACACCAACCTCACTGGCAGCAGGCACCAAGCTCGGGCCTGATGGAGGCCAAACCCAGCAGGTGCTGGCGCCTGGGTGTGGAGAGAAGACCCCTCAGAGCTGCCGTGTCCTCATTTCCTGGCTTCTGGGATGTTTTCAGTCCTGTGGCTGCTGGCACTGGGTGGCTGGCACTGTTGCCCAATGGCTCCTCCTCACGGACCTGCAGCTGCCTGCAGAGCTTCTCCTGTACTCTCTCATCTGGACCACTGCCTCATCCCCAAGTGCCTGGAGTTTGGGGAGACGGACAACTCGAAATAGGGATTCTGTAGCTGCTCAAGCAGCCTCAAGGGATGGCTGGGGACTTGGAGGAACCAGAGTCGTCATGCAGACTTTATAATTAGACGGAATCTAAGAGATCTTTGGGTTCACCGCCTTTCCATTCTACAGGAGAGGGAGATGAGGCCCCCATTGGGCAGGCCTTGCCAAGGGTGACCCCGACAGCTGGCAGCTCACAGCTCTTCCTGGAGAACCCCAGGATACCTGGGAAGGTGGGCTGGCCGCCCCACAGCCTGCCGCTAGGGGCTCTGTGTTCATAGGGCCTGGGGCAGCCTTTGAGCTCAGCATTGGTGTTATTGATCCAGGCCCTCAAAACCAGTCCTTGTTCTGTCTGGTCCCTTGTGAGCCTCATTTATAGTGGAAACTGGACAGAAACTAGCAAGAAAAAGCAGAAAGCCTCTGGAAAGCAGTGGGTGGAGGCCTGTGCGCATTCACACACAGAGCTCTCTGACGTGTGGCTCACCTCCCTGCACCTGTGACATTGTGTTTTGACTGGGCCCCAAGGTCAAGCCAAGGGAGGGGACCCTGATGGGGTAATTCCAGGCATTCACATGAGGAGATGGTAGGGTGCCACTCCTGGCCCCCTGAAATCACAGCTTCTGGGCAGGGACCATCTCTGCCTTTGGAAAATACCAGCCTGGCTGCCAGACGTTACAAACCCTCAGCAGGGAAATGGTGTGAGCTTTCTTCCCAGCCTCTGACCTGCTTCTCCTCTCCCTGGGTCTGTTGTAACCCCTTAGTCCATCTGAGGGGCAGCATCTTGGGCTGCCTCCCTGCCATCCTCCCTCCCCAAAATCAGCCAGCTCAGGGTGGACACGGCCTCTCTTTAATGGAAGGCATGAGGTGCTTTGACACAAGGAACCAGCTTAGTCAAGGAGGTACAGCCTCAGCAGCAGGTCAGGATGTCGTCCTCCTCCTCTGCCTTGGCCCCGGGGGAGGACAGGCGTGCTGGCCAGAGGGCTCAGAAGATGTCGGGGACGATATAATCAGTGTAGGCACCATCGATGAGTCCAGCCCCATTGTTGTGAATGAACCAGCAGGACACCTCGGCCCCATGCCACGGGTCCTTGCTGTAGTCTTTTTGCAAACCCCTGTGCAGAGACAAGTCAGCTGGGGTCACCCTTCGGACCAGTAGGGCAGCACCTCCCCAGGAAGCTCACCCCACCCATGTGACACCTGGAGGAAGACCTGGAAGAACTACAAAGTGGCCGAGGGCAGACGTGCTGGGCAAGCAGCCCACCCACCTGGTGACCGTGAGCCGGCGGTTCCTCACCACCATCGTGGCATCTGGCTTTGTGGGGTCAGAGCCTGGGTGGATGTCAGACACTTCAAAACCGATGGGGTGGAAAAATTGCCCTAGAAAGGCACATTGGAGACAGCGGTTACCATCTCGGGGACTTGCTCCTGCCCTGCACTCAGCAGGTGCTCACTGCGGGGTTAGAGCATTGCTGGACCGCTTTTTTTCCAGGGCTTGACTGTTTCTGCTAACAGTCCCAGCATGAAAAGCTACCTTTGGTTCACTTGCTATAGAGAAGTAGATACATTTCTAGGTGGTCCTACCTCCTGTCTTTTAAAACGGGATCTGTCTGGGGAGAGAGGTTTGAGGGCAGGTGCCCATAGAGAGCAGTGTCTGTAGAAAGGCCACACAGGAGCAGTGTGGTCAGTGACCCACCCTACTCACAAGGTTCCTGGGAACCCTCTGGGCCTTTCTTTTTGCGATCAGACCTCTGCCCCTCACTTGCTCCCAGGCTCGCTTAAGCGTTTGTTTCACTGTGTGTTTGCTCACAGCCTCACCAACACAGCCCCTCAGACGGCTCTGCTCCTTGGAGGCCACACTGGAGGTGGGCCTGTCCTGGTGCCCAGCTATAGAACTGACCGGTGGCCCCAGGTCCCACATGTCCTCTGGCTTCAACACCCTTCCCCACAGCCCTGCCAGCCTGGCCAGCCGTACCCAGCAGCCCGTGCGTCCGGGCTGACATCCGATGACTGTCCAGCACATAGAAGCCCAGGAAGTCCTGGTGGACCGAGCTCCCCTTCCACACTCGGTGCAAAACAACCTCAAAGGTGCCACCGTCGTCCACAGACACCACCAGGTTCCTCTTCTTGTTGATGGTCACCACCACCCTGCAGAGCCAGGTGGCCGAGAGGGCAGGTGCGGCTGCACTGCATCCCTCTCCATTCAGCTGCCCTTGTCATCTGGGACCCAACCCTTATGACCACGCCCCCACCCCATGGCCTTCATCCCCAGATGGCCGGCTGTTACCTGTTCCACGCCCCTCCCCACATGTTGCTTGGGGCCCTTGCAATGTGCCAGGTCCTGTGCTAAGCCCTCTGTGCAAACTGCATCATTCAATCCTCACTCCGAGCCTGTGAAGTCCCAGGCTCAGAGAGGTTAAGTAACTTGCCCAAGGTAGCACAGCTGGTAAGCAGTGGAGCCAGGACTTGGACTTCAGGCTGTCTAATATCAGAGTCCGTGTTCTGTGACTCCCACTCATCACCTGTGACCTCCACAGCAGACTCTCCCCACCTCTTCCTATAGCTCTGCTGCCCAGCATTGCTCTGGTGCTTGGCACAGTTTGTTGAATGAATGAATGAATGAATGAACGAATTAGTAAAGGAAGGAAAAGTCATGAGACAATGCAGACTAAGACATGCCAAATGAGAAGCCCAGAGAAATCTGGAGTTCAGCAGAGGAAGAGAGCAGGAGGGCTGAGGGGAAGAGGTGGCCTCTTTGCTGGGCCTGGGAGGATGAGCTGGCTTTGTTTGGTAGAGACAGGGGTGGCATTCAGAGCTAAGGTGCGGTGGGAGCACAGTTGCCATGCAGCTGGGCCCAGAGGACATATCCAGTAACCAAGGGAAATGGAGGGCTGGGTGGGCCATGGAGTCTGACATGTCTGCACAGGCCACATGGGTGTCACCCACAGACATGGCTCAGGGACGAGGGCCCTGCAGACTCAGCAGAGTCCTGGGCCCAGGCCACACCTCCCCCTGCATCTTGCCCAGGCCCTGGCAGGTTACCCGTCCTGCCGCAGCACAGCTTGGTCCCTCCAGGAAAACACAGGCCCACCAAAGCCGGGGTTCAGCGTAATGTTCTGAGGAGTCACTTCCAACTGAAAGTCCGTGGCAGGGTTTGCGATTCCCAGCCGCCCGAAGTACGTGCCGTCATGCTGCCCAGGGCTCCTGGCCTTGTTGCCAATGAGCTGTCCATTCACTGAGAAGCCTGCAATGGAGCAAGAGGGCATCCGGGTTGGGAAGGGGCCTGCCTGCCTTTGCTTAGCAGGATCATGCCTCCTTCCTAAGAGGCCTCTACGCCCTGCCTGTGCCACTCTGTCTTTGAGAGTCTCCTGCCTCAGGGTCTCCAGGTCTGGTCCCGCACACAGCACCACCTCTCCTTCCTCTCCACCCCTCCTGCCATGCCAAATATCCCATACTCAGCTCTCAGTTCTGGGTCCTAACGGAGGTCGTGCCTCCCCGAGAACAGGACCTAGCCTGCTCCTTCTCTGTGGCCCCAGCCCCTCACACAGGGACAGGCTCCCATTGTGCTGGAAATGCATTGTGGGACCTCTTCACAGAGGTCTCCGCTGACCTGGGCAGCCACAAAGCCCCCTTCCCACCCTCACGCTGCCAACCCAGCACGTCTCATGCTCTGAAATGATCATCTCAGAATGTTCACCTGTTTGTCTTCCCCTTCCCTAAACTCTATGAAAGCGGGACTATCTTGGCTCCCACTGCATTCCCAGCCCCTCGTTGGTGCACAACAAACACTTGCAGATGGACTAACTGGACAGGGAGGGAAGGAGACAGGAGGGAGCAGGGGTGAGAGAAGGAGAGGGAGCTGTTCCCCATAACCAAGGCACTGCTGGGAGAGAGGTGCTCTGCTCAGCCATGCTTCATGGGGAAGGTGGGGCAGGACTGTGACATATTTGCAGGACCTAGTATGAAATAAAAAGGAAGGGCCCCTTGTTTAGAAAGTGTTAAGGGTTTCAAGGCGGCAACGGAAGAGCATTAAACTGGCTGGGCACGGTGGCTCACACCTGTAATCCCAGCACTTTGGGAGGCCGAGGTGGACGGATCACCTGAGGTCAGGAGTTTGAGACCAACCAGGCCAACATGGTGAAACCCCATCTCTACTAAAAATACAAAAATAAACCAGTCATGGTGGCATGCGCCTGTAGTCCCAGCTACTTGGGAGGCTGAGGCAGGAGAATCACTTGAACCCAGGAGGCAGAGGTTGCAGTGAGCTGAGATAACGCCACTGTACTCCAGCCTGGGCAACAGAGCAAGACTCTGTCTCAGAAAAAAAAAAAAAAGCCCCTGTGTGCCTACCCCAGTCACATGCTGATAAAGCTGGCCCTGTGTAGGTGCAGCCAGGAGGATGGCGTGGGAAGGCAGCGGGCAGAGCCCAGCCAGGTGGATGGTGCCCAGGCAGAGGGCAGTGAGGGCCTTGGCCATAGTCCTGTTCCTGGCTGAATGTTGAGGGCAGAGGAGCCCTGGCCCTGTCTGGCAGAGGTGTGATGCCCGCCATACCTGTGTTGGGGTCCTGTACCAGGCTCAGGATAACACCAGGCTCCTCATTGATGTTGAAGCACAGGGTGTCCTCTTTCTGGGGCACGTGGATGATGAAGTGAGGGTCTGTGTCCACTGGGGGCACAGCATGGAATTCGTTAGATTGGACATCGGGCAGATGGGGCTGGCCAGGGGTTGGGGTTCAGCTAGGCAGGTCCCAGAGAGAGACAGAGAGAGAGAGACAGCCAGATAGGGTGGGTCCCAAACAGGGGTGTCCCTCAGACCCTTCCAAGGACTCACCGCCGGTCACTCGGTCTGGCAGCCGCTGGGTATTGGAGCTGGAATGAGTAGGAGAAGGCTGCAAGGCTGACAGCACGAACGCTGATGGGAGGGGGAGTGGCATTTAGAAGCGGGGCAGCCAGGCCTTCCCTGGAGCTGCTGATCCCTCTGATGACTCTTTCCTCACTGGTGGGGCTGGCCTGAGGCCACCAAGCAGGGATGTCCACTCAACATCACATGCCCTTGATTGGCTCCCGGGACACGGGGACAGAAGCTTGGCCTGGCATGTTTAGCTGGCCCCCTCTCTGTCTCCTCCCCCAGGGACCTCAGGCTGGGGAGGCCAGGCTGTTCAGAGGTCTGTTCTAAAGATTCCCAGTGACAAGCAGTGAAGACAGCTAGAACGGAGGAAGAAAGCCAACGGGGTGATCATCAAGGAGGGGTAGAGATGTGAATGGCCAGGATGGCTGCCACTTACTCCTTCTGGGTCCCAGCATCTCTGTAGAAGACAAGGACATATTATCGAAGACAGTGTCACCCACGGTGCCCCACACGAAAGGCATGCAGCTCTGTCCACAACAGGCCTGGGCCCAGCCGTCCCTCTGGGGGTCTCAGCCCTCCCCTGGGGTCCTGCCTCCTCACAGACATACACTCACACCAAGAGGGGACCAGTGGAGGCTGCTGGGGGTTCAGCCTGCACAAAAGCTCACAAAGCGCAGCAGGGAGTTCGCGGTGATGTGGAGAAGGGCGGCTCAGGGGACGGAAGAACGGGAAGGAGTGGAGTCAGGGAAGAATGGGGATGGGGAGCTGCGAGCCTGGGGCTGGAGCACCTGCCACCTGCCCAGCTACCGAAGCCCAGAACTGAAACTAATGCAATTTAAAACTCACCCAAAGGCGGAGAATCTGGAAGGGAGAGAAAGAGAAAATAATTAGAGCCCCAGAGGTTTTTGGCCCATGGCCTCTCCCTTCTGTAGACCCCTGCAGCCTATACCCTCTGAGGGCTTGTCGATGGTGGGCTTCAGGCCGTCCTGGTCCGCCATGCCCCTGATGCTCATGGAGGTCAGTGGGGTCACAAACCCATAGTCCAGCGACATCTGCAGGGCCTGGGATGACAGGTTGGCCCTCTCCTCCCTGTCCACCTTCATCCTGCATTCAAGACAGAGGCTGGCTCCAAGCCCCGACTTGCACGGCCCTCATCCTTTCACCTATCCATTCACTTATTCATTCATTCATTCATTCATTCATTCATTCGACACATAAGTATTAAGCCCCCATGGTGTCCTATGCAGTGGCTACATCCTCAGGGGCCTCCAGGTTTAATGATCTCTTACAGAGATCACTTGGAGATTCGGTGGGGTTGAGGGGCATGCCTCAGAGATACGCAGAGACGTTAACAGCTGTGAGATCTGGGTCAAGAGGTCTAACCTCGCTGAGCCTCTGTGTGCTGAGTGTGGGTAAATAGCAGGCTGCCTTGTGCCCTGGTGGGCCTGCCCGGACTGTTGACTGACTGGTTGATATTAACTCAGTGAGCAAAGCAGAAGAGGAAAGTAAATCTGACCTACTTGCCCCAGAACCACCCCTCCTCTGCTCACCTCCAAGGGGTGGGGGGACTCTGGGGTGGGCAGTGCCCACCTGGGGCAGCTGCAGGTGCCCTACCGCTTGGCCAGCAGCTCCTGGATGGTGAGGTAGGCCCAGAGGCGCTCGACGTGGTTCTCCAGCATGTGGCCACGCTCTCGGAGCAGTTTCTTCATCTCCTCCTCATCCACTAGGCAGGTTATACTGAATTCTTGTCCCTCCTGAGAGTTGAGGTACAGAGAGGGGTGGTGCACCATGATAAGCACGGCCCCTGGCTGGTGCTAGGGGCTCTGAGGGGCCCATTTCGTCTGGTATCTGCAGCTTCGTCCTCAGCATCACCTGCTTCCCTGAGCCTGTTCGCCTCATCCTATTCGTTGATTCTTGCCAAGCACCCTCTGCAAGCCAGGCTTGGCCTGGACCCTAGGGATCCCATGGAATGGGAGAACCAGGCCCTGCCTTGTGGAGTTTCTCTAGGGGAGGCCAATAAGCACCCGGCTGTTTCCACTATGACCCACTCCAAATGCCCACCAAATTCTAGGTGGGCTGCACCATTCAACTTGCCACGGCACACAAATGTGCCTCCTCCATCCAGCTACATTAACCGGGGCACCACTTCCCAAGGGCATCCTATGCACCAGCTGCTGCCTAAGGGTATTATATGGATTATTCCATTTACTCCACACAATGCTCTGATGCAGTATGGTACAGAAAAGGAAACTGAGGCCTAGGGAACTGGACCCCTTGCCCAAGGATGCCCAGCTGGTCAGGATGGAGCCAAGGTCCAGCTCAACTCTCCTTACTCAAAGCCTGAGTTCTGAACCTTCGACCACACTTAGGGCGTTGTCTGTGTCCTGGAGGGCAGGATCCAGGTCTCACATGCCTGTCCCCACCACACACAGGTGCACATACATGCATGCACTGCACCATGGCACAAAGCCTGGCACACAGTAGGTGTTCAGGAAATGGTTATCAAATGAGAAGGGAGAGGTTGGTCTCTTGCTCTCTTGCACCTTGGGATGAATGATGCGAAAAATAACAATTGGTCACTGGGGGCCGAGGGACTGCAACTGATAAAGGCCATATTGGCCCCATTCCAGCCAATCCAGCCCCCAGGATGCCTGTGTGGAGGGATGTTCAGGCCTGGGGTGTATGTGGCATGGTGGGGATGAGGGTACTACTCTGGGGAAAGAGAGGCCTCTGGGGGATGGCAGGAATGGGGAACAGTGTGGGTTTGGAGCCTCTAGGGTGCTGCCTGGCCTCTCCACCCTCCATGGCCCACCATTTACCCCATGGGCCTGCACATCAGCCTTGAAGCTGCTCTGTTTGTTGTCAGCAATGCGCCCGGCCACCACAATCTCTGAGCCTTCGTAGTACTGTTTATGGTGGTTCTGGGTCAGGGCCAAGACAGCATCCTGGGGGTACTGCAAATCCACATCCACCAGCAGGGGTTTGGCTACCTGGCTGTAGAAACCCTGCAGGGATAGAGGTTGCAGCCTTAGAGCTGAGCACCCTGGGCTCCTAATGGGAAGCCTGCCCACAAAGTGGAGTGTTGGGAATTCCCAAGTTAGAGAAGGAATTTGAGGGTCCGAGAGGTCAAGTAGCTGGCTCGAGGTCATGCTGCTGATTTTTTTTTTTTTTTCTGAGACAGAGTCTCACTGTGTTGCCCAGGCTGGAGTGCAGTGGCACAATCTCAGCTCATTGCAACCTCCACCTCCTGGGCTCAAGTGATTCTCCTGCCTCAGCCTCCCAGGTAGCTGAGATTACAGGCATCCACCACCACACCTGGCTAATTTTTGTATCTTCAGTAGAGACGGGGTTTCACCATGTTGGCCAGGCTGGTCTCGAACTCCCGATCCACCCACCTTGGCCTCCCAAAGTGCTGGGATTACAGGCTTGAGCCACCATGCCTGGCCCATGCAGCTGATTTGAACTCTATGCCAGAGCTTTATCTGCTCCTCTAGGCTGATGGGCAAACGGCCACCAAGGCAGGGCTCCCTATGGCATGCCATTGGAGGTACAGGGGGTTGTGAGGGGAGACCTGCAGCTGCTGGGTGGCATCATGGTCCTCGTAGATTCTCTGGGCCCGTCCGTTGTTCTCCATGGACATGACCTCCAGAAAGTTAAAGTCCACATTGTGGCCGAAACCCAGGTTGTAGAGCGGGAACCTGCCCCGGATGGCGTTGCGGACGTTCTTGAGGATTTGGGAACGGTCCGTCACCCCTGCAAGCCACACACCTGGGTAGTGACGGGATGCTGGCCCACAGGCATGTGGGGCACGAGGGGGCTCTGGGGAACACTCCCTGGGGCTCAAGCCTTCCATCTCAGAGCATCTCCAGGCTCCTGGGCATCCTGAGGCATCGCGTCCTCCTGGCTCTCCTGGGAGACTGCAGCAGCTATCAACAGCTCCTCACAGACCCCGCCCATCTAGGTGGGTCCATCACCAGCAGGTCTGATTCTGCTCGAAATCCTGCCATGGCTCCTTTGCCATGGACTGCGAGACCCTGCTGACCTTCCCACGCTTGTTTTACCCCATTCTGCACATGCCCACAGTTCCCGGGCAGGCCCTGCCAGTGCACACACCCTTTTTATGACTTAAGCTGCCTCTTCTGCCTGGGATCCCTTCCTGCCACTCTCCCCTCTTTCTAGACTGAGCTCAGGAGTCACCTCCTCCAGGAGGCCTTCCCGGACATCCCCCTGGGTCAGGTGTCCTTTGTCTATGGTTCCACAGCCTCAAGCACCCTGTTCTTTCAGGGCCCTCAGTATCTACTCCTGGATCTGCTTCCCCCAGTAGGTCCCGGGCTCTTTGAGGGCAGAAATATGTCTTGTTCCCTTGGTATTTCAGTCCCTAGCCCCTTGCTTAGCATACAGTAGGTGATAAATAAATAGTTCATTAAACTGTGAACAGAAGCATGGAATCTTGCCCATCTTCCAGGGACTCATACAGACCTGTGTCATTTAGAAACATCTCCAATTTCTCAACTCACAGGACAGAGGTACACCATAGAGCTCCCTCAGACTTTGTGGTCTGAGCTGTGTTTTTAGACCAGTGCTTGATTTTGCCCTGAGCTTTTCTGCCCCCTGATGGCATCTCCAATGGTTGGGTTTCCAACTTCAGCTTGCATGTCTCGGGTGACAAGGAGATCACTACCTCCCAAGGCAGCCCCCAAGGTGCTTACCCTCTGTGGGATCGCCATCTGTCAACATGATGAGTATTGAGGCATGGTTGCTGAGTTCTGGGAGGCTTTCCTGAACTTGGTTCAAGATCTCAATTCCCCGGAGCAAACCTCCATTCAGGTTTGTGGCTGCAAGGAAGAGAAAGCAGACCAGTGTATGCCCTCATTCTGAGGGGACAGAGGTGACATCAAGGTTGCCTGAGACCCCCACCCTTACCCTCATCCAGGGAAAAGCCCCGCACAAAGTCTTGAGCTGCTTGTAGGTTGGCCTCAGATGCTTGCACCAGCGAGCCCTTCCACGATTGTACTCGAGTCCCAAAAAGAACCAGGTCAAAGTAGTCCCCTGGCTGCATGTCCCCCAGAATTTTAAGGAGTGCCTCCTTGGTCTGCAAGGACAGAACAGTCAGTAGACAGACAGGGCCCCAGGGTGGCCCCAGGACAGCACCTTCCAACTCCAAATACCCATTTCAGAGATCCACAGGGTGGACAAGCAGGAGGAGATAGGACAACCAGGTGGCCCCGAGACAGGAGCATCCTGCCGGGCCTTGGGGTGGATGAGGGAGGTGGAGAAGGCAAAGGAACCCACCATGGGGAAAAGAAATAATCAGGAGTTCGGGAGGGGCAGGATTAAGAGAAAGGACCCCAGGAGCTGTGCTTCTAGAATACTCCTTGTCCAGCCATGTCTACACTGCACCATGGACAGGGCACTCCAAACCCTGTGGGCGGAGAGCTATTCCCTGCTATAAGATGCCTCCCCACGGACCACCGTAATTGTAGTGCACAGGTTTCCTCTTCTAAGCACTTCCCCCAGGGGGTAACTCCATGACCCTGCAGACACCATTGTCATTCCCATTTTTTGCCATTGAGGAGAGGTGAATGCACTTCCTCACGACTGCACAGTGAGGAAGCGATGCTGATTCCAGAGATGCTAACCACTGGGATTTCCTGTTAAATCACTCTGCCTCTGACCAGGAGGATAAATCCCAAACCAGACTCTGGCAGCAAAACTGGCATGTGGTGAGTGATGGGGCTGTGGAAGCTTCTGCTGGGTGAGCTGTTTCAAGCTGCAGCCTACCTGCTTCACTTTCTGGCCTCTCATGGAGCCACTGATGTCAATCACAAAAACCACGTTCTTGTTCATGTTTGTCAGGTTTTGGGGGGCAAAGAAGTGGGCAAAGTGGTTATTGGCCACCTGAAATAGAGGAGAACGAGTGAGGCCACTCTCACAGCACCCCTTGCCCATCCTCTGGGTGCTGAGCCAGAAGCTCAGGGCTCACCAGGAGGTCGCAGATCTTGTCTCGACTGACATCGTAGGTCACCTTGAAGTGCCCGTTCAGTAAGGATGTAGAGCATGTGGGGCAGGACTGCTGCTGGCTCACGGTGGGACGGAACAGCACATGACCCTGGAACCGTCGAGAGTGTGAGCCATTACTGGTCTGTGTAACCACAAACAAGATGTTTGCAAAGACAACATAAGAAGGCATGCGTGTGTGTGTGTGTGTGTTTGCACGGACAGAGAAACGAGTTCGGTGGGCCACTCACTCACCTAGCTGCTGAGAGCACACACCTGTAGGTGGTGGGAGAGATGACCCATTCCCTTGCTTATATGCTTCTGAATCATTGGGATTTTCTACAATGAACATCATCACTTTGGGTATATAAATAATAACAAAATAATAGCAATGTGATACATCTGACAACTCAAACTGTTGAGTGAAAAAGCAGCACTACAATACTGTGGTGAGAAATAAAAGCTGCCCAGGTTGACAAAGAACAAAGACTGGAAGGAAGGGTGCAGAATGGAAGCTGAGGTCTGGTTGGAGTTGGTGATGTGCTTGGGGAAGCTAGTGATGGTTTTTATTCAATACTTTCTATATTCCTGGACTTCATATATTTTTCTATAAAGAAATTTTTGTTTGTTATAAAAGTAAGGTAGGCTCATCAAAAAGAAGCAGAAGCAAAAGGAAGAAGAAGCAGCAGAAAAGAAGAGGAAGAAGAAGAGAAGATAGAAGAAGAAGAAGGAGAAGGAGAAGAAGAAGCAGAAGAAGAAGAAGAGGAAGAAGAAGAAGAAGAAGAAGAAGAAGAAGAAGAAGAAGAAGAAGAAGAAGAAGAAGAAGAAGAAGAAGAAGAAGAAAAAAAAAAAAAGAAGAGGAGGAGGTGAAGGAGGAGGAGGAAGAGGAGAGAAAGGATGGAGGATAAAATAGAACCTTGAAAAAGTCTTGGGAAGACAAGGACCCATCCCTTTGTTCCCCCACAGAAAGCAAGCATGTTTGCTAACACTCTTGAGGTGTCATATTTAGTTTAAAAGGAAACCCCTCTAAACTGTAAGAAGCACTTCTTTTAAATGAATTGTGGTGCAGGCTCTACATAAGTGGGAACTAAAGGATTTGTTCCTGGCTCGGGTTGGGGGCAAGTCAGGAAGCAGGGCATTGCCCATCCATACACCACACTCCTCCAGGAACCTGGGGTGGGGGTGAGCCAGGGGCTTCTGGGATTCCTGCAAATAGTGGCAAGCGACAAGTCGTTGGGTAGGCCAAAGGTCTTTCCAAACTTATGTTTCCAAGAAACCTGAAGCTTGGAGTCCTAACCACACCAGCATATGAGGTTTACTTATGTGCTGGATATTTCCCTGAATGCTCTCCCATGGGCGTGAGGCGGGCAAAGAGGGCACTGAGGCTCAAGCAAGCCAGCAACTCACCCTGGACCATGCAGCCCGTGTGTGGTGGAGCTGGAGCTGGCTCCTTCCCCACCTCAGCATGCAGGCTTTTGCTAAATTGCTCTGAGAACCAGGATAGCTGAGTTCTCCTAGGCACCAATCACATGACACCAGCTTCTCTCATCCTGAGGGCAGACCACAGCCCCTGCCTGGTTTCTGGGCTAAGGCTGGACATTCCATAAGGGGTGGGCAGGCTGAGAAGTCTCCAAAGGGCCCACCACCACCCCCTTGCTATCCCATGTACCTTTTTTCCTGAGAAGGACTTCTTGATAGTTTGGGCTGCCAGTTCCTTCGGCAGGAAAGAGGCCTGGGCATCCAGCTTGCTGATCCCCTGGGGCTCGAAGATGTCCACATCAATCTGCAACATTGAAGCAAATTATTTTTTTAAAAAAAAAGATGGGATCTTGCTTTGTTGCCCAGGCTGGCCTCAAACTCCTGGGCTCAAGCCGTCCTCCTGCCTCAGCCTCCCACGTAGCTGGGATTATAGGCTCACACCACACTGAAGCAAATTCTCTACCAGGGCTCCCACTCACCAAGTCTCAGCCAAGAGCCAGCATGTGTCCTGGCCACCTACTGTGTGCAGCACCCACCCAGCCCTGATCACAGGGCCTGGTACTCAGTAGGCACTCCAAAAATACTGACCAAATGAAGGTGTACATGCCTGCATCCCTCAACTCAGCCACCACTTAGGTGCCAGCAATAATTCCAGGCCCTCAGGCTGCGCGGGACTTTCTAGTTTACAAAATTACCTGGACATTCAGTACTTCTCGTGATCCCTGTGGCGGTCCTGGGACTCACAGAAACCCCCCGTCTAGCAGATGAGCAAACCGAAGCTCAGAGATAAAGAGGAAGTTAGAGAATTCAGGGAGTTCCCTGCCCAAGAAGAGCACATCAGAGCTCACCCTGAGGGGTTAGTCCCCATCCCTGTGTTCTCAGGCCTGGGTGGTGACACATGGTGGGTGCTCAACCAGTGTTGGGAGCCATGGTGACGGAGAGAGGGGCAGGACCCCTGCCCCGGGACCTGTGATCTACCTCAAAATGATGCACCAGCTGCTTGGGCTTGACTTTGATGACAATTTCATACTGCATATGGTTTCTCTTCAGCACTTCCTCATAAGTCAGCTGAAACGTGACCTTGCTCTGGGGATTGACGGTGAGGTGGATGGTGAATTGCTCCATAGTTCTCCCCGAGGCCCTGGATGTGCCACCAGAGGCAACAGCAGACAGACAGAGGGTAAATGACATTTGGGTCCTTGTCACCTAACATGTGGCCCACAGAATTTATTTCTCTTAGATGAGTGTTGCTCCCAGGTTTCCCTGGACCTCACAAATGTGTTAGCTGGCTGGTCAGGGTCAGGGCCCAAGATGGCGGGGGCCCACTTCTCCCAGTGGCATATCTGGGAAAAGGGCAACTGCACGGCAGCCTGTTCAGTGCACCGTGCTGGCATCTGGGTTTGGGCAGTTTGCTTACCCTTCCATCATCCTGGGCTGTTCTCCACTAAAGCCACCTTGCAGCCATCAGACCTGTCCTGGCTGGGGAGGGCAGCCCTAGAGATGAGACCAGCAGGCCCAGAACTCACCTGACAAGGCCGGCATTCTCTCCTGAGATAGCTGCTTTCCGGTACTGCTTCCATGCAGTCACCTTGTCCTTTATGTCTCCGATAAATGCGTTTCCATCTGCTGTACTGCAGGGAGGGAAGGACACCCTCAGGAAAGATGAGCCTCCTGACCACACAGGTCCTGAGAGGGCCTGTCCATGTGAGCCCTTGGATAAGGACGTCTCCTGACGAGCCTTCCACTGCCCATGGTGGAACTCAGGGGTCCATGGGCAATGAGGTGAGCAGCCCAGGTCAGAGGCCAGCAAGAAGCCTCAGACTCTGGCCTTGGCTCCTTGGGTTCTAGCCTGAAACATGCTGTGATGGGTCCCAGTTTGCCTCCAAGATGGGAGCCAAGCACAGACCTAAAGGGCTTCTTCCTCCCCTCAAAGCCAGGGCTGGTCTGTGGCCCTTCTAGAATGAGGAGATGCTCTGCGTTATCTGGCCACTCCGATCCTTGTTCTTAAGCTGGGACTAGTAAGCGGCACCCCTGGGAGAAGGCATGGGAGTTGGGCAGGCACGCACACGGCAAAGTCACTGATGAATGCTGTCTTGGGGATTTCCAGGTCGAAGGCCACTTCCCTGGCTTCATTGGCAGTGTTGACCACTTGGCTGGTGACAACATAGTGGGCGAAGCGAGAGGTGACTTTGCAGTTGACTTTCAAACTCCGGATGAACACGCCATCGACAGCCTAAAGTGAGACATGAAGGAGCTGTGGCCTGAGACAGGGCCTCTGTCAGCGAGGGACTTCCTGTGGTACGGGGACTTGGCACTTAGCCCCAGTGCATGGTGCCCAGATGCAGGAAGAACAGACCGCAGGAAGACCCCTGCTCTCTGGCTGAGACCGTGCTGTGGGATATGAGGTGAGATGGGAACAAGTCCCCATTTCTAGGACCCTGGAGAGTACCCCATGCCTATGGCCCTGATAGAGGGGTCCACCCCTGACAGGTTGGGGAAAGCAAGCCTGTAAAAAGGGCTCTGTCACAGACCCCTTTGCCAGGACTCTTACTCACGGTGTCCACAGCCTGTCGCTTCTGCAAAACAAAATCAGGGTCAAGTGTGAGAGGAAAACTCAGGGGACCACCGGCCTGCCAGTTCAGGGATGGGAGTGGAACACAGCCTGTGTCCTCTGCCCCTTAGCTTCACCTCCTTGGTGGTGCTGGGAGGTCACCTCTCCACTCAGAAGTGGTGGAGGTGGTGGGGGTGACCCTGGCCCCTTGAATGGGGGTCTTGTGTCCCGCCCGGGGCCTCATCCAGGTTCAGCTGCCTATTTCTGCCCTGTGGGCTTAGCCATATACCTCGCTGCTCTTGGACCTGCCTGTAGCCGAGCCCAGGGCAGGCATGGCCTGCAGGATGAGGAGAGATACCAGGTACATGCACAACAGCAGCCCCCGAGGCCCCATGGCACCGTCCATGCTCTAAGGCTCCTGCTGCCCTGTCACCTCAGTCAGACCAGTAATCAATACAGTGCTGGATAAACATGGATTAAACATTAGACAAGGTGCAGGCAAATATTAATGACAAAAACCGCAATGACTTTTGCATCAACCTAACACATTTAGAGGAATCAAAATTTGGCAGTGGAAGCTTTTTGCCTCAGGGGGGTTCCCAGCTCTGGGTGGTTAAACTACTGATGGGGCTCCAGACCATGTCCCTCTGTGTAGAACTGCGCTTAGCCTATGTGAACTGTGAGGATCCCCGGATGGCTCATCTCATCCTCGGGCTGGCACAAGGCAGCACCAGTGACACGGTGACATGTGGCAAGAAGCAACAGTTAAAAATGGATTTCTAAACTTCATTAGGCTTTACTTTTTTTTTTTTGAGATGGAGTTTTGGTCTTGAGTGCTAGAGTGCAGTGGCAGGATCTTGGCTCAGTGCAACCTCCACCTCCTGGGTTCAAGTGATTCTCCTGCCTCAGCCTCCCGAGTAGCTGGGATTACAGGTGCACACCACCATGCCCAGCTAATTTTTGTATTTTTAGTAAAGACGGCTTCACCACATTGGCCACGCTGGTCTCGAACTCCTGACCTCAGGTGATCTGCCCGCCTCAGCCTCCCAAAGTGCTGGGATTACAGGAGTGAGCCACTGGGCCCGGCCAGGCTTTACTTTCAAATTTCTTTTTTTTTTTTTTTTTTAAGACAGGGTCTCCCTCTATCGCACAGGTGGAATACAGTGGTGCGATCTTGGCTCACTGCAGCCTCGACCTCCCAGACTCAACTGATCTTCCCACCTCAGCCTTCTGAGTACCTGGAACCACAGGAATGTGGCACCACACCCAGCTGATTATTTTTATTTTTTGTTGAAACAGGGTTTCAGTCGGGCGAGGTGGCTCATGCCTGTAATCTCAGCACTTTGGGAGGCTGAGGGAGGCAGATCACTTGAGGCCAGAAGTTCCAGCCCAGCCTGGGCAACATGGTGAAACCCCATCTCTACCAAAAATACAAAAATTAGCCAGGTATGGTGGCATGCGTCTGTGGTTCCAGCTACTCAGGAGGCTGAGGCAGGAGAATAGCTTGAGCCTGGAAAGTGGTGGTTGCAGAGAGGCAAGATTGTGCCACTGCACTCCAGCCTGGGTGACGGAGCGAGACTGTCTCCAAAAAGAAAGAAAGAAAAGAAAAGAAAGAGAGACAGAGAAAGAAAGAACAGAAAAGAAAAAAGAAAAGAAAAGAAAAGAAAAAAGAAAAGAAAGGGAGGGAAACAGGGTCTCACTTTGTTGCCCAGACTGTTTCAAAATTCTTTCAGCATCAACACACTTTTCAGTCATGCTTTGGCCAGGGAGGCAGACACGGTGGCTTAGAAAGTGTGTGACATCCAGCCATGCTGGTGATTCTCACAGTGCTAACCTGGTATTAGCTCTGTCAGAGACAGTCTGGACGGTCGGGGTGAGGCATGATGGGAGATCTGCGCTTTAGGCCAGTTGCTTCACCTCTCTGAGGTTCTTACCCAGTTCTAGAAAGAACAGAAGTGAGCTTCCTCGTTCCTGCACCTGGGCAGGGAGGCCTGGCAGATAAAGGGGAGCTGAAGATGAATGACATGTTTTCATAATCGAGGACTCATTTGTGTCATGCATTCCTCTAAA
The DNA here is from genome assembly GCF_000001405.40 of Homo sapiens. NCBI lineage: Eukaryota > Metazoa > Chordata > Mammalia > Primates > Hominidae > Homo > Homo sapiens. The sequence continues at coordinate 52,775,951 of NC_000003.12, read as the reverse complement.
CCCTTTATTGTCTAATTTTATCCTCGCAACGTTCCTGGGACACTGGCCCCATACCAAGAGACAGAACAGGGATTCAAACCAGGTCTCTCAGGCTCTAAAGCCCAAGGCCATCATGTAATGACAGAGAAGCAGACTTGAAGATCCTAGAGACAGGAGTTCCCAGAGACCCATCTTGCACCTGCAGTTTCTTATTTTTTTATTGCCAAACCCACCCTGTTCCCCAAAAACCACAGCATACTGGGCAGACAGGGCCCCTGGCCAGTCTAGTCTGTGACCTGGGTTGGGATGTGCTGGCTGCTGTGACCCTGATAAGAGGAGGGGGCCCAGAGCCCTCACTGATCTCTGTTTGCTTGTCCTGGACTTTGTCTCACAGAGCAGCTTCTGGGAAGAGTTTATTGTCCTTAGGCCACGGTCACCTTCTGGCCTGTCTTCTGGCCTTTGTAGAAGAGAAGCTGGATCGACATGACAGTGTACATTTGAAGTTCTGCTTATTTCCTGCACCAGTATCGACCAAGCCCTGCAGTGTGTTGGGCACAATGCCAGGCACTGAGAGGCCACCATACAGAAACCTGAGTGCCCTGCTGTGTTCAGTGAGCTGATGTCAGGGGAAAAGGGAATCAGACAAGTCAAAGGGAGCCCACTGAATCCCAAGGAGTGATGAGAAGCTGAAGAGATAGAAATTTGGAGGGGCAGAGGCTCATCTCCTGCAGGGATTAGGAGAAGGTTCCTGGATGAGGTGCCTGGAAAAAAGAGCAGTGCTTGGGAAGGGGAAGGCGGGAAGGGAGGGAGAGAAAAGCAGACGGGCAGGTGGGATGTATGCTGTGGGAAGGTAGAGGTGTCTGGGATGGGAGCAGGAGCTGATGAAGAGGGTAGGGAAGGTGGCTGGGAAGGGGGTTGGGACCAGCTGGCGCAGGGGTCTGAAAGTGATTAGCCTTTTGGGTGGGAGATACTTAAGATATTTTAAGCAAGGGTGTGATGAGTTCAAGACTGGGCTGTTGAGAGATGGCTAGCACCAAGCCTGGTCCATGTAAAGTGCTAGAAGCATGTTTGCACAGGGGGAGGGTGGACAGGAGATGGGGAGAGCTAACTATGACCTGTGCCTGTCATGCTTCTTAGCATCACGTCCGAATTCATTTACTGCTCACAACTCCCCACAAGAGACAGATATTATTGTTACTATTATCCTCATGGTACAGAGAAAGAGACGTTGGCCCACCATATGCATGTGGGAGGTGGGGGCCAGGGTGGACAGAAAGCAGCTATGGTTGCTGAGGATTGAGAATGGGGAGTGTAGCTGTGCTGCTGGTGCCGGTGGGACAGCACATGGGCCCAGACCTGCTCTGAGCGCCACCCACACACAGCCAACTGTCTGCTTGATGTGCCCACAGCCCCTCCATCTGGTATGTCCAAACTGAACTCCTGACCTTTGTCTCCTCCTCCCCACACCCCGTTACTAAGCCAGATCTTCCCCCTGTTGTCCACTCCAGTCAAGGCCACCGCCATCTAGTTGGCCATCCAAGCCAGAAGGCTGGGTGGCATCCTGGGTGCCTCAGTCTCCTTGACCACCTACCCCACCTCCCACCCTCTGAATATCCCTCTAATCCATTAACTTCTCTCCCCATCCCCCGTCACCACCTAGTTCAAGCTGCCCTCATCCCTCATTTAGACGGCTCATCTCCTCCTTCTGCTCTGCTCCAGGCAGCAGCCAGAGTCACCATTTAGAAAGGTCAGTCTGCCGCAGGCCTTTCCCTGTCTCGCACACCCTATCCTGAGTGGTATGGCCCCTGCTGACCCCTCTATGTCACCTAGCCCATGGCCCCTCTGAGTCTCTCAGCTTCAACTGCAGAGACTTCTTTTAGATCCAGGTAGGCAGGTGCTTCTCCATTCATTCATTCAGCAAGCGGCAATTCCTTCATTTATACCTGCTGGGTTTAGGGTGTTGAAGCAGACAGGCCTGGCCTCGTCCTCAGGGAGTTCACATTGCGGTGTGGAGGTAAAGTCACAAAATGAATCCACTGGATCTTAGCACATGTTGCTCCTCTGCCTGAAAAAGTTTTTGTTTAAACTTCCACTCATGCGGTGCTTGCTTGGGGCAACCTCTCCTGGATGGCCAGGCTGGGCCTGGCGGCTTTTCTGAACAGTACTGACCTCAGTTGGCAAGGGTAGCTTGTTAGTATGCATGGCCGTCTCCCTCTTCGACAGTAAGCCCCACATGGGCAGGCCCTTGTCTGTCTTGTTCATAGTTGTCCTCCAGGTCCAGGCTAGTAGACCCTTGCTAAATGTCTGTAGAATGAATGATAGGTTTTTTTTTTTTTTTTTTTTTTTAGAAGGAGTATTGCTCTGTCGCCCAGGCTGGAGTGCAGTGACATGATCTTGGCCCAATGCAATCTCCGCCTCCCGGGTTCACGTGATTCTCATGCCTCGGCCTCCTGAGTAGCTGGGATTACAGGAGCAGTGTGCCATAATTTTTTATTGTGGTAAAATATACAAAACATAAAATTTATTATTTAACCATTTTTAAGAATACAGTTCGGTGGCATAAGTACATTCATGTTTTGCATCCATCACCACCATCCATCTCCAGGACTTTTTCATTTTCCCCAGCTAAAACTCTGCACCCATTAAACACCAACCACCAATTCCCTCCTCTCTCCAACAACTGGCAACCACCATTCTACTTTCTGAATCTATGACTTTGACTACTACAGGTACCTCACATAAGCGAAATCATACTTTTGTCCTCTGTGACTGCCTTATTTTGTTTAGCATAATGTCCTCAGGGGTCGTCCATGTTGTAGCATGTCAGAACATCCTTCCTTTTTAAAAATTTATTTATTTTGAGACAGAGTCTCACTCTGTCACTCAGCTGGAGTGCAGTGGCAGGATCATGGCTCACTGCAGCCTCAACCTCCGAGGCTCAACTGATTCTCCCACCTCAGCCTCCCAGGTAGCTGGGACTACAGGCATGCGCCACCACACCCAGCTAATTTTAAAAATTTTTTGTAGAGAAGGGGGTCTCACTGTGTTTCGTAGGCTGGTCTCAAGTGATCCTCCCACCTTGGCCTCTCAAAGTGCTGGGATTAGGTGTGAGTCATAGTGTGTGGCCTCTAGAGCACTAACTTTAAAAAGCTACAATTACAAATCCTTCCTCTGTCCCTCTGAGATATATACCTATGTATTTCCTACAACCTAGGAATGTCTTTCTCAAGGACCTGAAATCCATTCCTTTGGAATGTAATCATCATAAAGGTAGGGCTCATGTCTCCCAGTCTATGTGGGAGAATAGAATCCTAACTTCCCTAATTGCCAGCTAGCAGACACAGTTGGCCTAATCACATTTACGCTAAGCACTCCTTTTAATTTTTCACTTCCCAGACTCTAAGTGAGCCCCTGCATGCTCCCCTGCCTACTCCCTTATTCTTCCTTTGGAATGCCCAATCACCCCTGCGCAAATGGAATGGAGTTCAGCTGCTTCCCCTACTGTCAGTAGTTACTGAATAAAATCTATTTTCATCATTTTAATGCCTGGCTTTGTTTATCTTTAATAATATCATTAACTAGAGTTCAATCTTTATTTATGGTTCTTTTTGTTTGGTTTTCTAGTGAAGATGAAATTGCTTTGAGTAAAATGTGCAAATACTAAATGTACCATTAGATAATTTTGACAAATTCATACACCCAAATCTCCTATCAAGATATATATCAAGGATGAGGAGAAATTTGAACCCCTGTGGATTGCTAATGGGAATGTAAAATGGTTCAGCTTGCTGTAAAAAATGGTGTGGTGGTTTCTCAATACATTAAACTAGAATTAGCATATGATCCAGCAATTTCACTTCTGAGTGTATACCCAAATGAATTAAAAAGAAAGCAGGGACTCAAACAGATATTCGTACACCCATGTTCATAGCCGAATTATTCACAATAGCCAAAAGATGGAAGCTATCCGTGTCCATGACTGCATGAATGGATAAACAAATTGTGGTGTATACATATAATGGAATATTATTTGGCCATAAAAAGGAAAGAGGCCAGGCACGATGGCGCACACCTGTAATAACGGCATTTTGGGAGGCCAACGTGGGTGAATTGCTTGAGCCGAGGAGTTCAAGACCGGTCTGGGGAACATAGTGACACCCTGTCTCTGAAAAAAAATAAAATAGGATTAGCCAGGCATGGACGTGTGTGCCTGTAGTTGGGAGGATGGCTTGAGCCCAGGAAGTCTAGGCAGCAGTGAGCACCATTGCACCACTGCACTCCAAGCTGGGTGGCAGGGCGAGACCCTGTCTCAAAAAAAAAAAAAAAAAAAAAAAAGGAAAAAAAGGAAGCGCTCTGGGAAAGGGAGGCTTTGGCTGGAACAAATGGTGAATTCTTTTGGCACCCCTGAGCTTTCTTGGGCAGGCATTTTAAAGGGGCCTAGGCCCACCTAGAGATCCGCCCTTAGGCTGTTAACTTAGCATGATGCCATGTTAGAGTTTAGTCAAGTCTCTTAGTGCAGTGGTTAGGGTAGTCGTTAAATGCTGAGGAGTCTTTGTAGTTCTCAATTAGCAGGCGAGTTTTTAGGGATGAAAGGTACTGATAATTTACTTTGAATGTATCAAAAAATAGGATGGATTGCTGGATGCAGAGACGGCATGTGATAAAGCGGATACAGCAAATGTTACTGGTAGAGAGTCTGTCACCCAGTCATTAGAACATGAGCTCCAGGAGGGCAGGGACTTTGTTGGCCTGGCACATAGGCGGTCAACAAATATTTGCAGAATGAACGAACAATACTTGTAACGGCCTTAGGACAAACAAGTGCACAAAAAGAGGAAGCTTTCCCTGACTCTGTTGTGGCGGGGATCCGGACGGTGGAACGGACGCACAGAAAGTGCGCGGAGCCTGGCGGAGTCGCTCTGGCCTCCTGGAGCCTCTGCTCTATGGCGGGTCCTCCCGGGGCTGCGGAACCTCTCTGGCCGCTCGTGGCGTCCGCTCTATGGCCGTCCTTTGGGGACGCAGGAGCATGCGCAGAACTGCTCCCGGCCCGGATCGCTATGGCAGCGGCGTCGTCGCGGGCCGGGCCCCAGCAATCCCGCCCGGGCCCGGCTGCCTCAACAGCCGCCCCCACTGCCCCCTCTCGGGCATGAACCGAGCTTCTTGTTGCCGCCCGCTGCCCTACCCGCCGCTGCCGCCGCATCCCGACTCTGGGCCAGCGCTGGGAACATGCCCCTGGCCGCCTACTGCTACCTGCGGGTCGTGGGCAAGGGGAGCTATGGAGAGGTGACGCTTGTGAAGCACCGGCGGGACGGCAAGCAGGTCTGCAGGGGTGGGGCCCGGCAAGGGGCGGGGGCGGGCAGAAGTGCGCCGAGGGCGCCGACCGGTAGATTAGGTCGGGGGTGGTCGCAAGAGGCTCATCTCGGATGGCGTTTCCTCAGGGAAATGGTCCCAGACCAAGACGAGGCCTGGCCTCCCTGTAATATGCGCCCAGAACTACTTCTACTTCTTTGTTGTGTTAAATTTTTTTCCTTTTAATTTTCATTTTCTTTAATTACAATTCTAAGTTTTATGTAAAAATTTTCAGTCTCTGCCTATCTACTTCTTTGTTGTACTAATTGGCATGCGTGATCTACACACCTTTCTCCCAACCCCGATACTCTCATGAGAGCCGGTATCATGCATTCCCAGGACTTAATACAGCGCCTAGCAAGCATTATTCCTTGAATGAAGGGCCCCAAACGTCTCTACTGTAGACTGCTGGATTCACTTAAAACTCGACTCATTTTCTTCCCGCCAAACCTTCTCTCATGTCTTCCGTTTCAGTGAATAGTGACACCAACCCACCAGTTGCCCAAGCCGGACACCTGGAGTCATTTTTAAGCCTCCCCACGCACCCCAACACTGATTATATTCATCTATCACTAAGACAATAGGCCTCCTCTCATCTCTACTGCTACCACCCCAATCCAGGACACCCTGTTGTCTCTAGCAAAGCTATGGCCACGGTTTCCCAACTGGTCGCCGCCACTTGACTTGCTTTTCTCCAATCCATCACTTTCACTGCAGCCTCAGTGATCTTTCTCAAATTTAAATCTGATGTTGTCACTCCTCTGTTTAAAACACTTTATCCCATTACTCTCAGGATAATGAACCAATTATTCAATGTGGTTTATTAATAGGGTGACAATATAATGTACAAACTGGGACAATTTTGAAACTGAAAGGCATTATTAATAGTTACACCAGGACAGTAGGACTGCTCCAGGCAAGCTGAGAAGAGATGTTCCCCCTAAATATAGGGCCCAATTGCCTGTTCTTCCTTGTCTCTGGTGCTAGTTGCTTTGCGTGGAACACAAGCTCATGCATAAGAAATTTATTCAGTAGGCATTGGGGGAATCATTGGATTTTGGGGCTGATGATAGGGAACTAGCAATAGCTAGTTATTTGAGCTTTAGTTTACACTTCACAAAACACATTTATCTATGTGTTGAAGAAATGAATTGTATGGTCTTTGAAATGATTGAGGGCAATGTATTAGGTATTAGAGGCTATTGATTTCTTTTAAGTGTGAATAATTTTGTATGCTGAAGATCAGTGACTATTAAACTTATGGGGCCATGGATCCCTTTGAGTATCTAACGTAATCCACAGACTATTCTGTCTGCAAATGTATAGTCAAGCTATATTTTATTCACCTTTTTGGGAGAGCTTAGATATTAAGGAATTTCTTTTTTTATTTTTTATTTTTTTTGAGACAGAGTCTTGCTCTGCCTCCCAGGCTGGAGTGCAGTGGTGCGATGTTGGCTCACTGCTGCAACTACTGCCTCCCAGGTTCAAGCAATTCTCCTGTGTCAGCCTCCCGAGTTGCTGGGACTATGGGTACACACCACCACGCCGGGCTAATTTTTGTATTTTTAGTAGAGACAGGTTTCACCATGTTGACCAGGCTGGTCTTGAACTCCTGACCTCAGGTGATCCACCCGCCTCACCCTCCCAAAGTGCTGGGATTACAGGTGTGAGCCACTGTGTATGGCCAGATATTAAGGAATTGCTAACACAGGTTTTATAATTGATCCAATGGTATGTTATCTTGAACTCACTTTTTTTAGTCATTAATGAAATTGTGAAATGCAGATGGGAAAGGTAATTTTTGTGGCCCTACACTGCTATAAATCTAACTTATAAGAAGTATCAATAATAGCAAATATTTTCCCCGATTTTGTGCTTGGTGAAAAACAAAATGAATAGGTTATCTGACAGGCTCCACAAGGTTGGTTTTGAGGGTATTCTTGAGAGCCCTTAGATAACTCTGAGGCCACAAATCTTACGTTTATTTGCACATTGTAAAAATACATGGTTTGTTTTTAGTATGTCATCAAAAAACTGAACCTCCGAAATGCCTCTAGCCGAGAGCGGCGAGCTGCTGAACAGGAAGCCCAGCTCTTGTCTCAGTTGAAGCATCCCAACATTGTCACCTACAAGGAGTCATGGGAAGGAGGAGATGGTCTGCTCTACATTGTCATGGGCTTCTGTGAAGGAGGTGATTTGTACCGAAAGCTCAAGGAGCAGAAAGGGCAGCTTCTGCCTGAGAATCAGGTGGTAGAGTGGTTTGTACAGATCGCCATGGCTTTGCAGGTACTGTGTAGACTAATAGCATCCTAGCTTGTTCCCAGATGGCAAGAAGATGGCAGGTGTATTTTAGGAAAATTTTTCTTCAGATACTTACATATAGAAATGTATTTTTTGGAAAATTCATTTGTGAAGTTGACCCAGTCACTCTTTCTGTAGCATTGGAACTTTTCTAAGTAAGTGATACCTATATTAAAATAGACATAGATTTCATGTCTGATTGCAGGGGAAGCCCACTCAATTACCATTTATAGCAAAGTCAATTTTAAGGACCCTGAGGCAACCAAGAGCATAGAGTGACTATGTTTGTTATCCATTGGTCAGTCGTGTCATGCTGAAAGGTGGCTAGGCTAATTGATATGCCCAGTGATTTCATCTGTCAGTCTGCTGGGGTACAGTAGATGGGAATGCAAAACAAGTTTTCTTTTTTTTATTTTTTAGAATTGGGCAGCACATCATTCCTTAAGATGGAATAAGTGTTCCTACAAGTTTGTGTTTTAATATGCATATAACTCAAAAGCGAGACGTTTATGAAATACTATTTTGGAACTGGGTAGACTTGTCCAGAATTAATTGACCATGTTTAAATTCTGAGATACTTTCTCTCTTTTTTTTTTTTTCTTTTGAGACGGAGTTTTGTTTTTGTTATCTAGGCTGGAGTGCAATGGCACGATCTCGGCTCACTGCAACCTCCACCTCCCAGGTTCAAGCGATTCTCCTGCCTCAGCCTCCCAAGTAGCTGGGATTACAGGCGCCTGCCACCATACCTGGCTAATTTTTTTTTTTGTATTTTTAGTAGAGATGGGGTTTTACCATGTTGGCCAGGCTGGTCTCGAACTCTTGACCTCAGGTGATCCACCTGCCTCGGCCTCCCAAAGTGCTGGGATTATAGGCGTGAGCCACCACGCCCGGCTGAGATACTTTCTCTAAATAAAAATGCTCTTGCTGTACTTGAAAATATTATTAAGCTGAGGATTTCATGGGTCTGAGAGGACTGTGCGTCTGACTTTGTATAAGTTGTCCTACCATCAGTGGAGTTTGTAAGCATTGTTTTTTTTTTAAGACAGAGTGTCACTGTCGCCCAGATTCGAGTGCAGTGGCACAATCGTGGCTCATTCCAACCTCCACCTCCTGGGTTCAAGTGATTCTTGTGCCTCAGCCTCCCAAGTAGCTGGGATTATAGGCGTGCGTCACCATGCCCAGCTAATTTTTGTATTTTTTTAGTAGAGATGGGGTTTTGCCATGTTGCCCAGGCTGGTCTTGAACTCCTGGCCTCAAGTGATCCGCTCACCTCGGCCTCCCAAACTGCTGAACACTGCGCCTGGCCTGTAAACATATTTTTTTTTTTTTTGAGACGGAGTCTCGCTCTGTCGCCCAGGCCGGACTACGGACTGCAGTGGCGCAATCTTGGCTCACTGCAAGCTCCGCTTCCCGGGTTCACGCCATTCTCCTGCCTCAGCGTCCCGAGTAGCTGGGACTACAGGCGCCCGCCACTGCGCCCGGCTAATTTTTTGTATTTTTAGTAGAGACGGGGTTTCACCTTGTTAGCCAGGATGGTCTCGATCTCCTGACCTCATGATCCACCCGCCTCGGCCTCCCAAAGTGCTGGGATTACAGGCGTGAGCCACTGCGCCCGGCTTGTAAACATATTTTTAAACTGGATTCATGTAATGCCAAAATGGTATAATTGTCAAGCTACCAGGGAACAGTTTTGATGGGTACTGGGTAAGTCAACACATGGAACTTAATTTTCTCATTTCAAAAATTGTAAATTAGACCTTTTATTTAGAGATTATAAAGCAATAATGTTTGGTAGGTATTTGCTTGTTGAATAAGGAATTGTATGGTTGGTTACTCTTTACGGTCAAAGACTCTAACTCATGCCATTGCTGATGGTATATAATAAGCCAGGAATAAATACATAATTAAGTCTATTTATATGTAATAAAATCTTGTTTCTTTCCTCAGTATTTACATGAAAAACACATCCTTCATCGAGATCTGAAAACTCAAAATGTCTTCCTAACAAGAACAAACATCATCAAAGTAGGGGACCTAGGAATTGCCCGAGTGTTAGAGAACCACTGTGACATGGCTAGCACCCTCATTGGCACACCCTACTACATGAGCCCTGAATTGTTCTCAAACAAACCCTACAACTATAAGGTAGGATTGGGCTCTGTATGCTGGCTTACCTTGTCTCTGGGAGAGTGCTTGTAATTTCAGAAGTTAATTAAGTCAGAGAATTATCTATGAATTGGTTTAAGGAAAATGTTTTCTTTTTTTAAAGGGAAAAAAATGTAAATAAGCTATTCTGACATTTAACCGTTTACTGTTTTTATTTTCTAGTCTGATGTTTGGGCTCTAGGATGCTGTGTCTATGAAATGGCCACCTTGAAGCATGCTTTCAATGCAAAAGATATGAATTCTTTAGTTTATCGGATTATTGAAGGAAAGGTAAAGAATAATCTAGAACTAATTGACCAGTATTTCTATAGTGCAGCTTTATAAATAGCTACTAGCAAAATCATTGATGATTTTGATGAGTCAATGAGTAATTATTGAGATTGGGTTGATAGTTAACAATGGTGGGTCCCTTCTGTGGGGAAGGTCAGACTAGAGGAAAAGGGATTGATGGATCATTTCTTAATATTAATCTGTAAGCCAGCTTAATGGCTCAAAAGAATTGGCTTTTTGAAAACCTATGCCTATAGTCATAGGATGTGCCGATGCCCTGAGAGGCTATTTGTCTCTTCTTCTAAGCAGCCTATGATTCAATGAGCTACATTTAAAATGAGTTTACTCTGTTTGAACTTGTCGTTCCTTTGATAATCATCACAACAATCAGTAACTAGTTAAGAATCACAGAAAGCATTGTGTCTGATATAGACTCCAGAGTGACTGGCTTTGTATGTTCCATGAGGCTAGTTGCCCTTTATAGATTCAGGCATCCATGTATCATTAAGGTTTTTTTTTTTGTTTTTTTTTTTTTGAGATGGAGTTTTGCTCTTGTCTCCCAGGCTGGAGTGCAATGGCATGATCTCAGCTCACAGCAACCTCTACCTCCTAGGTTCAAGTGATTCTTGTGCCTTAGCTTACCAAGTAGCTGGGATTACAGGCACATGCTGCCAGGCCCAGCTAATTTTTGTATTTTTAGTACAGACGGGGTTTCACCATGTTGGCCAGGATGGTCTCGAACTCCTTACCTCAGGTGATCCGCCCGCCTCAGCCTCCCAAAATGCTGGGATTACAGGTGTGAGCCACTGCACCTGGCCAATGTACTGTTAAGTTTTAAAGGCCATAAATCATCTATTGATTTTAATACTATCCCACAACTTATTTAATTTTTCAATTTGAAGCATATTGAAAAACACACACAAAAGTAAAATTTTCCCATAATGCCACTACTTAAGAATCAAACAAGAAGGGAGTGAAATTCTCTTCTCTTTCTATTCCCATTCCCTGGAAGATGACCATTGCTAGCAAATTGGTACATGGCCTTTCTGGTTTTTTCCTGTCTTTATACAGACATAACTCTGTGTGTGTGTGTGTGTGTGTGTGTGTGCATGTGTGTGTGTGTGCATGCGCACGCGCACACCCACAGATTCTTAAACTGAAATCAGGCTGTTCACATGGTACATAACTTGTTTTTTTGACTTAATATATGAGGAACACATCCTTCCAAGTCGGTACCTGCAAGTTTTTTTTTTTTTGAGACAGAGTCTCACTCTGTTGCCCAGACTGGAGTGCAGTGGTGCAATCTCAGCTCACTGCAACCTCTGCCTCTCGGGTTCACGCCATTCTCCTGCCTCGGCCTCCCAAGTAGCTGGGACTACAGGTGCCCGCCACCACGCCCGTCCACTTTTTTGTATTTTTAGTAGAGATGGGGTTTCACTGTGTTAGCCAGGATGGTCTCCATCTCCTGACCTCATGATCCACCCGCCTCGGCCTCCCAAGGTGCTGAGATTACAGGTGTGAGCCACTGCACCCGGCCCAAGTCTTGTATTTTTTAACCTGCTGCCTAGTTTCGTTTCTTTTCTTTCTTTTTTTTTTTTTTTGAGACAGAGTCTCGCTCTGTTGCCAGGCTGGAGTGCTGTGGCGTGATCTCGGCTCACCGCAACCTCCACCTCTCTGGTTCAAGCAATTCCCCTGCCTCAGCCTCCTGAGTAACTGGGATTACAGGTGCATGCCACCACGCCCAGCTAATTTTTTTGTATTTTTAGTAGAGACGGGGTTTCACCATGTTGGCCAGACTGGTCTCAAACTCCTGACCTCAGGCAATCCACCTGCCTCGGCCTCCCAAAGTGCTGGGATTACAGGCGTAAGCCACTGCGACTGGCCCTAGTTTTTATAAGAAGAATGCATGATAATTTATTCCACAAATCCCCTAAGGGACATTTATGTTTCCAATTGTTTACTACTGCAAGAACAGTACTGCATTGAACATCCCGATACATAAGTCTTTAGGAAACTCATACTCTTATTTCTGAATGAGAGTGTCATCAGATGGGACTGCTGGGTTGGAGGATATACTTTTATAATTTTACAACTTGTTATCTTACAACTGGGATACCAGTACACTTCCTGTAGACTAATATACTGATTGTTTTCTGCTTATGTGGACATATGACTATAAATAAATATTGGGAAACCTCTACCAGCTTTTACTTTGTTTCACAAGACCATTAGTCATAATTACAATATTATTTTTATTTGTAGCTGCCACCAATGCCAAGAGATTACAGCCCAGAGCTGGCAGAACTGATAAGAACAATGCTGAGCAAAAGGCCTGAAGAAAGGCCGTCTGTGAGGAGCATCCTGAGGCAGCCTTATATAAAGCGGCAAATCTCCTTCTTTTTGGAGGCCACAAAGATGTAAGATACTTCCCTTGCAAATAGCTGGGCTAAATAGATGGGGTGAAAGAGGGTGGCTTCTGTAATATTCATATGCAAGAATTAATGGTGAGTTTTCTTAAAAACAAGAAATAAAATGGCATGATTACATATGTAGAGGAGGCAAAATTCTACCCTCTTAGGGTTTCTTGGCTGAGCTTGAGAATTAAACTTATAATTTAACAGGAGAAAAGCATGTAGATTTCTTTAATACCTGAATAAGTTTTATGTGACACAGGAGCCCTCATAAGGAAATGAAGACCTAACTTCTACTAAAAATACAAAGAAGTGGCAAAACCTAAATGCTTTTTGCTTGATTGAACAAAGAGAGGCAATTGTGGAAAAGTAAACTAGGTGGAGAGGCTAAAGGAAGATAAGAATTATTTTAATAAGGTCTGTTTATAGAATTCTCTCAGTTTCAGCTTTCCATTCTTGATAATAAGAATGTTACTTTCCTTCTGGTACAGGGAGGACGTATTTCATATGGGAGTTTTATCTTCTGCTTTCTGGAAGAAAAAGGGAAGATCAGAGTGCCCTTCTTGCACTTACTTTTTTTTGTTTGTTTTTTTTTGAGATGGAGTCTTGCTGTGTCACCCAGGCTGGAGTGCAGTGGCATGATCTCAGCTCACTGCAACCTCCGCCTCCCGGGTTCAAGCAATTCTCCTGCCTCAGCCTCCCCAGTAGCTGGGATTACAGGCACCCGCCACCGTGCCCGGCTAATTTTTGTAGTTTTAGTAGAGACAGGGTTTCCCCATGTTGGCCAGGCTGGTCTTGAACTCCCGACCTCGTGGTCCGCCCACCTCGGCCTCCCAAAGCTTGCACTTACTTTTTAAAGAACCTTAGCCCAAAATAATCTTTATGCCAAAGTAGCATATTTTGGCGTGGCATATTCTCCCAGTCTTCAAATACATGTTGAAATTTGCTTAATTGCTAAAATCAGAAATTTGGAGAACCACTGTCACATTCCTCAGAGGGTTCTAAGACATATAGTGTAAATTTTTTTTTAAAGGACATATGCACTACTCTGGGCTCACTGCCTATGAGTTAGTCCTGTTCTCAAGGAGCAGCCAAATAATAATAAAAAAAAAGAGGGCATATGTTTTAGAAATCATATAATTAGAGATTATCTGAGAAACCTATACATCTTACTGTGTAAGATAGTAATATTTAAAAAGTAGTGCTCACATTTCTGAGAGCTTGCATAAAGTTCCCTCTTCATTCACATTAACTTCCCAAGAGAATTCCTTGCTTTGGCTTGCAGATCCTACCTTTACTAAACAGGTGTTCCAGGATCTAAGACTTAGGGCTGGACAAAACTATTACAATCTGTTTGGCTTCTCCTCTTGCCTTGTGGCATGTTAAATTTGGAAAGAGAGGAGGCAGTGCTAGAGATGCCTCAGGGAATAAAGAAGAACCATCTTTTTGTGTACATAATTTCCCACCAAGCAGACCTTTGGCCTTCCAGTGTACTGATCTCCATGCTCCTCTTGAATTCTCCAGAGGTTTAGCCCAGTTTTAGAAATGACATACTAAAATAGTTGGGGATGTTATTCCTGTATGCATTTATTCTATAAGCAGGACTAAGTGTACCAATCAGTTTTACTCTCAAAGTTAGCCAAGCAGTTGTGGTATTATTACAGACATGTAAAATTTGAAAATGAAAATTAACCTGATACTCCCGTATGTGAGGCAATCTCCCATAGAATTTTTATTTTGGAATAATTTTGTATAAACAGAAAAGTTGGAAAGATAGAGTGGAGAGTTCCTGTATACCCCTCATCTAGTTTCTTCTGTGATTACCAGATTACATACCCTAATGCATTTGTCAAAACTAAGAAACCAACATCGAAATATTACTATTGACTTGGCCATGCATGGTGGCTCACGCCTGTAATCCCAGCACTTTGGGAGGCCGAGGCTGGCAGATCACCTGAGGTCAGGAGTTTAAGACCAGCCTGGCCAACATGGCAAAACCCCGTCTCTACTAAAAAAAAAATACAAAAAAATTAGCCGGGCGTGGTGGCGTGCACCTGTAGTCCCAGCTACTCGGGAGGCTGAGGCACAAGAATCACTTGAACCTGGGCAGCGGAGGTTGCAGTGAGCTGAGATCACGCCACTACACTCTAGCCTGGATGACAGAGTGAAACTCTGTCTCAATTTTTTAAAAAAAGAAAGAAAAATATTACTATTGACTAAATTCCAGACTTTCTTTGGCTTTCACCAGTTTTTTTCTCTAATGTCTCTTTTCTGTTCCAGGATCCAATCCAGGATATAGTACATCTAATCAGGGGTCTGTGATTGTTTCTCACTTTGTTTATTTTTTATGACCTTGATTGTTTCAAAGACTACTGGTGAGGTGTTTTGTAGGATGCCCCTTAGATTTTTAGAAAACTATTCTCTATAAATGGTGCAGTTCTGTAAGGGAATTCATTGTATACACACACTCCCACATATACCTAAAAACCCTTAATCTTCAGTATATTGATAATAACTCTTTCTTTTCTTCTTTATAAAGAAAAACCTCCAAAAATAACATTAAAAATGGTGACTCTCAATCCAAGCCTTTTGCTACAGTGGTTTCTGGAGAGGCAGAATCAAATCATGAAGTAATCCACCCCCAACCACTCTCTTCTGAGGGCTCCCAGACATATATAATGGTACGTTTCTTTTTAAAGGGTATGTGTTTTAGAAACTGCACTTAGAAAAATGGGCCATCTAAGCAAATTATTTTGTGTGAAATGATTATGCTTTACTAGAGATTCTGTTGTACAATTAATTCCTTACTGTAAAGAAAGAATACTGGTTAAGGTGATTGATTTAGCTTTATCCAAATTGGGCTGTCAAATTGTTCACAAAGTCAGTGCTGTAATAACTTTAAGAATTTTTTAGGTGAAATTTATATAACAAAATTAACCATTTTAAAGTAAACAGTTAAGGCTGAGCGCGGTGGCTCATGCCTGCAATCCCAGCACTCTGGGAGGCCGAGGCTGGCAGATCACCTGAGGTCAGGAGTTCAAGACCAGCCTGGCCAACATGGTGAACCCTCATCTCTACTAAAAATACAAAAATTAGCTGGCTGTGGTGGCATGTACCTGTAGTCATAGCTACTCAGGAGGCTGAGGGAGGAGAATCGCTTGAACCTGGGAGGTGGAGGTTGCAGTGAGCCAAGACTGCACTACTGCACTCCAGCCTGGGTGACAGAATGAGACACTGTCTCAAAAATAAAAATAAAAATAAATAAAATAAAATAAATAAATAAAGTGATCAATTAAATGTGGCCAGTACATTCACAGTGTAGTGCAACCGTCACTTCTATGTAGTTCCAAAACATTTTCATCACCCCAAAGGAAATCTCTTCCTCATTAAGCAGTCACTCCCATTTTGTCCTTCACCCAGCCTCTGGCAACCACCAGTGTGTTTCCTGTCTCTATGAAGTTACCTGTCCTGGATATTTCATGTAAATAGAATCATTAAATATATCCTTTTGTTTCTGGTGTCTTCCACATAGCATATTTTCAAGGTTCATCCATGTAGCATGTATGAATACTTCATTTCTTTTTAGGTCTGGCTACCATTATGTGGATATACCACTGTTTATCCATTCATCCATTAGTAGACATCTGGGTTTTTTTCACCTTTTGGCTATTGCTATGAACATAAGTGTGCAAGTAGTTGAGTACCTGTTTTCCGTTCTTTTGGGTACATACCTAGCAGTGGAATTGCTGAGTCAAATGGTAATTTTTGGTTTGACTTTTTTTTTGGTTTGACTTTTTGAGGAACTGTTGCACTGTTTTCTACAGTGGCTGCACCATTTGACATTCCCATCAGCAGTGCACAAGAGTTCCAGTTTCTCCACATCTTTGCCGGCACTAATTATTTTCTGATTTTTTGATTCTAGCCATCCTAGTGGGTGTAAAGTGGTATCCTATTGTATTTTTGATTTGTATTTCCCTAACGATTAATGACATACAGCATCTTTTCACATGCTTGTTGGCCATTTGTATGTCTTCTTTGGAGAAATATCTGCTAAAGCTTTTGCTTTTTTTTTTTTGATACAGGGTCTTGCTCTGTTGCCTAGGCTGGAGTGCAGTGCTGCGATCACGGCTCAATCTAGCCTCCACCTCTCTGGATCAAGTGATCCTCCCACCTCAGCCTCCTGAGTAGCTGGGACCACAGCATGCCACCATGCCTGGCTAATTTTTTTATTTGTAGAGACAATGTCTTACTATGTTGCCCAGGCTGGTCTCAAACTCCTGGGCTCAGGAGGTCCTCCCACCTTGGCTTCCCAAACAAAGTGCTGGAATTACAGGCATGAGCCACTGTGCCCAGGCTTTTTTTTTTTTTTTCTTTTTTCTTTTTTTAAGAGAGGATCTTGCTCTGTTACGTAGGCTGGAGTATAGTGGCATCATCATAGCTCACTACAGCCTCTGAACTCCTTGACTCAAGGGATCCTCCTACCTCAGCCTTCCGATTAGCTGTGTCTACAGGTGCACGCCACCATACCTGGCTAATTATTATGATTATTTTTGTAGAGGTGGGTCTCACTATGTTGCTCAGGCTGGTCTTGAACAGTTCTTCTGCGTTTTCCTCCCAAAGTGCTGATATTACAGGTATGAGCCACATCACCCAGCCCCTGCCCAGTTTTAAATTGTGTTTTTGTCTTTTTGTTGTTGAGTTGTAGGAGTTCTCGATCTGTGTTCCAGATACTAGTCCCTTGTCAGATAGACAACTTGCAAGTATTTTCTCCATTGTATAGGTTGTCTTTTCTTTCCTTTTTTAGTTAAAATTTTTTTTTTTGTTTTTAAAAATTTCTTTTGTTTTTTCACTTTCTTGATAATGTCCTTTTCACAAAAGCTTCTAATTTTGATGAAGTCCAGTTTATCTATTTTTTTATTTTGTTGTCATAGCTAAGAATCCCTTGCCAAATCCAACGTCTTGAAGGTTTATGCCATAGTTTCTTCTAACAGTTTTATAGTTTTAGCTCTTATATTTAGGTTGTCGATCGAATTTTTAGTTTTAATTTTTTCATTATGATAAAGTACACATAATGTAAAATTTACTATTTTAACCATTTGTAAGTGTACAATTTAGTGGTGTTAAATACATCTATAATGTTATGCAGCCATCACCCCTCATCTTCATAACTCTCATATTGTAAAACTGAACTCTGTTACCATTAAACAGTATCTCCCCATTCCCTACTACCCCAGTCCCTGGCAACCACTGTTCTACCATTCTACTTTCTTTCTTTTTTTTTTTTTTTTTTTTTTTTTGAGATGGTGTCTTGCTGTGTCACCCAGGCTGGAGTGCAGTGGCATGATCTCGGCTCACTGCAACCTCCACCTCCCTGGTTCAAGCAATTCCCCTGCCTCAGCCCCCTGAATAGCTGGGATTACAGGTACACGCCACAACATCTGGCTAATTTTTTTTGTATTTTTAGTAGAGACAGGGTTTCACCACGTTGGCCAGACTGGTCTTGAACTCCTGACCTCAGGCAATCCACCCACCTTGGCCTCCCAAAATGCTGAGATTACAGGTGTGAGCCACTGTGCCTGGCCCACCATTCTACTTTCTGTCTCCATGGTTTTGACTAGTGTAAGTACCTCAGATAAGGAGATCTTGCATTATTTGTCTTTCATGACTGCCTTATTTCGTTTCACATAATATCCTCAAGGTTCATCCATGTTGTGACATATGTCAGAATTACCTTCCTTTTTAATGCTGAATAGTATTCTGTTGCATGTATATCCCACGTTTTGTTTATCTGGTTCATCTGCAGATGTACATTTGTGTTGTTTCCACCTTTTTTGCTAGTGTGAATAACGCTGCTATGAACATGAATGTACACTTATCTCTTTGAGACCCTGATTTCTTTTTTCTTTTTTTTTTTTTTTTTGAGACGGAGTCTCACTGTTACCCAGGTTGGAGCGCAGTGGCACAATCGTGGCTCACTGTAACCTCCACCTCCCAGGTTCAAGCGATTCTCCTGCCTCAGCCTCCCAAGTAGCTGGGATTACAGGCATGTGCCATCATGCCCAGCTAATTTTTGTATTTTTAGTAGAGATGGGATTTCACCATGTTGGCCAGGCTGGTCTCAAACTCCTGACCTCAGGTAATCCACCCGCCTTGGCCTCCCAAAGTGCTAGAATTACAGGCGTGAGCCTCTGCTCCCAGCTAAGACCCTGATTTCTCTTTTGTTGGGTATATAACCAGAAGTGGAACTGCTGACTACATGGTAATTCTAACTTTTTGAGGACCTGTGGTACTGTTTTCCACAACTTCTGTATCATTTTACATTCCTATCAGCAGTACACAAAGGTTCCAATTTCTCTACATTCTCACCAGTACTTGTTATTTTCTGGGATTTTTTAGTAATAGCCATCCTAATGGGCATGAGGTGGTATCTCATTGTAGTTTTGATTTGCATTTCCTTAGTGATTAGTTATATTGAGCATTTTTTGTGTGCTTATTGGCCGTTTGCTATCTTTTTGGGAGGAGCGTCTATTCAAATCCTTTGCCCATTTTTGAGTTGGGTCGTTCATTTTTTGCTGTTGGATTTTAGGAGTTCTCCATATATTCAGGATGTCAATTCCTTATCACATATATGATTTGCAAATATTTTCTCTCATTTTGTGGGTTACCTTTTTACTCTGTTGATAGTATCTTTTGATGCACAAAATTTTTAATTTTTGTGAAATCCAGTGTGTCTTTTTCTTGTGTTGCCTGTGCCTTTGGTGTCCTATCCAGAAAATCGTTGGCAAATCCAATGTTGTGAAGCCTTTGCCTTATGTCTTCTTCTGAGAGTTTTATAGTTTTAGGTCTTACATTTAGGTTTTTTGTTCATTTTGAGTTAATTTTTATATATGGTGTTAGGTAAAGGTCTGACTTCATTATTCTGTATATGGATATCTAGCTTTTTCAGCACTATTTGTTGAAAAAACTGTCCTTTCCTCATTAAATGATCTTGGCATCTTTGTCAAAAATCATTCGACCACATATGTGAAAGTTTATTTCTGGGTTCCCCATTCTGTTCCATTGGTTTCTATGTCTAATGTCTGTTTTTATACTAATACTACACTGTTTTGATAATGTGGTTTTGTGGTATGTTTTAAAATCATGAGGCATGAGTCCTCCATCTCTATTCTTCTTTTTCAAGATTGTTTTGGCTATTTGGGATCCCTTGAGATTCCACTGAATTTTAGGATGGATTTTTCTATTTTTCCAAAGAATGTCATTGGGATTTTGATAGGGATTAGATTGAATCTGTAGATTGCTCTGGGTAATATTAATATATTGACAATATTAAGCTTTTCTCAAGGAGATGCCCAAATGTAAAAAGAGAAAAAAAGAAAGAACAATGTTAAGTCTTTCAATCCATGAACATGGGATGTGTTTCCATTTATTTATGTCTTCTTTAAATTTCTTTCAGCACCATTTTGTAGATTTCACTATGTAAGTCCTTCTTTCGCCTTTTGGTTAATTCCTAATTATTTTATTATTTTTGATACTATTGTAAATTGAATTGTTCTTGTAATTTGCTTCTCAGATTGTTTATTGTTAGTGTATAGAAATGCAACTGATTTTTGTATGTTGACTTTGCCTCTTGCTACCTTGCTCAGTTCGTTTATTAGTTCCAACAGTTTCTGTATGTGGAATCTTTAGGGTTTCCTAGACACAAGATCATATCTGCAAAAGGAGATAATTTTACTTCTTCTTTTCTAATTTTGATGCCTTTTATTTTTTTTTTCCTTGCCTAATTGCTCTGGCTAGAACTTCTAGTACTATATTGACTAGAAGAGGTGAAAACAGGCATTCTTGCCTTGTTCCTGATCTTAGAGGAAAAGCTTTCAGTCTTTCACCATTAAATGTGATGTTTACTGTGGGTGTTTCATATATGACTTTTATTATGTTATGAATTTTTTTTTCTATTCGTAGTTTGTTGAATTTTTTTTTAATCATGAAAAGGTGTTTTTTTTTCACAGCCCTGAAAATCATCACATAAGGGTGTTGATGATCATGTGTTTTTTTTCCTTCATTCTGTTAATGTGGTCTAATAGTACATATGAAGCATATAATTCATTGTCCTTAATTAGATTCACAGTATCATGCAGCCATCACCACTATCTTCCAAAACCTTTTCATCATTTCAAACAGAAACTTGGTACCCATTGAGCAATAATTTTCTATTCCCCGTATCGTCAGGCCCTGGTAAGCTCTCATCTACTTTTTGTCTATGGATTTGCCGATTTGCCTGTTCTAGATATTTTATGTAAGTGGAATCATACAATATTTGTCTTTCTGTTTCTGGCTTCTTTCTTTCTTTTTTTTTTTTTCATTGTTAAGAAGTTTTGTTTTTCTTTTTTCTTTTTTTTTTTTTTGAGACGGAGTCTTGCTCTGTCGCCCAGGCTGGAGTCCAGTGGTGCGACCTTGGCTCACTGCAAGCTCTGCCTCCCGGGTTCACGCCATTCTCCTGCCTCAGCCTCCCGAGTAGCTGGGACTACAGGCGCCTGCCACCGCGCCCGGCTAATTTTTTTGCATTTTTAGTAGAGACGGGGTTTCACCATGTTAGCCAGGATGTTCTGGATCTCCTGACCTCGTGATCCGCCCATCTTGGCCTCCCAAAGTTCTAGGATTACAGGCATGAGCCACGGTGCCCGGCCCACAGTTTTGTTTTTCAAGCTGTCCATTGCCATTGGTCAGCTTGAACTAGTCCAGAGTCCAGCAGGAAAGTGCATGGTGTACCAGATTCACCATCTCTTAAGTTGCTACTGTTTTCTCTTCTTTACTGAAAGATTGTACTGAGCCAGGCTTTACCTATGACAGGCCGGCGACACGTACACTTATTGTGCTGTTCTTCAGGCTTTTCTGAGTCAGCATCTTTTCTCTGGCTTCATCATGTACAGAAGGATTCCATGGAGAAAAGCTAATTGCATGAGTCTTCTATTTTAAATTGGTCAGACAGACGAGTAATACATACCTTAACACTGTCAACCACTTTACTCTTAAAAAGCTGAACATCTTTCTCATACAGTATTGCAGCCTCTGGGTTTAGGGGGCTTTTTGTATCAATCTTGTAGAAAACTCTCCCTGCATATTGTTAGTACTTGCCAAATTTGGTTATGATTCCACCTCCATTTTCCAAATGCTCTTCACATCCAGTTCATCTGAGGTGGCATCACCTAGTAGGTGAAAGATGGGAATACCAAATATCAAGCATGGATAGTCACCATCTGGATAGTAATTAGGGATGGATGTAAACTGCAAACTTAAATACACCATCTTTTGTTTTTGAGACGGAGTCTCGCTCTGTTTCCCAGGCTAGAGTGCAGTGGTGCGATCTTGGCTCACCGCAACCTCTGCCTCCTGGGTTCAAGTGATCTCCTGCCTCAGCCTCCTAAGTAGCTGGGATTACAGGCATGTGGCACCACACCAGCAAATTGTTATATTTTTGGTTAGAGACGGGGTTTCACCATGTTAGCCAGGCTGGTCTCGAACTCCTGAGTGCTCCACCGCCTCGGACTCTCAAAGTGCTGGGATTATAGGTGTGAGCCACCGCGCCTGGCCTAAATATGCCATCTTGATAAAGTCTGTGCCCTATGAATATTAGTCCAAACCACTTTAATACAGAGGGATAAGATGGCTGCACATAGACACCTAATAACGTCTGCTCCGCAACCAAGGTAAATTCAGCAAGAAGAGAGTATTTCAGGTGGACGAGTCTGTAGGAAGCATGCATGCCATTTGTTGACTGTGCTGCTGGGACAGGCTCCGTAGGCTTAGTTATGGGCAAAGCATTTTTGGGAATAGAAGGCAGCTGTTTCTTTGGCATAGTTCATCAAAGACTGGTTTTTGCATCCCCTGCCAATGTTTTCAGCTTCAGATCGTTTCCATGTAGAGCTTGTAGACATGCTCCAGAAAGAGTACATAATGTGTACTCCAAACAAAGAAATTCAGTAGTATGTCATCAGACTCTTCCGTCCTCAGCATTCAATTTACCAGCCTTCCGGGCATTGTGCCTCACCTCTGTGCCTTCAATGTAGAGTTCCCAGCTGCCTATCACCTTTGTGGCCCAGCGGCATCTCTGGCCACAGTGCCAGTCCTGCCCCTGCTTGCTCCCTGCCCTGTCCTGGCTTACTTCTTTTCTTTTCTGAGACAGGATCTCAACTGTGTCAACCAGGCTGGAGTGCAGTGGTGTGATCACGGCTCACTGCAGCCTTGACCTCCCGGCTCAAGCAATCCTCCCACTCAGGCTTCCAAGTAGCTGGGACTACAGGCACTTGCCACCATGCCCAGCTAATTTTTTGGTATTTTTTATAGAAATGGGGTTTCGCCATGTTGCCTAGGCTGGTCTCAAACTCCTGAGCTCAAGTGCTGGGATGATAGGTGTGAGCCACCACACTTGGCCTGGCTTATTTTACTTAGCATGTTTTCAGGGTTCATTCGTGTTTTAGCATGTATCAGAACTTCATTCCTTTTTATAGATTAGAAATATTCCATTGTGTGTGTGTGTGTGTGTGTATATATATATATATATTTTTTTTTTTTTTTTTTGAGGCAGGGTTTCACTCCTGTTGCCCAGGCTGGAGTGCAGTGGCGGGCTCTCGGCTCACTACAACCTCCGCCTCCTAGGCTCAAGCAATCCTCCCGCATCAGCCTCCCAGGTAACTGGGACTACAGACATGCACCACCACACCTGGCTAATTTTTGTATTTTTAGTAGAGATGGGATTTCACCATGTTGCCCAGGCTGGTCTCAAGCTCCTGGCCTCAAGTGGTTCACTTGCTTTGGCCTCCCAAACTGCTGGGATTACAGGTGTGAGCCACCGTGCCTGGCAGTATTTACCACATTTTGTTTATCCCTTCATCTGCTGATGGACTTTTGGGTTGTTTCCGCCTTTTGACTATTTTAAATAAAGCTGCTGTAAACATTGGTGTACAAATACTTAACTTAAATCCCTGCTTTCAGTTCCTTGGATTACATACTTAGGAGTGGAATTGCTGAGTCATATGTTAATTCTATGTTTAACTTTTTGAGGAACCTCTTGTTGCATTTTGAGTTGATTTTGTATAAGATATGAGGAGTGCTATAATAATTTCCAAACATCTTTTCATTCAGGGTGAAGGCAAATGTTTGTCCCAGGAGAAACCCAGGGCCTCTGGTCTCTTGAAGTCACCTGCCAGTCTGAAAGCCCATACCTGCAAACAGGACTTGAGCAATACCACAGAACTAGCCACAATCAGTAGCGTAAATATTGACATCTTACCTGCAAAAGGGAGGGATTCAGTGAGTGATGGCTTTGTTCAGGAGAATCAGCCAAGATATTTGGATGCCTCTAATGAGTTAGGAGGTATATGCAGTATTTCTCAAGTGGAAGAGGAGATGCTGCAGGACAACACTAAATCCAGTGCCCAGCCTGAAAACCTGATTCCCATGTGGTCCTCTGACATTGTCACTGGGGAAAAGAATGAACCAGTGAAGCCTCTGCAGCCCCTAATCAAAGAACAAAAGCCAAAGGACCAGGTGAGTGATATGCACACATGAGATACTGGTTTTGGAGAGAAGACTGAAAGTGCAGTTACAAATATGTGGGTTCTGTTGTCATTTTAGGAAAATCAGTAATTCTATGTATCAGTTTAAACATAGAAGAATATTTGCATCAAACCAAAAAGAAACCCAGTACCCTATAACAGTCACTCACCATTCCCTCTTGCCCACAACTCGTGGCAACATTTGTCTCTATGGATTTGCCTATTCTGAGGATTTCATATAAATGGAATCATACAATTTATGGCTTTGTGTGTTTGGCTTCTTTTTTTCTCTTTTTTTTTTTGAGACAGAGTTTCACTCTTGTTTCCCAGGCTGGATTGCAATGGCGCGATCTCGGCTCACTGCAACCTCTGCCTCCTGGGTTCAAGCAGTTCTTATGCCTCAGCCTCCTGAGTAGCTGGGATTACAGGCATGCGCCACCACGCCCAGCTAATTTTTTTTTTTTTTTTGAGACAGAGTCCCACTCTGTCGCCCAGGCTGGAGTGCAGTGGCGTGATCTCGGCTCACTGCAACCTCCGCCTCCCGGGTTCACACCATTTTCCTGCGTCAGCCTCCCGAGTAGCTGGGACTACAAGCACCCACCACCACACCTGGCTAATTTTTTTGTATTTTTAGTAGAGACGAGGTTTCACCGTGTTAGTCAGGATGGTCTCGATCTCCTGACCTCGTGATCTGCCCATCTTGGCCTCCCAAAGTGCTGGGATTACAGGCATGAGCCACCGCACTCGGCCGATGCCCGGCTACTTTTGTGTTTTTAGTACAGACGGGGTTTCTTCATGTTGGTCAGGCTGGTCTCGAACTCCCGACCTCAGGTGATCAGCCTGCTTTGGCCTCCCAAAGTGCTGAGATTACAGACATAAGCCACTGGGCCTGGCCTGCCTTCTTTTACTTAACCTGATGTTTTCAAGGTTTATCTATGATGTAGGATGTACCAACATTTTATTCCTTTTTTAAAAAAATTTCATTTTTTAATTTTTTGAGACAGGGTCTCTGCTGCTCAGGCTAGCGTGCAGTGGTGCAAACACAGCTCACTGCAGCCTTGACTTCCTGGGCTTAAGTGATCCTCCTGCCTCAGCCTCCTGAGTAGCTGGGACCACAGACATGCCCTGCTAATTTTTTTATTTCTATTTCTTGTAGAGAGATGGGGCCTTGCCATGGCCATGTTGCCCAGGCTGGTCTCAAACTCCTGGGCTCGACAGTCCTCCCAACTTGGCCTCCCAGCGTACTGGGATTATAGGCATGAGTCACTGGACCCTGCCTCATTCCTTTTTATTGCCAAATAATATACTGTATTTGTATTTGTGTGCCTGTGTGTGTGTGCATGTGTGTGTATACACACACATATATGTATTTTTTGTTTGTTTGAGTCTCACTCTGTCACCCAGGCTAGAGTACAGTGGCACGATCTCAGCTCACTATAACCTCTGCCTCCTGGGTTCAATGATTCTCGTGCCTCCGTCTCCCAAGTACCTGGGATTGCAAGTGCATACCACCATGCCCAGCTGATTTTAGTATTTTTAGTAGAGATGGGGTTTCACCATGTTGGCCAGACTGGTCTCAAACTCCTGACCTCAAGTGAATCGCCTGCCTTGGCCTCCCAAAGTGCTGGGATTACAGGTGTGAGCCACCACACCCAGCCTATATATATTTTATTCATCCATTCATCAGTTGATGTACATTTGGGTTGTTTCTACTTTTTAGGTACTTTTGTTTTCTAAGAGGAAGGTTATATGTGGATAATGCGGCTATGAACACTTGCATACAAGTTTCTGTGTGGACATATATTTTCAGTTCTGTTGAGTATGTACCTAGGGGTAGAATTCCTGGGTCATATGGTAACTCTATGTATTAAACTTTTTGAGAAACTGCAAAATTGTTTTCCAAAACAACCATATAATTTTATTTCTGCCAGCAATATATGAGGGTTCCAGTTTATCTGCATCCATGCTAACACTCGTTACTGTTCATTGTTTTGAACATAGTCATCCTAGTAGGTATGAAGTGGTTGTGATTTGCATCTCCCTAATGACCAATGATGTTGAACATGTTTTTCTTTTTCTTTTTTTTTGAGACAGAGTCTTGCCCTGTCGCCCAAGCTGGAGTGCAGTGGCACAATCTTGGCTCACAGCAACCTCCGCCTCCTGGGTTCAAGTGATTCTCCAGCCTCAGCCTCCCGAGTAGCTGGGATTACAGGCGTGTGCCACCACGCCCAGGTAATTTTTGCAGTTTTTCTAGCAGAGATGGGGTTTTACCATGTTGGTCAGGCTGGTCACGAACTTCTGACCTCAAGTGATCAGCCTGCCTCGACCTCCCAAAGTGCTGGGATTACAGGTGTGAGCCACCGTGCCCAGCCTTGAGCATCTTTTTATATACTTTGGCCAGTATTTCTCCTTTGGAGAAATAATCTATTTGAATTCTTTATTCTAGATACCAGTTACTTATTAGATACAGCATTTGAAAATATTGTCTCCCGTCCAGGAATGGTGGCTCACGCCTGTAATCCCAGCACTTTGGGAGGCCGAGGCAGGAGGATCCCTTGAGGTCAGGAGTTCAAGACCAGCCTGGCCAACATGGTGAAACCCTGTTTCTACTAAAAATACAAAAATTAGCTGGGCATGGTGGCACGAGCCTGTAATTCCAGCTACTCAGGACGCTGAGGCAGGAGAATCGCTTGAACCTGGGAGGCAGAGGTTGTAGTGAGCTGAGATTGACCCAGTGCACTCCAGCCTGGGTGACAGAGCAAGACTCCATCTCAAAAAAACAAAAAAGGAAAATAAAATATTGTCTCCCATCCTCCCCTCCCCTCCCCTCTTCCCCTTCTGCAAGGCCTTGCTCTGTTGCTAAGGCTGGAGTGCAGTGATGTGATCTCAGCTCACTGCAGCCTCCACCTCCTAGGCTCAAGTGATCCTCCAATCTTACCCTCTCGAGTAGCTGGGACTACAGGCATACGCCAGCACGCCTGGCTAATTTTTTCTATTTTTTGTAGGGACAGGGTGTCCCTATGTTGTCTAGGCTGGTCTCAAACTCCTGGCTGGGCTCAAATCATCCTCCCACCTTGGCCTCCAAAGTGCTGTGATTACGGGTGTGAGCCACCTGTGCCTGGCTGAGCATCTAATTAATATGCATCAGACATAGTCCTAAGTACTTTTAGTGTATTCTTTCAGCTAATCCTGAAATAGTAATACAATATGGCTGTGGGTATTAGATCCATTTTTAAATGATGAAACTGGGCTCAGGGAAATTAAGTTTCTCACATAAGACTGCATCTAATGCCAAGCTCAATGGTCTTTTTATTGTGCTTTTTAGGGTACATCCAAATAACTGATGTTTACTTGGGAAATAAATTTGTATTAAATTGGAATTCATTTAAAACATTGGTTCATTTTCAGAATGGAAAACCTATGAAAAGTTATGAGGAGATTTTTAAAAATAATTGAATCAAACATCAGTAGTTTCAGATTAACCACAATTTAAGTGATTGAATTAAAACAATTATTTTTATTTGGAGGAAGAGAAAAAAATCAGAACATTTGGATAACTGATGTCGGCATTTTGTCTTTGCCTGTCAACACTGCAAATAAACATTCATTTTGAGAAAGACAACTTCTCATTTTCTTTTTAATTTATTAAAAAATTTTGGCCAGGCACAGTGGCTCACACCTGTAATTCCAGCACTTTGGGAGGCCGAGGCGGGCGGATCATGAGGTCAGGAGATCGAGACCATCCTGGCTAACACAGTGAAACGCCGTCTCTACTAAAAATACAAAAAAAAAAAAAATTAGCTGGGCGTGGTGGCGGCCACCTGTAGTCCCAGCTACTCGGGAGGCTGAGGCAGGAGAATGGCGTGAACCCAGGAGGAGGAGCTTGCAGTGAGCCGAGATCGCGCCATTGCACTCCAGCCTGGGCGACAGAGCGAGACTCTGTCTCAAAAAAAATTAAATAAAATAATAATTTTTTTTTTTGAGACACTCTTGCTGTGTCACCCAGGCTAGAGGACAGTGGCATGATCACAGCTCATGGTAGCCTTGACCTCCTGGACTCATACAATCCTCTTACCTCAGCCTCCTGGGTAGCTGTGACTACCTGGCATATCACTACATCTGACTTTTTTTTTTTTTTTAAATGGAGATGGAGGTCTCACTCTGTTGCTCAGACTGGTCTTGAACTCGTGGCCTCCAGTGGTCTTCCTGACTTGGCTTCCCAGAGTGTTGGGATTACAGGTGTGGGCTACCACACTCAGCTTCTTCTCATTTTCATTTACAATTTTAAAAGTAGGCATGGAGCGTTTGGCCATTTGGATGTTCAAAAGACTTCATTATTTTGTGTTTTTGTGTGTGTTTGCTTCATTTTATAATCATTATTTTTTAACTGTTGCATTATGATTTAATTTCATTGCACAAAAATTTGAAATTGCAACTGCTTTTCTTTTCTTTTCTTTTTTTTTTTTTTTGAGATGGAGTCTCACTCTGTTGCCCAGGCTGGAGTGCAGTGGTGCGATCTCAGCTTACTGCAGCCTCCCCCTCCCGGGTTCAAGCAATTCTTCTACCTCAGCCTTCTGAGTAGCTGGGATTACAGGTGCGTGCCACCATGCCCAGCTAATTTTTGTATTTTTGTAGAGACGGGGGTTTCACGATGTTGGCCAGGCTGGTCTCGAACTCCTGACCTTGTGATCTGCCTGCCTCAGCCTCCCAAAGTGCTGGGATTACAGGCACAAGCCACCATGCCTGGCCCGCTTCTTTTGTTTTCTAAGAGGAAGGTTATGTATACCTCTATATTCAATTCTGCATTGTTATATTTGAACCATATTGTGAACTTTACATTGTGATGGGTCATTTTAGAACTTCCATGTAACACTAAATTGCAATATGGAAACCAGTTTTTAAAACTGAGGAAAGTTTTCATGCTAAAAAACAAAAGCCACTTTTTATGGACAACTTACTTTGGATTACAATGTACCAGGTTGCTGCTATACTTTAAAATGTCATTTTATTGTTTTTAAGGATCAAGTTGCTGGTGAATGTATTATAGAAAAACAGGGCAGAATCCACCCAGATTTACAGCCACACAACTCTGGGTCTGAACCTTCCCTGTCTCGACAGCGACGGCAAAAGAGGAGAGAACAGACTGAGCACAGAGGGGAAAAGAGACAGGTCCGCAGAGATCTCTTTGCTGTAAGTCATTTTGCTTTGGTTTGGGAGGTGGACTTTGGGAAACTCAATTTCTATTTAGAGCAATTAACAATTGCCAAAAAGGCATGTAAGAAATGCAAGGAACATAATACAGAAGGGTGACAATGGCAAGATGCTAAATAGTAGTTTTCAAATATCAGTGAGTTCGAAGCAGAGTAAGGATTTTATCTTCTCCAGCAAAGATGGACAGATCATTTTGAAAGTTAAAGGAATAGGCTAATGTGGTTAAACCTTTGGCCCCATCTGTATTGTACTGATGAACAGTTCTTTCTTCAGCTTCTCCACAGAATCATGTTGACATCTCATTTCTAGAAATAACTTCAACACGTATCCTCTCCATAACCTTCTTAGATGACTGACTTTTGGCAGAGTCTTTCCAAAAAAATGCAATGTTTTGAAGGTTTTAAGAGCAAACCACGGACAAATACATAGAGAACCTGCTGATAGGGGAACATTGGAAGGGGCTATATATGAAACTGATAATCTTCTTTTTTAATTATTTAAGTTCCAAGAGTCGCCTCCTCGATTTTTGCCTTCTCATCCCATTGTTGGGAAAGTGGATGTCACATCAACACAAAAAGAGGCTGAAAACCAACGTAGAGTGGTCACTGGGTCTGTGAGCAGTTCAAGGAGCAGTGAGATGTCATCATCAAAGGTTTGTGGGAACATATGCTGGATTTTTAAAAACCTTATAACCAGACGTGGTGTATCATGCATGTAATCCCAGCACTTTGGGAGGCTGAAGCAAGAGGATCAATTGAGTCCAAGAGTTCAAGACTGGCCTGGGCAATATAGTGAGACCTTGTCTCTACAAAAAATTTAAAAATTAGCGAAATGTGGTGGCATGTGCCTATAGTCCCAGCTACTCATGAGGCCGAGGTGGGAGGATGGCTTGAACCCAAAAGGCGGAGGTTAAGGTGAGCCGAGATCATGCCACTGTACTTCAGCCTGGGTGACAGAGCAATAACCTGTCTTAAAGCAGAAACCCTCCAAAACCTTCTTATAAAGCTTTTTGTTTGTAAAGTCTTGTGTATATTATGAAGTTTTGTATTAAAACATCTTAGCTCTGCTTCTTGCCAAACACTGGAAGGAACAGATGGGACAGATGTGATCTCAGCAGAATCTTTTTTTTTTTTTGAGGTGGAGTCTCGCTCTGTTGCCCAGGCTGGAGTGCAGTGGCACAATCTTGGCTCACTACAATCTCCGCCTCCTGGGTTCAAGCAATTCTCCTGCCTCAGCCTCCTGAGTAGCTGGAACTACAGGTGCCAGCCACCATGCTCGGCTAATTTTTGTATTTTAGTAGAGATAGGGTTACACCATTTGGCCAGGCTTGTCTCAAACTCCTGACCTCAGATGATCCGCCTGCCTTGGCCTCCCAAAGTGCTAGGATTACAGGTATGAACCACCGCACCCGGCCTCAGCAGAATCTTTGATTGAAATGGACAGATTCTGTGGTTTCAGAGATGGTCACTTCCAGTGAATTAAAGAAACCAAGTAGGCCAGGTGCGGTGGCTCACGCCTGTAATCCCAGCACTTTGGGAGGCCGAGGTGGGCAGATCACAAGGTCAGGAGATCGAGACCATCCTGGCTAACACAGTGAAACCCCATCTCTACTAAAAATACAAAAATAAAATTAGCCGGGCGTTGTGGTGGGCGCCTGTAGTCCCAGCTATTCGAGAGGCTGAGGCAGGAGAATGGCGTGTACCTGGGAGGCAGAGCTTGCAGTGAGCTGAGATAGGGCCACTGCACTCCAGCCTGGGCTACAGAGCGAGACTGCATCTCAAAAAAAAAGAAACCAAGTAGATTCCGAATATGGCAAATGTGAAAGTCCCCATTTGCCCTTCCAAAAATGAGCACCTCCCAGAAACGAGGGCTGTGATCATTGTGATCATTTTTCACTAGTAGCTATAACCCTGCTGTGGGCTGGTTTCCAATGGACACTCCTCTAAGTCCAGCGCAAGACCTTTTTTTTTTTTGGTCTTGCTGTGTCACCCAGGCTGGAGTAAGACCTTTTTCTTTTTTTTTTTTTTTTGAGATGGAGTCTTGCTCTGTCACCCAGGCTGGAGTGCAATGGCGCGATCTCAGCTCATTGCAACCACCGCCTCCCAGGTTCAAGCAATTCTCCTGCCTCAGCCTCCCGAGTAGCTGGGATTACAGGCACGCACCACCATGCTCGGCTAATTTTTGTATTTTTAGTAGAGACGGGGTTTCACCATGTTGGCCAGTCTGGCCTCGAACTCCTGACCTGGTGATCTGCCCACCCCAGCCTCCCAGAGTGCTGGGATTACAAGTGTGAGCCACCGCATCCAGCTCAGACCTTTTTCTTAATGCTGAATGATACATCATGGATTGTAGGTGTTATAAAAATAGCAAGTAGGAATGGAAGTGACTCTGTGACTTTCTTTTAAAGGATCGACCATTATCAGCCAGAGAGAGGAGGCGACTAAAGCAGTCACAGGAAGAAATGTCCTCTTCAGGTAAAGTTGACTTCTTTTCTTCATCTAATTGGCAGTTAGGGGTATGGTTCGTGGACAGAAACACTGGTTCTAACTATGAGAGGTTGAAACTTTCCAGCAGCAGTAAAACATGTAGGAAATCGAGTTGGAAAAGATTTTGAAATTTCTTAGTCAAGTCTTTTAAGAAATCATCATAGGGTGTTGAATGTGGTTCAAATATCAGAGGAGGGGGATATTAAAGAAATAACAAGAGGGCTTTGAGTGGCAGTAAGTCCTGGGAGGTTTCAGACCAGAAATCAAGTGAATGTTTAACTTTTTTCCATGTCCAGTGTCCACTGTTCAGTGAATTGCTCCCATCTTAGGAACAGAGGGAGGTTGCTTGGGGAGTGGTGCTGCCGTAGGCTGAGGGCTATCATTCTTTTTAATATTTTTTAAAGATAGTACTAGCAGTTTCCATTTATTGAATGCTGACCATGTCTTAGGCATTATGGTAAACATATTAAGGGTATTATCTCATTTCACATTTACAGTACTGCCAAAATATGCAGCATTATCCTCATTTTGCAGCTAAGGAAACAGAGGCTCTGAGGAGTTAAGTAACTTGCCCAAGGTCACAGAGCTGGTGGACCTAGAGCTAAGATTTCAACTGAGGTGTCAGACACCAGAGAAATGATAAATATGCTGTTTGACTTACTTTTGGGCTAGCTCCTGCTGGGGTATGTTCCATACCAAATACAAAGCCCTTTTCAACTGGGGCAGCCCACCACAAACAACTACTGGGGATGTTTGCCTTTTCAGGCCCTTCAGTGAGGAAAGCGTCTCTGAGTGTAGCAGGGCCAGGAAAACCCCAGGAAGAAGACCAGCCCTTGCCTGCCCGACGGCTCTCCTCTGACTGCAGCGTCACTCAGGTGCATTACGTACTCCTAAGAGAGAAGGTGGACAGTCTACATCTGGCAGGCCTAATGCAGTAAACCTTTTAAATGTCAGCTCCATTTATTTTTGGGACAGGGCCAGCTTGTTATATCTTTTCACTCTTGATAAAGAAAGGAACTGGTAAATAATAGTCAAAAGGATTATGATTGACCCATTAAGGGAATAAATTTTTCAGGTACTCTTGTAAACAATTGATAGCCTAATTAAAAATATTTCATAGGTTGGTCTTAACAGGACTTCCTGGCCTGATGCAGTGGCTCACGCTTATAATACTAGCACTTTGGGAGGCCAAGGTGAGAAGATTGCTTTAGCCCAGGAGTTTGAGATCAATCTGGGCAATATAGTTGGACCCTGTCTCTAAGAAAAAAAAATTACCTGGCAAGGTGGCGCACACCTGTAGTCCCAGCCACTCGGGAGGCTGAGGTGGAAGGATCACTTGAGCCCAAGAGGTTGAGGCTACAGTGAGTTGTGTTCACACCACTGTGCTTTAGCCTAGGTGACAGAGCAAGACTCTGTCTCAAAAATATAAATAAATAAATAAGTAAATAAATAACAGAACTTTCTAAGGGCTTGCACTAGGCAGCACTTTGCTCAATCTGCTGTGATACCAACATACCCATCTGTGTCGCCAGATTTGAGTCTCACTTGCTAATCATTCCTCAGTTTCTTATTTGTGTCAATGTAGTTTACCTTCTTGCCTGTAGATGATGTAGGGACACCATCTGGTGGCTAAATGGGTAATTACTAGGTTTCTAACCCATGTTCACCTCTCTGTATAATACTCTGGGAATTCTTCCTGTTCTTTGAAAGTATTGGATGTATTATTTCTTTAACTATATCATTTAGTTATTTCACTAATAGAGGCTGCCTTCCATATCTCAGAGTTGTAAGGTTTATGTGTATTTTTAGGTGATCCTTTAAAGCACTTTAACAGTCTCACATTAAGAGCAAGCTGAAGCTGGGCATGGTGGCTTGTGGGTGTTATCTCAGCTACTTGGGAGGCCAAGGAAGGAGGATTGCTTGAGCCCAGGAGTTTGTGGCCAGCCTGGACAACATAGTGACACCCCTGTATCCAAAAAAAAGAAAAAAAAAAAGACAAGCTGAGTTTGCCTAGGTAATTTAAAATGCCAACATTCCTATAGAACAAGCCTTCTGCTTAGGAGTTGATAAACCAGAACTAGCCATCCACTGTCCTCTGGAAATTTCTTCACAGCTGAGACTCTCCAGGACCTTTGTAAAACTTCACCTTGGGCAGGCGCGGTAGCTCATGCCTGTAATCCCGGCACTTTGGGAGGCTGAGGCAGGCGGATCATGAGGTCAAGAGTTGGAGACCAGCCTGGCCAACATGGTGAAACCCTGTCTCTACTAAAAATACAAAAATTAGCTGGGCGTTGCGGCACGTGCCTGTAATCCCAGCTACTCGGGAGGCTGAGGCAGGAAAATCACTTGAACCAGAGAGTCGGAAGTTGCTGTGAGCCGAGATCGTGCCACTGCACTCTAGCCTGGCGACAGAGCAAGACTCTGTCTCAAAAAAACACAAAAATCAAAACAAAAAAAAAACAAACAAAATAAAAAACTTCATCTGATGTTCTTCAGTTATTCTTGTGGACTTTATGAGTGAACTGGGATATCACGGGTAAAATCACTTCAATGTTTTTTTCTTTTTGCCACAAATCATATGGGAACAATTTTTGTATTTGTTAGATTCTCCTGTTATATTGCACCTAGGAACGTATTGTGTCTAGTTGTTGCATCTAAGACTGGTTCAAGTATCACATTCTGGTTGTGTTGTCATGTAGAATTTTAATTCTTCCAAACATTTAATAGGAAAGGAAACAGATTCATTGTCTGTCTGAGGATGAGTTAAGTTCTTCTACAAGTTCAACTGATAAGTCAGATGGGGATTACGGGGAAGGGTAAGTTCTTGTTTTTC
The DNA here is from genome assembly GCF_000001405.40 of Homo sapiens. Lineage (NCBI taxonomy): Eukaryota > Metazoa > Chordata > Mammalia > Primates > Hominidae > Homo > Homo sapiens. Next base: position 52,741,393 of record NC_000003.12, on the reverse strand, counting down.
TGTCTCCCTTTATAAACTATTTCTGTTTTAATGAATATTAAATGTGCATTTTCAGTAGTATTTAGATCTCTAGTATTCCCACTGATAAAATTATAAATGGTTTGTGGCATATGCTGGAGCTAAAAGTGTCTCTTCTTTTTTTTTTTTTTTTTTTTTTGAGACGGAGTTTCGCTCTTGTTGCCCAGGCTGGAGTGCAGTGGCACAATCTCCGCTCACTGCAAGCTCCGCCTCCCGGGTTCACACCGTTCTCCTGACTCAGCCTCCCAAGTAGCTGGGACCACAGGCGTCCGCCACCATGCCCGGCTAGTTTTTTGTATTTTTTTAGTAGAGATGGCGTTTCACCGTGTTAGCCAGGATGGTCTCGATCTCCTGACCTCGTGATCTGCCCACCTCGGCCTCCCAAAGTGCTGGGATTACAGGCGTGAGCCACCACGCCCCGCCTGGCCATTATTTCTTCACATTTTTTTTTTGGACTTCTTCCTGCCCTCTTAGGGATTCCAATTACATGTATATTAGGCTCCTTAAATATGTGCCACAGCTCACTGATGCTCTGTTTATTTTTACTTTTTAAAAATATATTTTATTTTATTTATTTATTTTTTGAGACAGAGTCTAACTCTGTCATCTAGACTGGAGTGCAGTGGCATGATTTTGGCTCACTGCAACCTCTGCCTCCTGAGTTCAAGGTATTCTCCTGTCTCAGCCCCGCCGAGTAGCTGGGATTACAGGCACTCGCCCAGCTACATTTTTGTATTTTTGGTAGAGACTGGGTTTCACCATATTGGCAAGGCTGGTCTCGAACTCCTGACCTCAGGTGATCCGCCCACCTCGGCCTCCCAGACTGCTGGTATTACAGGCATGAGCCACTGCACCTGGCCTGTTTTTACTTTTTTTCTGTTTCACATTTCATAGATTCTATTGCTATGTCTTTGAGTTCATTAATCTTTTCTTCTGCAGTGTCTAATCTGTTAATCCTATCCCGTGTATTTAATATATTGTATCTTTCATTTCTAGAAATTTGATTTGGGTCTTTTTTTAATGTCTTTGTGTCTCTCTTTAACATGTTCATGTTTTCTTCTACCTTGGCCATATGGAAGATATTTATACTACCCATTTTAATGTCCTCATTTATTAATTCTATCAGTCGTGTCACTTTTGGATATGTTTCTATTAACTGATTTCTTTCTCTTCACAAATGTATGATATTTTCCTGCTTCTTTGCCCATCTGGTTATTTTTGATGGGATGCTAGACACTGAATTTTACCTCATTGGAAGCTGGTATTTTGTGTTTCTTTAAATATTCTTGAGCTTTGTACTTGAGTATAGTTAAGTTACTTTGAAATAGGCAGAATTTGTACACAGAATCTGGGGCTGTTTCTTTTAGACTGTCTCCAAGGTTCCTGTCTCACTTTCTAGTGACAGTGGTTGTTCTGAACTCTGTCCTTTCTGTAGGCCCACAAGATTGTGAGTTCTCTTGTACTTTGATCTGCCTATGGCCTGCTCTTAGGCTTAAAGGTGTTGACTCTTCTCCAAGATCTGCCTGCAGATTTTGTTTATTCTGCATTCCCTTTACGTTGTTGAGTTTTGTATTTTTTCTAGAGTTTATAGTTGTTATTTGTGGAAGGGTCAGGTCAGTCTGTAGGAACTTACTTGGACATTTCAAAGGATAATTCCCGAAAGGTCGTTTTGCACGTAATTTTTTAATGAAAAATTCTCATGAAGCCAATTAAATAACAAAGGGATATTTTTTTCCCCCAGGAAAGGTCAGACAAATGAAATTAATGCCTTGGTACAATTGATGACTCAGACCCTGAAACTGGATTCTAAAGAGAGCTGTGAAGATGTCCCGGTAGCAAACCCAGTGTCAGAATTCAAACTTCATCGGAAATATCGGGACACACTGATACTTCATGGGAAGGTTGCAGAAGAGGCAGAGGAAATCCATTTTAAAGAGCTACCTTCAGGTGATCAGCTTATTATTATTTTTTGTTTTTTAGACGGAGTCTCACTCTGTCACCCAGGCTGGAGTGCAGTAGTGTGATCTTGGCTCACTGCAACCTTTGCCTCCCGGGTTCAAGCGATTCTCCTGCTTCAGCCTCCCAAGTAGCTGGGACTACAGGCATGCACCACCATGCCCGGGTAATTTTTGTATTTTTGGTAGAGGCGGGGTTTCACCATTTGGCCAGGCTGGTATTGAACTCCTGACTTAAGGTGATCCTCCCACCTTGGCCTCCCAAAGTGTTGGGATTACAGGTGTGAGCCACCATGCCTGGCCTAGTTTATTCTTTTACAGCAAACTGGAGAGCATGTGTTTATTGGAGAACTGTGTCAAAACAAGGAACTAATGCCTATAAATTTTTTTGTGTTTTTAAAATTATTTCATTTGCATATCTCCATAAAAGGTATATCCTGTGTTTTGCAACAGAGGTATTCCTGAAAAGTTACATGAAAATTAATTTTTAAAAATAAATAGATAAATGTTTGTGGTTTTTCATGTGACTTTTCTTCAAGTTAGACAGTTGTGGTGTTTTTTAGGTTTAAGAGATGGTAGTGAAGCTTAAGTTCATATGTAAATTTTAAGTCATTAAACCAAACTCTTGTCAGAGGGAAAAAAGAATGTCAGTATAACAAGATTTTTAAAAAAACAGCCCTGCTGGGTACGGTGGCTCATGCCTATACTTTGGGAGGCTGAGGAGGGCAGATTGCTTGAGTCCAAGAGTTTGAGACCAGCCTGGGCAACATGATGAAAACTTGTGTCTACAAAAAATACAAAAATTAGCCAGGCATAGTGGCTCATGCCTGTAGTCCCAGCTACTCAGGCGGCTGAGGTAAGAGGATTTCTTGAACCCAGGAGGTTGAGGCTGCAGTGAGCCATGAGCATGCCACTGCACTCCAGCCTGAGCGACAGAGCAAGATCCTGTCTCAAAAAATCAGATGAAATGAAATAAAAATAAAATAATAAAATAAAATACCAAAAAAAAAAAAAAAAGGCTTGGTGTGGTATCATCATGCCTGTAATCTCATTGCTTTGGGAGGCCAAGGTGGGAGGATTGCTTGAGGCCAGGAGTTCAAGACCAACCGGGACAACATAGACCCCATCACTGCAAAAAATTTAAGAATTAGTTGGACATGGTAGTGCATTCCTGTAGTTCTGGTTACTTGGAAGGCTGAGGCAGGGTGATTGCTTGAGCCCAGGAATTAGAGGCTATAGTGAGCTATGGTCACACTGCACTACATCCCTATGACAGTGCAAGACCCTGTCACTTAAAAAAAAAAAATAGGCCGGGTGCAGTGGCTCATGCCTGTAATCCCAGCACTTTGGGAGGCTGAGGTGGGTGGGTCACGAGGTCAGGAGATCAAGACCATCCTGGCTAACACAGTGAAACCCTGTGTCTACTAAAAATACAAAAAATTAGCTGGGTGTGGTGGTGGGCCCCTGTAGTCCCAAATAGTCGGGAGGCTGAGGCAGGAGAATGGCATGAACCTAGGGGGTGGAGCTTGCAGTGAGCTGAGATCGTGCCACTGCACTCCAGCCTGGGCGACAGAGCAAGACTCCGTCTCAAAAATAAAATAAATAAATAAAATAAAATACAAAATTTTAAAAAATTGCAGTGTTCTTGCTATAGTGGTAAAAGTGTTTATTTTTCCCTTTGTCTTTGTTGTTGCCTTTTAGCTATTATGCCAGGTTCTGAAAAGATCAGGAGACTAGTTGAAGTCTTGAGAACTGATGTAATTCGTGGCCTGGGAGTTCAGCTTTTAGAGCAGGTGTATGATCTTTTGGAGGAGGAGGATGAATTTGATAGAGAGGTGAGTGTCTCATTAACTGTATCAAGATGCTTATGTTATAGAATTTTTTAAACAACCTTTTGAAATATAAATCACACATAACAATTCACTCATCTAAAGTGTATAATTCAGTGGTTTTTAATGTGTTTACAACATTGTACAGTCATTACCACAATCGATATTAGAACATTTTCATTACGCCCCAAGAAGCCCTGCACCTGTTAGCAGTCACTCCCCATGGTCCGCACTGCCAAATCTGAAGTCATGAAGATTTATTTTTATATTTTCTTCTAAGAGTTTTTTTGGTTTCAGCCCTTTTAGGTCTTGGACACTT